>NC_000018.10:78455151-78756506 GCF_000001405.40 Homo sapiens | reverse complement strand
AAAACCATCTAGAGGGAACCACATGCTTGGGCATTACTGAAAATTAAAAAAGCTCAACATCAACAACAACAAAAGTCATTTGTAAAATGCATAGAATTTGCGGTTTTTAAATATATTTGGACTCTGTTCAAATGGAACGCTCACAAAAGGTGCTCACAGCAAGCTGGGCTTTTTGTTTTTGAATTTTTTAGTATATGCTAACAAAACTCCATGCTGAAGAATATTCCCAGGCAAAAGTCTCCATGGCTGTGAAGCCTGAGGGCCACTGATGACCACTGGGCACCAGGAGATGACAGCCAGGCACCAGGAACTGACCGTGGGTGCAAGGTGATGACCACTGGGTACCAGGTAATGACCTCTGGACACTAAGTGATGACTTCAGGGCACCAGGTAATGACCACTGGACACTAAGTGATGACTGCAGGGCACCACGTAATGACCACTGGACACCAGGTAATGACCGCTGGACATCAGGTAATGACTTCTGGACACCAAGTGATGATGGCTGGGCACCAGGTAATGACCTCTGGACACTAAGTGATGACTGCTGGACACCAGGTAATGACCACTGGGTACCAGGTAATGACCGCTGGGTACCACTGGGCACCAGGTTATGACTGCTGGGTGTCAGGTAATGACCTCTGGGCTCCAGGTAATGACCACTGGGCACCAGGTAATGACCACTGGGCACCAGGTAATGACCACTGGGTAACAGGTAATGATGCTGGACACCAGGTAATGACCGCTGGGTACCACTGGGCACCAGGTTATGACTGCTGGGTGCCAGGTAATGACTGCTGGATGCCAGGTAATGACCGCTGGGCACCAGGTAATGACCACTGGACACCAGGTAATGACCGCTGGAAACCAGGTAATGACCACTGGGTACCACTGGGCACCAGTTTATGACTGCTGGGTGCCAGGTAATGACCTCTAGGCTCCAAGTAATGACCACTGGGTACCAGGTAATGACCACTGGGCACCAGGTAATGACCGCTGGATGCCACTGGGTGCCAGGTTATGACTGCTGGGTGCCAGGTAATGACCTCTGGGCTCCAGGTAATGACCACTGGGCACCAGGTAATGACCGCTGGGTACCAGGTAATGACTGCTGGGTACCAGCTAATGACCTCTGGGCACCAAGTAATGACCACTGGAGACCAGGTAATGACCACCGGGTATCAGGTAATGACCACTGGACACCAGGTAATGACCTCTGGGCACCACATAATGACTGCTGGACACCAGGTAATGACCACTGGGTACCAGGTAATGACCTCTGGACACCAAATAATGACTGCTGGACACCAGGTAATGACCTCTGGGCACCAGGTAATGACCTCTGGGCACCACGTAATGACCGCTGGACACCAGGTAATGAGCGCTGAGCACCAGGTAATGACGACTGGACACCAAGTAATGACCACTGGACACCAGGTAATGACCACTGGGTACCAGATAATGACTGCTGGATTCCAGGTGCTCACCTCTTAGCACGAGGTAGGTGCTGACCTCTGGGCATCAGGTAATGACCACTGGACACCAAGTACTGATCACCAGGTGTTGACCACTAGCGACCCAGGCCCATCATGAAGCAGAGGCCGCAGCACCTTGGCTTTGGTGTCGGGCACACCCAAGGGCCTGGGACTGGCCCACTGGCCTGGCTTCTCACCCCATGTGACCTGGGGCAGGACAGGGCTGGTGCGTGTCTGGAGAGCCACATCTCAGAAGAAGGTTTGCCTTTATTGACCAGCGTGGAGGCGCAGTGGTTGGTCACAGTCCTCTTCACACCCATTTCCTTGTTTGAAAATTCAGACTAACCTTTGCAGTGTGTCTAGAGGGTCTTCATAGGTGAAAGTTGGCCCGCTGAGGATTTGAACTGTGGATTCATACCAGATCAGGCCCCGAAAACAGCCGCTTACAGGGCTGTGGGTGAGGGCGTTGCAATGGGAGAGGCCTCGAAGTCCACCCTGGCAGAAAAGCGAGGTCAGCTCAGCAGGAGGCCTCCCGGGCTCGGGGTGAAGGTCAGCTCAGCAGGAGGCCTCCCGGGCTCGGGGTGAGGGTCAGCTCAGCAAGAGGCCTCCCGGGCTCGGGGTGAGGGTCAGCTCAGCAGGAGGCCTCCCGGGCTCGGGGTGAAGGGCAGCTCAGCAGGAGGCCTCCCGGGCTCGGGGTGAAGGGCAGCTCAGCAGGAGGCCTCCCGGGCTCGGGGTGAAGGTCAGCTCAGCAAGAGGCCTCCCGGGCTCGGGGTGAAGGGCAGCTCAGCAGGAGGCCTCCCGGGCTCGGGGTGAAGGGCAGCTCAGCAGGAGGCCTCCCGGGCTCGGGGTGAAGGGCAGCTCAGCAGGAGGCCTCCCGGGCTCGGGGTGAGGGTCAGCTCAGCAGGAGGCCTCCCGGGCTCGGGGTGAAGGGCAGCTCAGCAGGAGGCCTCCCGGGCTCGGGGTGAAGGGCAGCTCAGCAGGAGGCCTCCCGGGCTCGGGGTGAAGGGCAGCTCAGCAGGAGGCCTCCCGGGCTCGGGGTGAAGGGCAGCTCAGCAGGAGGCCTCCCGGGCTCGGGGTGAAGGGCAGCTCAGCAGGAGGCCTCCCGGGCTCGGGGTGAAGGGCAGCTCAGCAGGAGGCCTCCCGGGCTCGGGGTGAAGGGCAGCTCAGCAGGAGGCCTCCCGGGCTCAGGGTGAAGGGCAAGCTCCCCATCGTGGAGCTAGAGAGGTGCTGGAGGGAAATGGTCAGCTGTGGCAGGGCCTCACACATGACTGGGCTTGGGGATCCTTTTCAACGGCAAAGCTTTGGTCTGAGCAGTGAGGCCTGGTCTGGGTGCTGGAGGTGGCTCACCTAGGACAGGAAACAGCAAACACAGTGGCCACTCAACTCTATACACGGAACCGGCCTCACGGAGGCCAGCACATGGAGCGAGAGCTGCTTGGGTCCATTCTGCTGAGGGTGGGCGGGCCAGGGTTGAGTGCTGCCGATGGAGGAGGGCAAGGGGTAGGGGCCCCCGAGGACGCAGTGGCTCATGGGTCTGTCCCGATTGGTAGAGAGTTGTGGCACGGTGCCCACGTTTGCTGACCAGTGGATGGTTGGTAGAGAGGCGTGGCACAGTGCCCACGTTTGCTGACCAGTGGACGGTTGGTAGAGAGGTGTGGTGTGGTACCCGCGTTTGCTGACAAGTGGACGGTTGGTAGAGAGGTGTGGCGCGGTACCCGCATTTGCTGACCAGTGGACGGTTGGTAGAGAGGTGTGGCACGGTACCTGCATTTGCTGACCAGTGGACGGTTGGTAGAGAGGTGTGGCGTGGTGCCTGCATTTGCTGACCAGTGGATGGTTGGTAGAGAGATATGGCATTGTGCCCACGTTTGCTGACCAGTGGATGGTTGGTAGAGAGATATGGCCTTGTGCCCGTGTTTGCTGACCAGTGGATGGTTGGTAGAGAGATGTGGCACGGTGCTCCTGTTTGCTGGTCAAGGGAGCATCATCACATAACCTTCACTTATCTTACTCATTTTGCTTTGCAGTCTGGGGTAACACCAGCTGAAAGCCTTTGAAAATAGCTACCAAGCTGTCAGAAACCAATACAATGTAACTATATGCACTAGGACATGTCATCTGTGCAGTAAAATGTAAAAGATAGTATTTTGCCAGTAGCTAATAATGCATTAACAATTATTCTCTTGTTCCTCCCAGTGGATTCATAGTATAATCAATTTCAGGTGATATTTATGAGGCTTATATCCTGTCTATCAAAGACTCAACTAGGTTTTGCAAATTTCTCACAGAGGAGAAAAATACAATATTCTATTTGATAGTAGTCAAAATAGTAAAATATTGTTTAACTGAGTCCCAAAGGCAGTTGGATGTTGGGAATAAGAAATACATCTTTGCATTCTTACCTTAGGCTACCATAGCCCTGCATTTATTGGGTCCAGGTCTTTTATTATAAACACTATATCGAGTCAGGAGGTGACTGCAGTGTAATACTCAGAGGAACATGGCTAATGTCAGTGTTATTAGCATGGGCACTCAGAGGCTAATTGTAGAACACAGTTAGGGTGTCAGACATATTGTGCACTAATGCCACACATGAAAGATTAATAACAGCAAAAAAAATAAAAAGAAAATCTGTGACTGCCAAACTTCACAACCAAGTTGCCAAGATGGTGGCGAGAACTCCATGGGGGAGCAAGGCTCGCCAGTCCAAGATGGCTTACAAAAAGAAAGAGTAATTTGTTTCTGTGTTTTTCCCCCAGCATTATGGACATGCTTTTCTGTTCAGTTTAAATTGATTTTTCAATTTGATTTCAAGCCAGACTATATGTGACCTGATGAAATCTCAGCCCTCTGGAGCCCAGATCTTAATCTCTTGTCTAAAATAGTTAGCACAGTCTGTGTCTCATGTGCGGAAGCAGAATGGACGGCAGACTATTCTGACCACGGCTTTAAATAAACCAATTAGGTGTCTTCTGCTTGTGCACCATGGTGTCAAGGAGCAGTGAAAGCAACAGCCACATCCCCAAAACCCCCTGGAGCAAGCAGGCGCTCAACGCGGCCAGCGTTGCTCCCTCAATCCTGCCCTAGACGAAGCTCAGGATGACCAAGACACCATCTTCAGAGTCTGTGGTTTGTGGACCTTCTACTGGGTATAAACAACCAGGATCTAGAATTCAGCAGGCGCGAGTGGTCTGACTTAGACTTCCTTGCTCCATAAAGCCGGGGATGGCTGCAGAGCTGACGTCGATGTTTGGAGGGAGGATGCTCTGAAGACTGCACCGTGATGGGAGGGCCGTCAGAGCGACGGAGAGTGCGTGACAAAGGCCACGTGGCCCCAGCGTCATAGGAGTCCACTCCTTTTGAGGTCAGTTGTCTAAAGGTTGACTTGTACGGTACATGCTATCTCCTCCTGACCTCACTGTGTTGGGAAATGGAGGGAGTTCAGGTATTTAATTAAAACATGAGTAAACCTTGTTAACATCCTTAGGTCAGGGTGGATAATGAGCAAACCTCACATGTCGCAAGCTGCTTCTTGGACTCTTCTGCCCCCCGTGGGTTGCGCAGCCTGAGTTTTGCCCAGGGGCCCCATCAGTTCCCTCCTTCACATCTCACCTGTTTTCTTCCTGACAAAACTATAATTTCTGTATCTTTTTCAAGGTGTTTTGCTGAAGCTTTTTCTCCTGACCTCTAGTTTCTCTCCCACTCCAAGTTTTCACGCTTTCTTTTTCCTCTAAATTATCTTCAGCAGGAATAAATGAGTGAGAAATAAAAGCAGGAAGAAAAGCATCTGGAAAAAGCTCTTTCACCTGGCTCATGCCTGATCTACACGGTTCCGGGTGAGGCTTCGTCCAGGTCCTGTGAGGAGCTCTTTCACCTGGCTCATGCCTGATCTGAATGGTTCCAGGTAAGGCTGAGTCCAGGTCCCATGAGGAATTCGAGGGGATTGGCTATAATTCTTAGACATAAAGAGACATGTCTAAGACTCCTGGATTCTATGAGGATGGTGTAAGGACAGCTTATTCCTCTCAGAAAATACACAAAATGCCTAGAATATGGAGAGGCAGAAATACAAATGTCATCTTCTGTGAGATCAGGAGACACCTATAACCCTACGTAATAATATATGAGGAAGGACTGCCAATGCTGTGAAGATAAAAATACGGCTCCACATATATCACGAGGAGACATACACAGTCAAAGACCCCGGACAAGCCCAGCAGAGCTCAGTTACCTTGCAAGAAGGTGAGAAGCAAGGAGAAGCAAGTGTAGGAGCTGGTGCTGGGCTTGAAAAGGCATGGGAGGTGGGAGGGGAGTTCTCATGAATAAGCCATGCTGGCAGAAAGTGTCTACTGATGCACCAGAGCAGGAAAGTTGCTACAGATTACCAGCAGCCCTGCAGTGGCTGAACTCTGAGAAGTAAGAACTAAAAGAATACACACACTCTCTGTCTTACATGCATGCGCACACACACACACACACACACACACACACACACAGCCCTATCCATAAGAATTTCTGTTAGTCTGCAACACAGCCCTGGTCTTTCATGGACATACATTTTCTGCAAATATTTGGTTTAGAAAAAAGGAGGTAGTCTTATACTCTAAAAAGCAGAATGTAAGAAAAAGAAAGAAAGAATTTTTAAAATGGCAAATGATGAAAGAATGTTCATCAAAAAATGCTGTCATAGAGCTGATGAAAATTGTGACCTTATGTATTTTCATGGCTCAAAACACACAGACACTCAATGTTCTGAAGCAATCATTTTCACAAAACAAGAGGCTGAAGAAGAGATGGTAGGTCTAACAGCCTCTATGACCAGGGAAAGAAAATGATATAACAGTTAGAGTTCAGGAAAGAGATGGGGGAAGTGAAGTCACCACAAGAGTCGAGGCCACCCCAGAAGGAGCATAAATAAGACTGAGACTTCTTGAAGTGTGGGGGGACATGGAAAACGGGACTAAGAAGAGTGACCAACATGAAATGAAAGTGGGTATGGAATTAAAAAGGAATAGTCAGAAATTGTTGATATGGAAGATGGGAAATAGGTATAAAATATGCACAGATGCATTTTCGAAGAAAAAGATAATAAAATATACTTTAAAATAGAATTCCAAAACTCTTTCCAAGAATAAAATGAACCCACAAGACTTCAGATTATCCCAGTATAAAAAGGCATAACCATTGTCTTAGTCCATTTTCTGCTGCTATGACAGAATGCTACAGACTGGTTAATTTATAAATAATAAAAGTTTATTAGGCTCATGATCCTAGAGGCTGAGAAGTTCAAGAGCACAGTGCAGCCTCTGGTGAGGGTTTTCCCATGGCTGAAGGCATCGCTTGGAGAGAATGCATGAGACAGAGAAAATGGGGGCTGAACTGATCTGTTATCAGGAGCCCAGTTCCGTGACAATAGCATTAATCCGTTCAGGAGGGCAGAGCCATTATGACCCACATGCTTCCAAAAGGCCTCTCTCAGTACTACTACCGTGAGAGCAACCAAGCTCCCAACACATGAACTTCTGGGGAACATGTTCAAACCACAGCAACAATCAAAACACAGAAAGGCACTTTAATAATGTTATTGGACTTCAAAGACAAAGAAATAATGGTTGGGTCTCCAGGCCAAAAAATAATAATAACAATGCAACCAAGATCTCTCAAAATACCTCAGAAAAAAATGTCTGACAAGTTTCAGGCCTCTCCAAAGCAAAAGTCTACACTAGAAACCCATTGAGCAGCGACTACAAGGTCCTCAAGGAAAACAAGTGTGGGCTAATAATTTTGTGCCCAGGCAAACTAATAAATATAAAGGCAATAGACCAATATTTTGAATTTGCAAGACCTCAGTTAATATAGTTCTCATGAACCATTTTAATGACAGCTGTGATGAATTCTAGCCTAAAGAAATCAACGAAGAAACGATGGCAAAAGATCGGCAGTGGGTTCACTTGACTGGAGGATGAAGAGGAAAGTGGGAATGCTGGTGCCTGTAAATGTTACAGACTCTGAAATTGCAGAAATTATCTAGCAACACTTGAGAGTGGAAGGGGAAAGAGAAGAGGAAAGTTAATACTTGGATTCCACAAGTGGTATAGCCTGGAGTATGAAAGCAAACAAGCAACAGAAGCAGATTTCAATATGCTGGGGTCAGTGGCATGGGCTCAGCTTCCCTCAAGTTGCACAGTGTCCAACATGCACACATGTACATGGAGGCTCTATTTCAAGGTAACAAGCTAAATGAGAAAAACAGTGTCCTCACCTAGAACTGGGTGATGATACATAAACACAGAAAATGTAAACTGAATATATAGTAAAAGAAAAAATGCGATGAAAACAGCATGTCACAAATGATGATGGTAATAAGACCATGCACACCTTTTGCAACTATATTTGTAAATGGGCTAAATAACTATTAAAAGAACAAAAAGCTTTTTTTTAAAGGAAAATCACAAAGCAAAACCCAGTTATGTGGAATATACACCTGGAACAGGGTGACTCAGAAAAATTGAAATTAAAAGACAGTATCCAGGTACAGTGGTGCACACTGTAACCCCAGCAACTTGGGAGACGGAGGCAGGAGGATCACTTGAGCCCAGGAGTTTGAGACCAGCCTGGGTAACATTGTGAGACTCTCTCAAATTTTTTTTTCATTACAAATAATAATAAAAGAAGAAGACAGGCAAAGGTCTTCAAGCAAACAGATACAAAGAGAACACAAGGAGTAATATTTTCATTTCATTTTCAGACAAGGCTGACTTCAGACAAAATGTATGAAAGGAGACAGAGAAAGTTATTTTATAATAAAAAAATTGTAATGAAAAGATCTCATAGTTTATGAGTATCTACGCATCATACAGTAGCCACTAACATTCAGAAAATGAAAACCATGGGAAATACAAGGAGAAATTCATAGAAACTCATGAGTAACAGGAGACATGATTTCTAGTTTCTCAATCTCGGGACAAATCAAGATCGTGGAATGAAGTATAGACATGGATAATTTAAATAGGGCGCATCAAGATAAATATCACTGAGATCCATGTGATGCTTTGACCTACAAACAGGAAATGCAGCTTTTTTATATAGGTGACAACTAAACTGTCACAAGCAAAAATTGACTGCAGACAAAAAAACTCATTAAAAAGTATAGCTCAGAATGCATTCTCTGATCATGATGCAATGAAGCTACAAATGGACCACAGAATCATAAAACAGTTATTCATCACAAAATCATAAAACAAACAGAACCCTCAATACCTGATAATGTTAAAATAAAACCACTTGAGTAAAAAAGGGAAAAAAACCGAAAATCTCAAAATCTCTCAGAAATAAAATAATAATTTAAGAAATTGTGTGTTACAACTAATGAGATATAGCTGCAACAGTTCTCAGAGGAAAATTCATAACTTTAAATAATTATACTAATAAGAATGAACAAAATACACTAAATAGTCAACGAAAAGAGTTAAAAAACTTAACAAAAAGTAAAAAAAAATCACCTTAGGAAAGCAAAAGGAAAGAATTAAAGACAACAATAGAAATCAAGGAATTTTAACAGAAAATAAGTAAAACAAGTACATTCAAAGGTAACTCTTTTGGGGGAAAATTTAAAAAGGGGAATAATGGCCCATTATAATATCTTCCCCCTACCCCCACCAACTCCTGCCCAAAAGGAGAAGGGCATGTGAATAAACCAAAGAGAAAACATTCGAAGGCTCGGAAGAGATTCCTGCTCAACTCTGCAAATACAATTGATAGCCTGAGTGAAATAGTTGAGTTTTCTGGAAAATATGAATTACCAACGCCGACTCCAGAAGATACAGGACATATAAACGGGCCAATCAAAGAGCAAAATAGAGAAACAGAACACGTCCACCAGGCTCGCTTTCACAGTGAATTCCATTAACCCTTTAATGGGCACTGATGTTTCCATTGCATCATCCTGTGGCAAGAATAACTTTAGAATTCTTTCGATGGATCAAACATTGACAGCAAAACTGCAGAAATAGCAGAAAAAGGAAAACTACAGACCAAATCTCATAAAAAAGCAATAAATACCTGAAGCAAAATATTAGAAAACAGAATCTGGTAACATATTCAAAGAGCAATATCACTTAAAAGTGGGATTTATTTCAGAAATCCAAAATTCAATATTCGGAGTTTCATATTAAGATATTTGTTTACATCATTCACTATATTCATAAAAATCTCCATAGATCTTGAAACAGCACTTGTTAATATCAATATCTAGGCCAGGCACGGTGACTCACGCCTGTAATCTCAACACTTTGGGAGGCTGAGGCAGGCGGACCACCTGAGGTCACGAGTTCAAGACCAGCCTGGCTAACATGGGGAAACCCCATCTCTACTAAAAATACAAAAATTAGCTGGTCGTGATGGCGGGCGCCTGTAGTTCCAGCTACTCATGGGGGCTGAGGCAGGAGAACTGCTTGAACCTGGGAGGCGGAGGTTGCCGTGAGCCGAGATTATGCCACTGCGCTCCAGTCTGGACGACAGAGCGAGACTCCATCTAAAAAGTAATAATAATAATATTTATACATGATTTAGAAACTCTTTGATGATTCTGTTTCACTTGCATTACAGGATCAGCTGTGTCTAGTACTGGGCATAGATGTTTCAACTCAAAGCCGGCATCATGTGAAGCGGGAAACATGGAAGCATTTCCGCTAAAGGCAGGAAAATACTAACCGGGGGCCTGTCGTCATCATGTTCAATGCTCTGTTGGAAGCACCAGCTAATCCAGCTAGAGAAGGGAGGGAAATGGGCCCTGGGGATTGGAAAGAGTTAAAATGATCACTATTTTCATAAATATAACCATTTAATTAATCCAAGAGAAATAATTGGAAAGCTATTGCAAACATGAGAATTTTGTGAGCTGGCTGGATATAAAATACATAGAAATTAATACCATTCATATAGATATTTAATTATTCTAATGGGATATATTTGAATATCCACTTAGAATGACTAAAGACCTCATTCGTAACTTCAACAGTTAAAAATAACAATGCCAGGAGATAAAATACTAAAGGCCTATCTGTTTAAAAATTTAAACCTACTATGGGATATAAAAGAAGAATTGAAAAAGTGGGAAATAATACCTAGTTGGGAAGATTCATTATCATAAATGAATCCCTTTTCCCTAAACAAACCTAAATTCAGTGCAATCTCAGTTACAACCCCCACAGAATATTTTAGGAGATTCTGAAGTTATATTGAAAAATTAGCAAAAATAACTAGAAAATATGGGAAAATAAGTGCAATCTAGCATTACCAGATTCTAGATGATAATGTCACATGGCACTTGTGTGATACGGTTATGTGGGTAGATAGGACTACCAATGGCATAGAAGACAGAGTCCAGAAATAGTCTCAAATACATACTGTTAGATGATAAATATGTGATTTCAAGTTAGAAAAAGATGGACCACTCCATAAGTGATGTTGTGATACTGAACAGAACTCTTTTAAAAATAAATTTAAAAAACAAGATCCCACCTCCTACCCTCCACCAAAATAAATATCAAATGGACCAAGGATTTAAATGATATAATATAAAACTGTAAAAATACTCAGGATAAAATTTGTATTTTTCCTGCTAAATCTTGGGCTACAGTAGGTCTTTCTAAGTACAAAACCAAACCTAGAAGATAGAAAATAAAAGATTAAGTGATTCAACTACATTAAAATCAAACAATTCTTAATAATGAAAATTATGCACAACAGAATTAAAAGAGGAATGACAAGTTGGGGAGAATATTTGCCATCTATATTCTAGACATAGGGCTAACTTTCTTAATATGTGAAGATCCACCAATAAATTAGAAATTTTTAGCAACTCAATAGAAAAATATTCCGAACACTTTATAGAAAGGGAAATACAAATGAATCTTAAACATGTTAACAGATACTTAACCTCACTCATAAATGGAGAAATGCATTAAAATTATACTGAGATTTTTTTTTCTTCTATTAGATATGCAAAGACCAAAAATTTGCTAACATAATGGTTTGTTAAGAGGGCGGAGACAGGCAGGCTTATTCATTGCTGGTAATAGTATAAATTGGTACACTGTCTATGGAGAGCAATTTGTTAATGTCTGACAAAATCACAAATTTGCATAGTCTTTCACCCAGCCAGTCTATGTACAGGAATTTATCACATACACATATTTAAAACCATGAGAAATGGCGCACAGAGTTAATTCATCGTGTCATTGCTTTTAGGAGCAAATGATTGAGGCAATGCAAGTGTCCATGAAGAGAGCACTAGACAAGCAATTCATAGTGCAGCTGTCCTAAGGAATGCCCTGTGTAGCTGTTAAAAATATGAAAAAGTTCTACATACATGCATGTGAAAATATTTTCAAAATAAGAAAGAAAAATACATGTGGTGGTATGGTATGCTAACCATTTTGGTTTGAGAAAACACTTCTTTTATGCATATTCTTGATAAATTGGCAATGATGGTTACTTCTGGAGGGGGCCATGGGTGAGTGAGGTTGAGGTGGTGAGGAGAAAACTATTTACTTGGATTCGTTGGTACCATTTGATACCTTGTGTGTGTATGACCTAGTCAATAAAAAGAAATAATAACTTAGTGGTGGTAATGGTGGGTTGGGGCACAGAGAGAGAGAGAGAGAGAGAGAGAGAGATACTGAGAGTGAAGAATGCTTTAGGATTCCTGCTTAGACATCCTCATCCTCCTTCACCACTGTGTGAACACTGAAATACTTGGTGAGCTCTGATGACAAGTTTTCTGCTCACTTTGGAGATACTAAGTCGTTGACCATTGTACTTTCTCTATGACTATTTATTTAAAGATGGTGAGGTTGACAATTACAGCTCAAATAACAGCCTTCTTTAAAAATTCCTTAAATCCAGCTGGAAAAAATGGAGACCAACTGTGAGGAATAATGGTTTCTGACCATTCCTATGTTGCTAATAACTGATTTATAGCTATAGCTATTTTTGTGGAGGTTTGAATCACAGCTGTGAGGTCCCTGAGGAATCTATTCCTATTAGCAAATTATTTTCCTGGAGTGGTCTTATAAACAAAGGATTTTTAGCTCAAGGCTTTGTTACATTGAAAAGAAAGCTGTTAATTTGGTTTGCTTTGCAGGGTAGCTTGTCACTTGCAACACTCCTTTGCATTCTTTGAGCATCAATTCCAGGCCACAATCCATCATTTCTAATTCACATCTTCATGGTGACAACCACAGTGTGCTGTGGTCAAGATAACCTCATGACTTCCTCCTGAGAGCGAAGAGCAAGTTTCCCATAAAGGTATCTTTAAGGGGCAGATGATGTTGATGTCTTAAAATTGTCTTTGTTGAGAAACAGCTCCATCCACGTGTGATGACACTGATCGTAGACTTTGACTGGCTTTGGAAGGTAGTCAGCCAGACCTTCAGTGGTGTTGACCACTTCTGGTCCATCAGAGGCAGGGGCTCCGCCTCTGCATTTGGTGTTAGTGTCAAGCTGAGTGGCCCCTGGTATGGAGAAGTTAGTCTTTATTGAATTTATGTGTCACACCTTAGCTAACAAGTTTGTGGGGATATCTCACTAGTTTTCACAATAATTCACATTTTACAGATGAAGAAACTGAGGCACGGTGAGGCTGAGCAGTGTGTGCAGAGGTCACAGTTGGGACCTCAGGGGTCCTCGTGCAGAGGCCTCAGGCCTGGCTGTGTGGGACTCGGCCCCCGGCAGACGTGTGCCCTGTATGTCCCTCACACGTGGTTAGTGACCAGACGGGGAGTCGAGTGCTGCATGTGGAGAGCACGTGGTGTTCAAGGCTGATGTAACAATGAGGATTTCAGCCAAGCCTTCCTTCAGACTTCTCCAGATGGAACTGGCTCACAGGCACCTGGGATCAGATGTTGCTGTTGTTTAGCAGGCAGGTATATTTCTAACTCCCAAGCACATTGGCGCACGAGAAACTAGCATTATCTATTCCTTGCAAAGACGCGATCCTTTAGAATGGTGTTTTCCAATCTTCTGTAGTGCTTGGGTCTCATTGACAGTGCTAAGGACCACCTCAGAGCAGGGGTGGAGGGCAGCAGGGGGCACCGCAAGGAGGGTACAGGCCTCGAAAAAGGAGAGGTTCTTGTACTGAAATATCTTTGAAAACCACGACTTTTGAGAGAGCATTAAGTTTCTTACAAGCAGGTTTCCCTGGATCCCATGAAAGGGACTTGGGAAAGCTGGTAAGAGGCAGTTTCCAGGAAGGGACTGCAAGAAGCTGGTCAACTGGAAGGTGTACCATGGCCTGAGTGCTGCGGTGGGAGTGAGTCTCTGACATCCTGCAGCGGCCCCGGATTGTGAGCAGGATCACGGTGTTGACTGTTTCTGGGAGAGGCGCAGACTGGAGGCTGCCTGACAAGGCTGTGCACAGAAGAGCCTGGACACAGGGTTAGGCCTGAGATGGCAGGTGCTGGAGAAGGAAGGCTCCCGACTCTTGTGCTGCAGGGTGGGCACTGGACAGCATTGGGTCTTGCTGTTAGGGTGGGCGCTGGGTGGCATCGGGTCTTGCTGTTAGGTTGGGCGCTGGATGACATTGGGTCCTGCTGTTAGGGTGGGCGCTGGGCGGCATTGGGTCCTGCTGTTAGGGTGGGAAGGATCATGTCCCCAGGATGCCCACATTCTAATCTTTGACCTGTGGCTACATCAACTCCCAGGGCAGCAGGGATAGCAGGGATGTTGCAGGTGTGGCTGAGAACCATGAGCTGGGGGAGCCCCATGTTGTGCAGGTGGACAAGGTGCTTCACTGGTCCTAGTAGGTGAGAGGGGAATGAATGAGGAGAGGCAGAGTCACAGACGATGTGGAGATGGAAGCAGAGGCTGGCAGGAGACCAGGCTGCCAGCCACGGAACGTGGGCTGCCTTTGGAAGCTGGAGAAGCCAAGGATGACAGTGTCTCCCCCAGAAGGCGCAGAGCCCTGATTTCAGGCCAGTGAAGCTGACTTTGGGCTTCTGGTCCCCAGGCTGGAGGAGGACACATTTGTATTGTGCTGAGTCCTGACGCATGAGGTGCTTTGTCACAGTGGCAGCAGAAAATGAGTGCACCTGCCCAAGGCTGAGCAGAGTGCGGTGGACATGAGGATTCCCAGAGGCGGGAGCCCAAGGCTGAGCAGAGCGTGGTGGACACGAGGATTCCCAGAGGCGGGAGCCCCTTCCTTCCTGGGACACGCCCACGTGGGACCAGAGCCGGGGCTTCTCTGAGCAGGGGCAGCGCTGCTCATTAGCACCAAGGCTTCTGGCCAACTCAGTTCTCATCTCCAGTGCTGTGCTCAGCGACTTTGGCAACGAGACTTAAAAATGCTGTGGAGACGTCTTGCTGGTTACCGATGCACCCTGCCAGAGTTACCCTCTACCTTCTCCATCGCACTGCTGCGTCCTAAAGAAGACACCGCCACATGCTGAGTCTTGGCGCTGAATCTTCTGAATATGATACAAGGCTTTGATTTTACTGTCATTCGGTGAGTTGAGAACAGCGGATGGGTCGTCCAGCGGATCCATAGACTGAGAGCCGCACTTCCTGAGCTCTGCTGACTGTGCTGACGGCGAGTTGGACTGCGCTTTATAAGGACAGCACTTATGTGTTATTAAAGACAAAGATTCTCTTTAATTTTGGAGACACATGGTGGTGCCATTTTACCCGTGAGGGGTTTTCCTCAGGACCAGCGGGAGGGCTTCCTGGAGTCTTCTAACATTAGTAGCCCGTGTCCAGTTGACGGAGCATCTCAGGATGAAAGTAAAAATGTCCTCATACTATTTTCTACTCTATTTGCGAAAGTTTTGCCTTTAGGAATGACTGATGGCTGCAGAAGAAAGAATGATTTCAGCGACATCCCCAACATTTCAGCCCCTGTGCAGCCTGGGGGGAAAGTGATCTCTTTCTCTCTGTCCCCCGTGGCTCCGGGCGGTGCGTCTGCATGGGTCCTGCTAAGATGTACAGAAATCCTTCCAGCATTATAAACACGGGTGTCGAATTCTCCAGGGCGAACAAAGGGGTCGTGCTTGGGTGCAGGGTGCTATTCGATCCCTTAGAACGGGGATAAACAGTCCTGGAAGGTGGATTTGAACTTCCTTCCATTATTAAGGTTTTCCTGCAGAATCCAATCTGTGTAATGGAAGAATATATTTTGTTGACTGGCATCTTAGATCTTTATAGCATTTGCAAAATTATTTTGAACTTTCTTCCTCTAATTGTAATCACTTTAACCAATAATCCTAAGAACTCAGGGAGAATCAAAATACTAATGTCTCTTCATATCTCCTGTGCCCTCCTGTCCTCTCAGCCACCCAGAGTGTACGCAAGCACAGCTGTGGGGTCCCTTGGAGCTTCCGGGGTGCAATTCTGAGGGTCAGATGGGTGTCGGCTGCTGTGGCGGTCCATCTACCAGGCGCTGTTTTCTATGGGAGGAGAGACTTCAGCCCCCAAGTGCTGTCCAAGGACAGCCCCAGGACTGTGACCAGGGCCTTCCTGCCCTCACGCCACCTGACCCACAGTGGAGGCTGCAGCTGCTGCTTGGCCCAGGGGGTGGCCCGTGGGCACTCATGAAACAAACCCACTATCCCGGGCGTTTCTGGGGTGACCTTCTCTGGGGCTGAGTCGGGTTTGATGCCCGTGGTCACTGTGCCTGCCAGTATTTGTGAGATGAGGGGTGTGCACGGCTGAGACAGAAGGAGGTCTGTGGGATCAGCAGAACCAGCGAAACCCTCCAGGTGTCGTCATCAAGTCCCGCTGTCTCCTCTCTCCTGGGTGGCTCGCAAACGTCAACAGGCTCACGAGATGATGGGGCTGAATTATTTCTGGGTCTCCGTTTAAGGCTCTGCAGGAAAAGGAATACTGGCTGCTGGGTGCACACTGAGTTTGGGGCAGTATGGCACGGACACAGCTAGGAACAGGTGGGGCCTGTGCATTTCTCTGCAGGTGAGTCTGGGTTTGCAGCTTCAAGTTGACAGCAGCGAGGTCTGCAGACCTGGGCTGGCTGCACCAGGAGGGACGGCGCCGGGAGGGTGCTGCAGACAGGCCTGGGCATTCAGGACATTTTAGGGTGTTTTTCCTCTTATTTTGTCCTATTTATTAACTGTTCTGCTAATTTTCCTTTCCTACTCGCCATCTTTCATTCTGAGTCTCAGTGTTCTGTAATTTGGGGAGGAGCCACCAGCTGTGGCCTTCTCATGTACTTCTTTGCGGGTGTGATGCTGACATCGGGATCTCTCTTCAGCCTCTAGAGCTGTGCTCGCTTATAGCAATAGTCAGCAGTGTTTCCACCTGACGCAGTCCGACAAGGTGTCTTTCGTGGGTGGTTTCAGAATCCTTGTTTTCTAGACAAAGAAGAGGGAATCCAGCAATGGGGGGTGCCCTATACCACGAAACTGAGCAAGGGGGGTGCGTGATCGGTACCATCGGCCCATTCGACTCTCTCAGTGACTCTAGTGGGGGCTCTAATATTAACCCCACTTTATGGGAGTAGAAATTGAGATAAACATGCAAAAGTAACTTGCTCATAATTATACTTCTGGGAAGACGAGAGTGGGATTTTGCACCCTGTTGCACCACGCATGGAAGGTGGCTCTGCAGCATAGACCCTCCTGTCAGAGCAGCAGAGTGGACTGTACTTGGGCCCTGTGTGCTCTGTGTGCTGTGTGTGGGCTGTGTGGGGACTGTGTGTGTGCTGTGTGGGGACTGTGTGTGGGCTGTGTGGGGACTGTGTGCTGTGTGTGTGCTCTGTGGGCTGTGTGTGGGGACTGTGTGTGGGCTGCGTGGGGACTGTGTGTGTGCTGTGTGTGTGCTGTGTGGGGACTGTGTATGGGCTGTGTGGGGACTGTGTGTGTGCTGTGTGGGGACTGTGTGTGTGCTGTGTGTGTGCTCTGTGGGCTGCATGTGGCGACTGTGTGTGTGCTGTGTGGGGACTGTGTGTATGCTGTGTGGGGACTGTGTATGGGCTGTGTGTGGGCTGTGTGGGGACTGTGTGTGTGCTGTGTGTGTGCTGTGTGTGTGCTGTGTGGGGACTGTGTGGGGACTGTGTGTGGGCTCTGTGTGGACTGTGTGTGGGCTGTGTGTGGGCTGTGTGTGGGTTGTGTGTGTGTGCTGTGTGTGGCCTGTGTGTGCTGTATGGGGACTGTGTGGGGGGACTGTGTGTGGGCTATGTGAGACTGTGTGTGCTGTGTGTGTGCTGTGTGGGCTGTGTGGGGACTGTGTGTGGGCTGTGTGTGGGTTGTGTGTGGATTGTGTGGGCTGTGTGGGGAATACGTGGGGGCTGTGTGGGGTGTGTGTGGGTTGTGTGGGCTGTGTGGGGAATACGTGGGGGCTGTGTGGGGTGTGTGTGGCCTGTGTGTGCTGTATGGGAAGTGTGTGGGGTTTGTATGGGCTGTGTGTGGGCGGCATGTGGGCTGTGTGGGGTTTGTGTGGGCAGTGTCTGTGCTGTGTGTGTGCTATGTGTGGCCTATGTGTGCTGTGTGTGGACTGTGTGGGGACTGTGTGGAGTGTGTGTGAGTTGTGTGGGCTGTGTGCTATATGGGCTGTATGGAACTGTGTGTGGGGACTGTGTGTGGACTGTGTGTGCTGTGTGTGGGCTGTTTGCGGACTGTGTGCGGGGACTGTGTGTGGGCTGTGTGGGATTGTGTGTGGGTTTGTGTGTGGGGATTGTGTGTGGACTGCATGTGGGCTGTGTGGGGTTTGTATGGGCTCTGTGGGTCTTTCTCACAGTCC
Source organism: Homo sapiens (assembly GCF_000001405.40). Classification (NCBI taxonomy): domain Eukaryota; kingdom Metazoa; phylum Chordata; class Mammalia; order Primates; family Hominidae; genus Homo; species Homo sapiens. Next base: position 78,738,285 of record NC_000018.10, on the reverse strand, counting down.
ACGCTGGCCCCATCCTAGAGTCTCTTGCTTTTGGGACACCTGTTGATGGGGTGGACTCTTCATTGAGGATGGTCATACTGACTTGGGCAGGGAATGTGAGCCTCTGTGTTTAAAAGGCATCCGGATGGGTCTTATGGCCAGGGCAGCACCTCACTGGGGACCACAACCCAGCACCCTTTCCAGCACCTTAGTGTGACTACTTTCCCCAGAGCAGACAAATGTCAAGGGAAATGATTGAAGCAAACACAGTTCCAGATCCTGTGCTTTTGCCAAGAGACTACTGTGTAAGCAGGATCACCGATCTGTCAATTCCAGTTAAGAAACAGCTGCCAAGTGAAGCATGGTGTCCAAACCATAGGCAAGTTCTTTCTGTAGAAAGGGTTGCAGCAGCCTAGTAATGAGAAGGCTTTCTCAGGTGTGCAGGAGAATTTGAGTGTGGGTCACCTTAGGAAGCTCTCTTGTCCCCTCCATTGCACACACAGACCCCAGGGCCCTTTCTTCAATGAGCTGCTCATGGGCCTGGCTCAGGTGTAATTCCTGCAGACCCAGCTGTTGGACAGGACTTGAGTATAGCGTCCTGGCCACAGGGTGAAAAGCCCTGTCTCTGGGAGAAGAGAGTGCAGATACTATTTATTTCAGACCTGACGTCCTCGGAGAACAGTGCTGGCCTGGCCTCCATGTCAGAGGTGTGTTATGTCTGAGCTCAGGGCCCCACGGCAGCCCCACGCCACGTGATGCTGACTTTCGACCAGCTCCTCTTCCCCCTACCTAAGACAATTCTACTCTCTAGCGTTTCGGATCCCCCTTGCGCTCAGGGTAAGTGCAAGGCAATGCTCTTCCCAGCTCTGTGTGCACTGAGGTCACCCCACAAGACCTTGTCACTGATCACTCACTGCTGTCTCCACCTTTCCGTGGCTGGTAACCAGAAGCACTGGGATGCCTTCCTTCCAGGGCAGGATTTGACTCTGTTCTAGAGTTGGTCATTTTCTGGGGAGGCCCCCTGTCTTGAGCAGAAGCCCACAGAAAGGCCTGCCTTTCCCAGTTTATCTGACAGGCACTCCTGCTCAGTATCAGACCGTGCACTCCTGGGGGTGTGGCAAATCTGGGATCACAAATAGACCGGAGGCTCCCATGTCCATCACTCTTAGGGTGCGGGGGGATGTCCCTGAAATGCGTGGTAACAAGGTCTTACAAACTCGAGGTCAAACCCCAAATCTACCACTTTGGATACGTCAGCTGGGTTCTCTGCCTCTGGTCTGATTTTTGTGTGGGGTGGCCACAGATCTCTCAGAGTTTAGAGGAGTAAATGAGATAAGACAGCTTTGTGACTCTGAAAGCAATCTGTGCAAAGTGGTATTATTATTGTTTTGTTGTTATTGCAATTATTTTGCCCACATCCTTTTAAATAATTATTATAACTTGTGCAATTGGAAACCCCACTCTCCCTATAGCTAGGTGCATTGCCTAGGGTATCGTTTACTCTGACTTTCTTCCCTGTTTACCTTTTATCTCCAATCTCGGTCAGGTGGCGACTGGCCTAGGAGGAAGGGACGACCAGGCCTGGCTCTGTTCTGAGCTGATTCTGTGACTTTCCAAGTCATCTTATTTCCGTTGGTCTCTGTTTCCTCATTTGTTACACGAGGCTTGACTAGCATATCACTTAATATTCCTATCAGACCCAACATCCTAGCAGTTTTCAGCTCTCATGTCAGCAGTGGAGGTCAAGAGCAGAATCACACAGACCTGAGTTTACAGCCCAGATCTCCACACTCACCCGGGCAACCTCGGACGGGCTGTCTGTCTCGCAGAGGTGTGCTGGGGCCTGCGTCCTTGCAGGCCCATGGGAGCCCAGTGATGCGTTTTCAGGAATTTCATGAGCCGGTTATGAAACACTGTCACTATTAAAGATCAAATCATTTAAACATACAATTTATATATATATATATATATGTGCTATGTATGCATAACAAATTATGTGGACTTACTTATAATTAGCAATAACTTCTATTAAACACGACGGTGATAAACATGGAAACTGCTCACCTCGCACCGTTGCGGGGCATCGACCGCGCTTCACGCTCACGGGGAGGGAACGCCGCCGTGTTGTTCCCACTCCGTCTCTTCCTAACCCCGTCAGTGCTGTCTGCTTGCTACCTTGGAATCGGCCGTGACGGGGACCCCTTGGAAACTGGAAACCACCGCACATCAGGACTCAGAGCTGGGATCGAATATTTACCCACGACGGCTGCCCGGAGGCCTCGGCTTCCTTGTCTACAATGGGGCAAAATGACGGCTCACAGAGTAGGTCCGAGCTTGCCCTGGAGCCGTGCGGGCGGCCCGGCGCAGAGCAGGTGTCCACAGATATTCGCTGCTTCCCTCTGGCTTTGCTTGTGACCAGGGAGGCGAGGCCGGGCTCACACCGAGGATAAAAATGTTTCCTTGTGGCGTTCTCATTCCAGGCAGGCCCTGCTCCTCACTCCTAGAGATTCTGATTCTGTAAGCCCGGGAGTCTGCATTTGAAAACATCCCCCAGGGCCCCCAGATCACCCACATTCCCCAGAGGGTCCTGGCACCCAGGCCACAGAGCCCGGGCCACGTGTGCTGGTGCCAGCCCATTCCCAGGCGACGCGTCCACGGTGTGCACTGCGGAGGGAGCAGGGGCCCTGGAAGGCTGTGAGACCCGAGGCCACGGGCATTCATTGCTCCTCAGAAGCCGGTCCTGCGTCAGCTGCAGCATGACTGCTCAATCACCGCAGGAAATCACAGGATGCCTTGGTTCCTGAATTCACACTTAAAAAGAGAAACGAAGACATCCGCCAGGGGCAGCTCTGCTGGAGGGTGATTCCACACCTCGCCACGTGGGACAATCAGGGTGACTGTGGCCATTGAGGCCGATGACTGCAATGACTGCGCGGGTCTGACCACGCTCCCCTCTCCATGGGAGGACCTTGGGCAGTTGTTCCCGTCTCCGTCAGCGACGACTTGCTGCTGTCTGGAAACCCGAAACAGCTGCGCACCCATGAGTGCACCACGGCCGGTGCCCCGGGCCTGGACCTGCCTCCTGGGATTCACCGCTTGCCGCCCGCACCAACGGGACCAGAACAGCAGAAAGGGGAGGCCCTGTTTTGCACCCAGGGGGACGCTTGCGGCTCAGAGCAGAAGAGGCTGGGCAGACCCAGAGCAGGAGGGCTTGGAGGGTGGGCGTGAAGTCGGGGGCATGAAGGATAAAGCCTCCCCCAGGTGCCCGGCAGAGCATGGACCTGTGATGGTGAGTGCCCCCGAAGTCTGTGGCTCTCAGTCCAGCCTCTCTGCTGTGGGGGGCACCATCTCACAGGCATATATGTATTTAGCTTCTATGTAACATGTAGCATGCTACTTTACATGCCCACTATGTGGTTATAGAGACGCAACTTACATATATATTATATATATATTTTTATATTTACATATTTTTTGCCCCTTGATAAGAAGTTCTTGGGAGGGGACAATGACTGTAGCTCCTGCCCAGGAGCCCCGTCCCCGCGCAGTCTGTTCAGTGGCAGCTCCATGTGCGGGGCAAGTCCCAGACATCTCTGTTTGCTTGTCTGTAAAGGAGAAGCTGGACGATGTTCCCCAAGATCTTTCACTCGTGCTAAAGTCCTGGCCATCCTCGGCTCACGGCCTCCTCCACCCTGTTCTCAGATGATTCTTAAACGATCTTTCACTCGTGCTAAAGTCCTGACCGTCCTTGGCTCACAGCCTCCTCCACCCTGTCCTCAGATGATTCTTAAACGCAGTGCGTTTGGGCAGTTGGAGTCCTGTCAAAGACGAGGCCCCCGCCCACCCCCGGTTTGTGTGACCGTGCCAGGCAGTGCTGCGAGATGGAGCCCGGTGGCCGGGCCATGAGAGTCCTGAGGCTGTGAGAGAACGCTTTGTGGGAGGGATCTGTGGGAAACCGAGAGGCCATCTGTTCCCAAAGATGGGTGCGTTGCTGTCTTTTATGGCTTTTACCCAGAAAGCTTCTATTAGAGGGCGGGTGCAGAGTTAGGAGGAAGTAGGAAAGTCCCATAAAAATGTGACTCTTGTTTCACGATTATCAGCTGAAATCAGACTGGAAAATGGAAGCCAGGAGTTGGAATTTCGATGGGTGTGAACTTTGCCAGGTCTTGAATGGAATCGGATTTCCTGCTTGCACACGGCTCGGTGCATGTCCAGGTGAAAAGTGTGTGACACGCAGGTGCTTAGAAAGACCACGGCCTGCAGCCAGTGCATCCTGGCACCAAGGCCTCGGGGATTCTCTGGGCCTCTCGGAGCCCAGCTGTCCTTATCTGTGAGGCACCCCATTGCCATTCAGAACACAGGGCATGCAAAGCACTCAGCCCTGGAGCCCGGCATAGGCAGGTGTCAATAAACAGCAGCTGTTGTGATGATTGATTAAGAATCCATGTCTCCCTGGGTGAAATCTTCCGGTGAAACTGGGAACGCAGCTTGGAGCTTTCTTCGAACCCGCAGCATTTCAATATGTGTCTACACACCTTTGCTGACATTTAACGTAAACTTTCATGTCCATGTAAATTGTAGAAGCAAAATGTTTAGTTTGTCTTGTAGTTCAAGGAGGTCTCTGGGTGCCTGGATATGTCTTGTGGACAGGGGATAATTTTTGGAGCACTCACTGTGAGCCGCGATTGCATGTAGCACTCCATGGAGGCCTGGGAGAGAGAGGTTCCGTTTCTCCCTTCTGCACAGATGCAGATACTGAGTTCTCAGAGCTCAAGTGTGCAGCCAACATGTCTGAAAACTCGTCCTGAGCAGAGAGTGAGGGCGGAGGTGAAGAGTCTAGAGGGCAGCCAGTGCTAGGAGGGGCCGGAGGTTTAGATCATGGAAAGGACATTGGCATTTCTCTGGGTGAAGTGGAGAAGGTGGTAGGTTTAGAGCCACAGCCTGATTCACAGTGTAGAAGAATTGATTAGGCTGCTCTGTGGAAAATGGTCAGTTAAGGACAGGGGCCAGTCAGTGCAGGAGGCCAGTTAGGAGGCTGACGCCAAAACGCCAGTGTCTGAGTATGATTTGAAGATGGTGTTAGTGTTCTCCGGAGAGACAGAACCAACAGGTCCAGAAGTATAGGCTTATTAAAGGAATTGGCTCATGTGAATTTGGAGGCTGAGAAGTCCCAGCACCTGCAAGCTGAAGACCCAGGAGGGCCGATGGCTTGGGTTCCAGTCTGAGTCCAGGACCAGGCCAGTGTCCCGGCTGAAGGGCCAGGCAGGTGCAGCACCCATTTGCTGAGCCTTTCTGTTCTCTCCAGGCCTTCACCTGATTGCACGAGGCCCACCCATGTTGGGAAGGAGAATCTGCTGTGTGCAGTCTATCCATGCAAATGCTGATCTCCTCCAGAAACACCCTCACAGACACACCCAGAACAGCACTCCAGCAAACAGCTGGGCACCCTGTGGGCCCGTGGAGCTGACACACAGCATGAACCATGGGCCAGGGTCAGTGGCTCACAGATGAATCAGCTGTGGGGTGTGAAGGAAGACCAGGAGAACAGGGTGCTCCAGGGTGGGGGCCAGAGCCACTCACGGAAGACTGGGCTGGAAGTGAGCAGCTTCAGGGCTTGGTTCTGTATGCTGGGCATCTGGAAGATGTGCACGTGGGGGATTCTGGGGCCATGGGGCGTGTGGGCTGGGAGCTCAGAGCATGGTCTGGGCTTGAAGGTGTTAGTTTATGTCTTTGTCCCCTGTGAGAAGGGGCCGGCTTGGCTGCCTTGTGTTCCAGGCTTTGATGCAGTGCTTGAACGTGTTAGAGGATCCCCCAGAGTTGGTGGCAAATGAGGCAGGGAGGAGCGTAGGAAGCCAGGCCGAGGGTCCACGTCCAGGAAGGGACAGTGCAGGGCCCATTGGGCAGTTCCACTCTGCTCAGACCAAAGAGCAAGCAAAACCAAAAAGAGGTGGAGGGAGGGGGACGGAGGGGGAAGGCCAGACAGCACCTGCCTTGGGCAGAAAGTCAGTTCTTCTCCAAGGGGAAGTTTAACGATGTGAGTTTGGATTCTTGCATAACCAATTACCTCAAAACTTAGCACCTTAAAATAGCCATTTTATTTGGCTTTAAAGCAAAATTTTTTTCTTTTAATTAAACAAAAGTTGTTTTTAGAGTCAGGGTCTGTCTAGGTTGCCCAGGCTGGCCTTGAACTTCCATTTGACTTTTGTTCTCGTGGGTGAGGACCCTGGGGAGGGCTCTACCAAGCAGGTCCTGCCTGAGGCTTCATGGGTGTCGCTGGGCTGCTGTGGCAGCTGGAGCAGGCTGGGTGTCCCTGTGCACTGGCGCTGGAGCCCTGGGGCCAGCAGGGTGAACACAGCGGTCTCCAGCGTGGCAGTCTCAGGGTGGCTGGCATCTCTTGCAGCAGCCAGTGGGGGCATCCCAGAAAGACCACAGAGCAATTGCAAGGCCTTTTCTGGCTTGGCCCTGAAGGTCACACAGCATTGCTTCCACTGTCCCCATTGTGGCAGCAGGCACACACCCGCCCGGATTCAGGGCAGGGACGCAGACCCCACCTCCGATGGAAGGGGCAGGATGTGATTTGTGCTGAGAGGCGGAGGGTTGTGTGCAGCTGGGGTGGAGGGTGGGCTCCCAGCGACCTGCAGTGCAGGACTCGAAGCCGCTGGAGAGAGTGAGTGAGACGACCTGCCAGGCACCCAGCAGCCAAAGCCCTAAGTGCTGGGGCAGCCTGTGGGGAGGAGTGGGACCCTCCGCATCCAGCGGCAGCCGGCCCCGCAGGGGCTCCAGGTGATGAGCAAACCCACAGGGGACTAGGTTGGCTCCATGTGATGAGCAAACCCACAGGGGACTAGGTTGGCTCGTTTGCTGCTGCCCTTAGCACCCACTGAGCGCCTGTCACAAGGGGGTTCTCAGCAAATGGCCTGAGCTCACGATGGTGCCCTCTGATTGTGCGGCTAGGCTGACGTGACGTCCAGGCACCCAGGGGCTGAACAGTGCCAGGCTCTTGTGAGTCCAGCGTGAGAAGCACGGAGATGATCAAGATGGGTGCAGCACAGGCCCTGAACGCAGAACGCACCATGCAAGACACAAACGCTGCGGGGCTCTGCACGGGAGGCACCAGGTACGACGCTGGGATCTGCATAGGAGACACTAGGAACGACGCAGCGTTCCGCACAGGAGACACCAGGAATGCAGCAGTGTTCTGCACAGGAGACACCAGGCTCCGCCTCACAGACAGGCGGTGGGAGGGTGGGTACCAGTGCAGGGGGTGGGACGGGCACAGGGCTGCAGTTGTGGGAGGTGAAAAGGTTCTGCAGATGGACGGTGGTGATGGTTGAACAGCAACGTGTACTTAATGTGCTGAACTGTGTGCTTAAAAATGGTTAAACGGTCAATTTTATTCTATGTATATTTTACCACACTTTTAGGAAAGGATATAAAACAAACAAAACCACATCCTGGGACACCATCGTAAAAATAATTGAATCATAAGTCGCCTATCATGGCCGGTGCTAAGAATTACAGTGTTTGGGGGAGTGTGGGTGTCGGCATGGGCGTGTGTGTTATGCTCACAGGCTGCCTGGGCGTCCTGTAAGCTGCTGCTGTTTCTGCTGCTGGTGAACGTGGCTGGCTTCTTCCTGGCCATGCTCTGACCTGGCCTTCCTACATTCGTCAAAAAGCTGCACTGAAGACCTCTTGTAGGCGTTTTGCTGGACAATTTCAGGAAGCACAATGACAATGTATAAAAAGGTCAAAGTATTTGGCTGGATTTATGGGGCATTAAGAAACCACTGCAGTGGAGATGGTAGAATTAGGGAAGTCATTTCCGTGGGCACCGGGTAGGAGGCTGCTCTCAAGGTGAATGTGTGCGGCTTCCTGCAGAATGTCTGCAGAGCGACCCTGGGAGGTGCCTGCCACAGTCCCTCCTACCATGATGCTTCCTAATCAAGTGAGTTGGCAGCACACAGCAGACAGGAGCCCATGTGGGCATTTGAGTCTTTGGGGTTTAAGTAAGATAAATAAATAAAAAGCTTATGTTTCCAGTGATTCTCAGGGGAACTGTGATTGCATTAGATATGTATTAATGTATCTATCTATCTCCTAATCTAGCCGTATCAGTGAAGAACCGGCTCATCTCTAAGGGATGACTGATGCTGAAATGTGATAACCATAATTCCAATAGGTCAACCGCACTGATGAAGCACCAGGAGAGGCTGCAGTTGACACAGTGCACCCGGCGAAAGCGTAGCCTGATTTACTGGGAACTTTCCACCTTCCATGGCAGGGGAATCACTGCCAGTTTGGCCTTGTATTAAGAGATATAATTCCATAGGCTGGCATAGCTCAAAGGCACAAGCACCAATAATTAATCTGAATACAGAAAGCAAAAGAGGATGTGGGGAGGGTGGAATTCGATGTGGGGAGATCGTCACTGTAGCTGCTTCTCCGTCTTGCTAAAGCAACTGTCCAGACTGTCTATGAGCAAACTGTCTGAGCCTGAACCTGTATCCGCCAGATGCACCTGCAGCATGTGTGATCATGGAGGGTCAGTTTGCAAAGGATTTTAGGGGTATTACTGTTATGCCAAAGCTAATTAAATAAGAAAATCACCAGTAAGAGTTTCCAAGGTGGAGATGTTTTCCTCTGTTAATACCTCCGCAAAGTCCTCAGACATGTCCAGGAATGGCATTGATCAAACTAGCTTTAGCAAAACCATCTTCCAGCAACACGCATTTCACAAGCCAGTCCTGCTGTCTCCTGGAGCCCAGCCCTTAAGCTGCCAGACCAGGCCCCGGTTGTTAAAAACGGTAAAAACCACCTTTCTGAGAAATTAAACAATACAGCAAAGCATACTGCTACCTAACGCCGGCAATTAGAGAAGGAAAAATATTACAAATAGATGGAAGCACCTTTAAGTTCAGTCCTCCCTCCCCAAAGCCAGCCAGCGCCATGGCTTTATAACCCTGTGAGTGAGATTTGCTGGTCCATGTGTAGCTTCTGCAAGCTGTGGCATCCCTCCAGCGTTAGGGTTTGAAGAGCTCTCACTGTTGTGGGCTCTCTCCCCTGCCGCCCCCATGTTACTCAGGAAATTCTCTCACACGTGAACGCGCCCCTGCGTGGCTCCCGGAGATCCTGCTCACACGGGACGTGGATGCTGCACGTTTCCGGAAGCTCTAGCTGTTCCTTTCCTCTGTTCTTACATCACCATGACAATAGCATTGCAGAAGAGAACATCTGTGACCAAATGTGCGGGGATATCCCCCCCCCCCACTCAGCAGTGGACGCTGAGTTCCGACACTGTCCACTTGGAGATGGTGTCAGACCCACAGGTGAGGGCTCGCTCCTCAAGGCTGCCCCCGACTCAGCAGCGGACACCAGCAGGGTCCTCTGGCTAAGTTCTGACACTGTCGACATGGAGACAGCGTCAGATCCACAGGTGAGGGCTCGGTCCTCAAGGCTGCCCCCCACTCAGCAGCAGACACCAGCAGTGTCCTCGGGCTGAGTTCCGGCACTGTCACCTGGAGACAGCATCAGATCCACAGGTGAGGGCTTGGTCCTCAAGGTTGCCCCCCACACCAGTTGCAAGTCTGGGCTCCAGAACTTCTGACCAACCAGCTTCAAATTGGGCTTCCCATGACCCTTTCTTTGGGTTTGATTAATTTGCTGACGTGGCTCACAGAACTCAGGGAAACGCTTGTGTCAACTGGTTTATTATCAAGAATATTGCAAAGGATACAGGAAGAGGAGGTGTAGGGTGGTGGGAGGGGCGTGGAGCTTCTGTGCCCTCATGGGCGCTCCGTCCTTCAGGGGCCTTGGCGTGCTCAGCTCTCGGGAAGCTCACGGACTCCATCCTCTTGGGTTCTTACAGAGATTTCATTACATAGGCATGATTGACAGCCATGCAGAAATGGGAATGGACAAAACATGCAGTAACTAACCCTCGCAGGGCCTGTCTGCTCAGACTTACCCCGGCCTCTGTGCAAGTTCCTTCCTGCAGAGTGTGGGGCGGGACCCTCTCTGGAATGAAGATCTTTTGATCCACGATCAGGTTAGAGTCCTGCCTTGGGTCAGGCAAAAGAAGGACAGGAGACAGTCAGAGATTCTGTATCCCAAGGCCCACAGGGTCCCAGCATTATCGCAAAGGCTGCGGGAGTTGGGAACCAGGGCCTGTGGATGGAGACCACTGTGTCCCCTAACACCACCTGCCCTGTCGCTGCCTCCACGGCACTCCTAGGCCATTCTCTTTTGTCATGTCCTCAGCGACAAGGCGCATCCTCTGGTCAGAATCCTGGTGGCTGGCCCATCCTAAGGACGCCCCGCACTGGCCATTTAACGCAGCCAGGGGCCTTGGTGTGGGGCAGGACCACCACAGCCCTGCCTGTCTCCACGGAGCTCTGCCTTCTTGGACCCCAGGCCAGCTGCACAGAGCAGGATCTTCTGGCGCCAGCGTTTGGGGAGAGCACATTTCTCAGCTGGAAGGTATTTATTGATGGGCTCTTTATCACAGATGTCACCTGAGTAAAAATAATTTTCCAGGACTCCAGTTGGCTAAAACACAGAAGCCAATAATTCAATGCAAGGTGTCGATGGCCACACGAGAGTCTCCTGTTTTGAGAAGCGGTGCTCACTCTGTGAGGTGCTTATGGCCCCTGTTGTCCTCAGCATGTCAGGGAGCCCTGCCAGGCTGCGACCGCGCTCCTTGCAGCCTGGCAAATGGGCAAATGGCTACATTCCTGCCTATGCAGAAAGCCCCGCCAAGGCTGCGCCATGAGCCCCTGCTGAGCTGAAGGGTGGCAGTGTCCCTGGGACAGTAGGTGCACCACCCAAGGGGCCTGGGGTCTTGCTGGCCTGGTGTCTCCGCTGTTCCACCCATGTGCGCGCACGTGTGTTCACATGTAAGGAGCTGTATGTCTGGAGCCTCCTGCAGTGCAGATACCTTCTGGCTGTCATGTAAACCGCAAAAACGCTTCTATACAGCGACTGCGCGGAAGTCATAACCACTTTCCGCATGAAGAGGCAAAGTTCTGTTCCTTATTGGCTTATTTTTTAGCAAAGGCATCTCTGAGAAAGCATCCTCGTACTCCCGCAGCGCTCATGGCCTTGGATGTACCATGGGCCCGGCTCTCCCTATCATTCCTCGGGACCCCGATTCTCCTGGGCTTTGTCTGTGTTTTTCAGAAGGGAAAACACAAAGGGTCCTCATAACACTTAGCCCTTCCTCTGAGGGAGGTGGCAGGCGCCAGGCAGGCAAATCCAGGAGAGGGAACAGGGCCAAAGCCTCACGCCCATGGGCCTGGGAGGCGGGCAGCGCATGGCACAGGAAGGCCCCTTCCCGCATCCAGGCGTGGGGAGGCCGGTGGGTCCGGACGACCTGTGGGAGCAGGCAGGTATTCCTTGGAGAGACCAGTGCGTGGAAGTCTCCATGTGCACTGGGGTCTCCTTTTGCGCGCGAGTCTCCACGTGCGCGCGGGTCTCCATGTGCGCAGAGGTCTCCGAGGGAGTCTCCACGTGCGCTGGCTCGGGCTCGCCTTCCCCAGGGCTCCAGGCGCCCTCCTCCTCCCCTGGGAACGCTGTGGAAGGACCCCGGGACGCATCTGTCTCTTGGTCTTGTGGCAGTGAAGAGAGGAGTACGAGGTGGCAATGATGGCCCCAGACAGCCATGGGGACATGACGCTCGAGGAGTTTAAATTTAAGTCCCGGGAGAAGCGAGTGTGAGGTGCTGGAGTGCAACCTGGCAGCGCTGCCGGAGTGGCTCGCCTTTCCCACTGGTATAGATGTCTCTGCCAGGCCGGGAAAGAAAAGTGCAGGCGGGAAGCGAGGCAAGACCAGAAGGTTCTGGCGGGCAGTGGGCCTGGAGCTCGGGGGACAGCAGGCCTGGGCGGGCTCCGTGAGGCTGGGCACGGGGGCGGGAGCCCGGGTCCCGAAGGCCAAGGATGCGCAGTGCCAGGCCGGGCCCAGCGCCGAGGCTTCACCGGCCTGCTTTGCGCCATCACTCGGCTTTGAGTCCCTGTTATTAAGATGACAAGTGATGATTTTGAGAGCTGACCCTTGTCTCTCCCTTGAAAAGGACAAATAAAAAAGTAATTATGGATTTCTGCGTTTTCAGATATTGGTCCTTATTCTTACCCAGAGCTCAAAAGAGTTTTTCATGACATGGCTCATGGTTAGAAAATTGACATTCAGCTGATAAGAAACTCCTTGCTTTTGTGTTGGAAATAGTGAAGTTAACGCAGAAATGACGTCCAGCGCAGCATCTCTCCAGTATAACCCTGGAATTCCGAGTATGGACGTGAGGACGGGTCCGATTTGGGTTCTAAGATCTCCCTAATCTTTCCTTTCGGTTCTTGGGAGATCTTAGAAATGCAGACACGATTCTGAGACATCAGGTGGGGAAGTCTGGGGTTTCACAAACAGCGTATTGCAAAAACTGGAAGAAAAAACAAACCTGTTTCTTTCTTTCTTTTTTAATCCTCCCACACAGTTTCAATCCCTTGAAGAGAAAGATAATTAGTCATGGATCTCAGATTTGAGGCAATAAATGTTTTAAATGACTAAGAATAATTTATGTCTAGATTCCAAAATGGTCAGAAATGAAAGATCAAGAGGGCAGGCGTTTCAGCCACACAGCAGCGGTGGGATTGGAAGGGGAGGTGGTCTTGCAGGGAATGCAGTGTCCGGCCAGTCTCCACCGGAGGTGCCTCAGCAGCCCTGGTGGGGAACCCGCACCATCTGTGTCCAAGTTTTGATCTCAGGGAATGCAGCGTTGGGCCAGTCTCCAACGGACATGCCTCAGCAGCCCTGGTGGGGAACCCGCACCTTCTGTGTGCAGGCTTTGATCGTTTTGATGGTGATAGAAAGAACGTACATCTACTAATAATGTCTGAGAGCAAGTGCTCCTGAACAAGCTCTGTATTTGGGTGACTTCCTTTAACTTTGCAGATGCTTCCCAGAAGCACTTGACTCTGACTTTTAATTTCTAATTTGAGATACATTTTTCTAGTCTCATTTATTTCATTCTGATACCATCAGTGAATTTATGATGAACGCCACTTTCTTGGTGGAAGGATGAAGACTGCCTACATCTCAGGAAACTTGGAAAGAGGACACACATTTGGACACTTAAAATAAATCCACCTTGAGCAGTTTCATCAACCCCAGAGTCTCCCATTGACTTGGACTGGGCACAGTAGGTGTTTCCTGAGCACTTCCGTTTGCCTGACACCAACTCCTGCATCTTTGTGGTGTGTGATTCTCTGTCTTCTCCTGAGAAACCATCCCAGCATGCCACTTTCTAGATTAAATGTTTTGTCCCAGCTAATATCTCAAAAGCCATTGGCAACATTCGGCATCCCAAGTGAACAGGACATGGATGTGAGCTGGTGGAGATGCAGTTCTGGAACCACGCGGCAGCAGTAAATCTCCACGCTGTCGTACAATTTGGCGCAGCCCAATTTATTCATGGTCTTTAAACAAGGAGTGCAGAGGCACAGCCTGAGTGAATGCCAACATCAGCTAGTCCCAATGAGAGCTCAAAGCAGATTCTATCATTTTCTGGGGAAAAAAAAGAGGCAAAAGGAAGGGAATGCTCAAGTGACAGCCGGCACCCTGCCATCCTCGTCTGGGGGAAAAGAATTACTCTCCACCTGCCAGGCACTGGAGACAGTCAGCTCAGCCCCCAAGGGGTTCGGGCCCTGGCTGAAGTCGAATTTGTGCCTGGACCAAGCCTGCTAGGCACCAGAGGGAGGACGTCGGTCAAATTATATGCATTTCCTGGGGTCTCTGTTTCCTCATCTCTAAATTGGGATTAATAATCTTATTAGCAAAGTTGTTATGAGAGTTAAATGTAATAGTTAAATAAAATAAAAATAGTTTCATAAATGATACCGTAAACCAAATAAAAGTCAAAGCCCCCCCGGCCCCCTGCCTGCAACCATTTGAATGGACTTCCTCCTCGGCCAGGGCACCCTAAAATTTAACCTGAAAGACTAGTTCAGGCCAGGAAGAGGGGGTGGACATGCCTCATTGTACCCTCCAGCAGTAACATCAACACAGACCTTAAGTCTGATGAGAAACAGTCACAGTCTCTTCTCTCCGAAGCCTGCCACTTGCATGATAAAACCCGGGTCTGCACAACCCCTTACCTTAACCCAGACATTCCTTTCTATAGACAGTAACTCTTTCAACCAATTGCCAATCTGAGCATTTTTAAGTCTACCTGTGATCTGGAAGCACCCCGCTTCGAGTTGTCCGCCCTTCCGGATGGAACCAAAGTAAATCTTACATGTATTGATTGAGGTCTCGTGTCTCCCAAAAATGTATAAAAGCAAAAGCTGTGCCCCAACCACCTTGGCCACATGTCAGCCACCTCCTGAGGCTGTGTCATGGGCAAAATAAACTTTCTAAATTGACTGAGGCTTGTCTCAGATACTTTTTGGTTTACAATATAAAAAGGACGTAGTGCGCAATAAATCATAAACTGTAACTAACCCTAAAGCAATGATAACTCAACGAAGCTCAAGTACTACTAACCCACCTACCCCCTCGCCCCCCTACCTTCCCTGACTCCGCGCAGTGACAGATTACTTTCTCACTAGATTTGAGGGATGTCATTTTTTTCTTTCAAAGTGAGAATCCCATGGTAAGAGCTGATCCCTGGAACCAAGCACAGCTATGATTTACAGTTTCCCACACTCTGGGGTTGACGAACACACATCTTTGCTTGTGCAAGGCTTGTCCTGTTAACTTGACCTTCTAAGAATGCCCTTCTGTGTGTACACGGCTCCAGACTTGAGGCTCGGGCTGGCTGGTGGCTGCATCACCCTCGCTCGGTCCTGGGCATCAGACACACGTACCCTCCTGAGCCAAGGGGTGCTCAGAGCCGGCTTTTGCACCTTTGGCTCTATGGATTTTGTCTCTATGTGGTTCTTCTTTTAACTAATAATTCCTGAGCCTCACTTATGGTCAAATATCTTTTGTTTGAACACGTGGCTATGTGGAGCTTAAGAACATCTCCTCTGCTATTTGGAGGAAGAGTTGTGTTTGTGCCCCCGAAGATGCCTGCCTTGAAGTCTAAATATTTTGTCACTTAGGATTTCCTTCAGCCCCGACCCAGGTGGCTGTCCTCTTGGCTCCACGTCGCGCAGCCTGGGGCTGCCGGATGTCCCAGCACGATGCTCGGGCGCCCGCGAGAGAGAAGGGCAGATTGCAACTTGAACAAAAGTATATTTATGGAGCTTGCAAACTCCCTAATAGCTTTGAAATGAAGTTTCCTGAAGCCACATTCAAAGCTGAAGTAGGCAGGATTCTTTTTCATGGCATGCCTGAATTTAAAAACAAAAACAAACGAACAAACAAATAAATAAATTAAAGAAAAAAAAAAAAACCCTAACCTACCCAACACGCAAAGTTCAGGGTAGAAAAATTAACCCTGGGAAAATCTGGAAAAGCCTCAGATTATACGAGACATTCATCCTCAAGCTGATTTTTTTTTTTTTGTACAATCCTGTGTTGTGCTCCAAACACAAATCTGAGAATACTTCTTAAAGGGGAAAACAAAGCTCAGCCCGGCCATACATCTGTGAGTTTTGAAACAAAGGTTTGTTTGTGTGCCTCAATCACTCTCGCCCATGAAAGCAGACACTTACTTGAAAAACTTTTCAGGGAAACACTCTAAACCAACATCCTGGTATAAATTTGCAAAACGCAATACAGGCCTGATTGTTTTTGGAGTGGATGCAGGCCGCATACGAATAGCTCTTTCTGAAACGTAATGTTCTTTGCACGGCTCGGTGGCTAACGTACAATAAATCAACAAAAGAGCGCTTCAATAAAGCTATTGGGCAGCAGCAAGGCCACTGTTATTTTATCTTTTTACAGTATTTAATTGGAAGGTTTTTCCTGAAACTTTAGCCAGCCTTCAAATTACTAGACTCTATATAAGAAGAGATTGATAAGAGAAATTTTTTTCTTCCAGGATTTTTTCCTTACAAGAGAGCAAGTTTTTGCGGAGGGAGAATAAAGTTACAAGTGTCTAGCATTCTGCTGAGGGAGAATGAAATTAGATGCTGAATGGAGCGGGTAGGAAAGGCTGGGAAAATGCGAACTTGGCAGCGTCGCCAGGTCACTGCAGAGCCCCACTGTCCTCCGGCACCAGGTGTCCGCTGCATTCAAACGATACTATTATTCATAGACGGAGCAGAGCATTAAAACTCCCCCCAAAAATCATTTGCAACTGAATAAAGATATAATCCTGGAAATATAACTCTCCATTAAGGGCCCCATTAGCAACACAAGGGCCTCATTGTCAAGGAGTTATGTATATTTATCAAGTGAAAAAAAACTTGTCTTAGTGCTTACATGTTAATAGAAAACTTTTATAGCCCTGGTCTCAGAACTAGTTATGCATAAAATGTAAAGCATCTATTATGCTTTGGCAAACTCTTGAGCGTTTGACAGTGAATTGCTAATACACGAACAGTCTCCGGCGATGGACGGATAACGTCTTCCTGGCTGGCGCGGGGCTGCCGCGGAGTGGGCCGAGATGTGAGGCCTCCTAGCCCCCGGTTTAGTCCTGAGTTCTGTGAGGGACCCGGGGATCTTCTCCAAGGGCCTTGCCACCTTCTCCATGTCTGTTTCTGAAGCTGCTTCAGGGCAGGAGGTCCGTCCCTTCAGAATCTCCCTGTCAGGACACGGCTTTCTGCCCTCCTCTTCTTTCAGTCTTACTGCAGAGGGTTAGATGGGGTCTCCCTGTAAACGGATGAATGTGTGGTCGGGCGGCCCCACCACGGACCCCTGGTGAGCTCTGGCAGGGACCAAGGACGCCAGGCTGGGCCCAGGGGCAGTCTCCCTCCCTCTCCCTTCCCCTTCTGAAGCCCCCAGGCTGCATCCAGCCGACCCCAGCACAGGAAGGAATGCAAGGGATGAAGCCCTCCCCCCCTCCCCAGGAACAGGGGGAGCTACAGACAAGGAGTGGCTTCCACAGCTCCTCCAGGACGGCCCCTTCTCTCACAGGCTCTCTGCACTTTTGGCACTAGAATGTCATAAGTAGCAAAGTCCTGTCAAGATGTAAATGCCCCTGCTATAGTCTGGGGCCCACGTGGTGGCCGTGCTTAGGGCAGGCATCTGGTGTTAAGTTTGGGGCTTGTGGTCTCTGCGGTGGGTTTCACCCCCTCACTGGAGCTTGTTGCCCCCACAGGCAGTGCTGGGCGTGGGCCGCCTCACCAGGATTATGCCTGCATCCTTTTAAGGAAAAGAGCTGGACGTGAGAGGCGGACAGGAGGAGTCCTCCCAGGCCCAGGGATCCCTGCCAGGAGGAGAGCAGCCTGCGTGGGGCCCTTCCCCGTCCAACACCGGCTTCCCGGCGCCTCTGCCAGGGCTCCCCCGACTCTGCCCTGCTCCTCCTTCCGCGTCCCTCCAGCCTGGGCTTTGCTTGTCCCCTAAGATTCCTGTGACCAAGTCCTACACCCAGTGTCCGAGAATGTGAGCTGTGAATGTTGACAGAGCCACAGCGCAGTCACAAATGTTAAGAAAACTGCTGAACAGAGCGGGGAACGCCATGAGGAGATGGTCCTCGTGCTTGTGGGCCTCGTCATGAAAAACAGTACAAAACCCGCAGCCTGGTACAAGAAGCAGTCGGCAAGGACGTCGGCCCAGCACGGCCTGGCCAGCCTCAGATCAGCGACACCCTTATCCATCCTTGCAGCTGAGGAGAATCATTTCAAACAATGGCCTCATCCTTCGATGGTTTCCCTCAAGCCTTGGTCTTCCCTTCCTCCCCAAGCGTGCAGAGTCTGCTGTGGCGTGTAGGTGCCACGGCCACGCTCGGCTCTCAGTCCAACATCTCTCCTCTTAGAGAGCCTCTCTCTCTGTGTTTAGGTTGACAGGCCTTATCTGAAATAGGGACTTTGCAGATGATCAAATTGAGATGACATCATTAGGGTGGGCCCTAATCCAGTATGACTGGCGTCCTTATAGAAAGAGGTAAGTTGGAGCCAGGATGGATGTGCATGCGGGGAGAACACGACTCCTGAAGGTGGAATCGAGGTGCTGCTTCTACGTGCCAAGGAAGGGCAATGATCACCAGTGGCCACCAGATGCTGGGGAGAGGCCTGTGTAGGGAGGGAAGGTTTTCCTCAGCCATTTTAGGGGTCTTGGCTGGGTCTGAAAACTTAAAAAAAAAAAAGACTCTTACCCCTTTTCCTTGAATGAGCCCCACAGAGAGAGACATGAGGGGTTGATGTGGTGAGAACTCTCCCGCTGCCGGCCTTTGTCAGAGGTTCCCGAATTGCTGAACTGCCGCTTGCAGGCGGAGCAAGGCGCCTGTGCAGGCGTCGGGAGCCACTGAGGGAAAAGGCTGTCCCGGATTGTCTAGGGTTCCCACCTGGGTCTGAAAATCAGACAAAGACAGGTTAACAGGAGAAAAACCTGGAATTTAATTAATACGTTTTAATGACATGGAGGCCTTCATAACGGAATGAAGACACAAAGAACTGGGGGAGCCTGGGTGTTGTCAGGCTGGCTTAGATGAGGAAGTGCATGGCCCCAGACAGGTGTGATCACATGGTCATGGAGCGGGGATGCAGCAAAGCCTGTGTGTGCAGGTGCATCTCTCTGTCCCCACATCTTCCAAGCTAAGGATGTGTCTTCCCTGGCAGTGCAGTGGAGGCCATTAGGTCAGGAGGATCTTATAATTCGCTTCAGGGAAAGGCCAGAAAGTACCTGCTAGGTTTTATGACCTGCTTCTGTGGAAGAGGAGGAGAAGGTTGGGGAGTGACCTTCCTGCTTCTGCCCCATTCTTAAATGCCATATGTAAAGTGCCATATTTTGGGGCAGTGAGCCCTGAACCCCATCATGTAAAATACTTTCTCCTCCTCAGCGGCCAAATGCCAACCCTGCTAACACCCAGAGCTCAGATACGCAACCTCCAACATGACAGGAAAATACATTCCATGTTAAGCCATCAAGTCTGTGATACTCTGATGTTGCAGCCCTGGAAAACATATCCATGTCCCACACATTGACCGTTCAAGGGCCCGGCTCAAGGAGGTTGATGTGAAAGTCCTCATGGCAGGATAGACACAGGCCTTAGAAAAGCAGAGCTCGAATCCCAGAAAAACCCTTGCTCAACATAGACGTATCTGCGCTCTGTGAATATACCCTTCTTCTACATGAGAACATCCTGGCTCTACGTGGACAAAATCTTGTTCTACATGGACACAGCCTTGATCTCCACGGGCCCAGCCTTGATCTACGTGGGCCCAGCCTTGATCTCCACGGGCCCAGCCTTGATCTCCATGGGCCCTGCCTTGATCTCCATGGACACAGCCTTGATCTACGTGGGCCCAGCCTTGATCTCCATGGGCCCAGCCTTGATCTCCATGGGCCCAGCCTTGATCTCCATGGGCCCAGCCTTGATCTACGTGGGCCCAGCCTTGATCTCCACGGGCCCAGCCTTGATCTCCACGGACACAGCCTTGATCTCCACGGGCCCAGCCTTGATCTCCACGGGCCCAGCCTTGATCTCCATGGGCCCAGCCTTGATCTATGTGGGCCCAGCCTTGATCTCCACGGGTCCAGCCTTGATCTCCACGGGCACAGCCTTGATCTGCATGAACATATCCTTTCTCTACAGGGACACAGCTTTGCTCTGATAGGAATATCCTCGTTGTTGGACACACAGTGCTCTGCACAGACATTGTCTTGCTCTGCATAGATCCATTTTTATTCTACATGGTGTCATCTTTGTTCCTTGGACATCACTTTGTTATACCCATCTTTTCCCGTGTAGTGCAACATGGTGTGACTTGATCCTGATGGCCTATCCACTTTAATTAAAATTCACACCCGCCCCAAAACACACACCAGGGGAAAAGTGTGCTTTTTCTCTTTGAACATGTTTGCTTAAAAGCAAGGTGGAACATGTCACAGCCCATCGGACAAAAGGCCCTCACACTCCTTTATGTAATAAAATGAGTGGTTAGTGCACCCCCAGTTTAGCAGGGCCTCCTCTTGCGTCTGTGGGGCTGAGACGCATGTGCACGGTGCAGACAGCAGTGCTGCCCTGAGAACCTTCATCCAACCATGACAGACTCGTGGACACCACAGCCACGCTGGTCCCATGTTTGATTTACTGAGGTTGCCACAGAATGGGGCTTGTGGTAGGATCCCACCCTCCCCAAAACCTTGGTGGGGTGGCCAGCCCAGCAGGCTTTGCTGCATAGGGACCTTTAAATGTGATCATAGTCAATACCTAAAAGAGGCAGTGCTGCTGCACCTTAGCTCAGCCCATGCATTGGAACTGAGCGCAGCCCACCCTGCTGGGCCTGCTCTGTGTGCTGCCAGCACCTGGCACTGGAGTGAGGCATGGCAGAGTGCGCTGCATGTGGGCCACGTCCCCAAGTCACCCTTTGTGACACCCAGGCAGTCAACATGCTGATGAA
This sequence comes from Homo sapiens, assembly GCF_000001405.40. Lineage (NCBI taxonomy): Eukaryota > Metazoa > Chordata > Mammalia > Primates > Hominidae > Homo > Homo sapiens. The sequence continues at coordinate 78,717,871 of NC_000018.10, read as the reverse complement.
AAGCTGTGACCGAGGTCTCCCACAAACAGCAGGAGGACATGCAATGCACCCGCCCCCCCAGTATGTCCTGGACATGGGTTGGGAGGTGGAGAACTGCGGGGTCAGTCATGGGCTCAGGAGGTAGAGACCCACGGTGTTGGTCATGGGCCTGGGAGGTGGAGACCCACGGTGTCAGTCATAGGCTCGGGAGGTGCAGACCCGCGGTGTCGGTCATGGGCTCGGGAGGTGGAGACCCACTGTGTCAGTCATAGGCTCGGGAGGTGCAGACCCGCGGTGTCGGTCATGGGCTCGGGAGGTGGAGACCCGCAGCGTCGGTCATGGGCTCTGGAGGTGCAGACCCTCGGTGTCGGTCATGGGCCCAGGAGGTGGAGACCCAGGGTATCGGTCATGGGCTTGGGAGGTGGAGACCCATGGTGTCAGTCATAGGCTCGGGAGGTGGAGACCCACGGTGTCGGTCATGGGCTCTGGAGGTGCAGACCCACGGTGTCAGTCATGGGCTCGGGAGGTGGAGACCCACGGTGTCAGTCATGGGCTCTGGAGGTGCAGACCCGCGGTGTCGGTCATGGGCTCTGGAGGTGGAGACCTGCGGTGTCGGTCATGGGCCCGGGAGGTGCAGACCCGCGGTGTTGGTCATGGGCTCGGGAGGCAGAGACCCACATGGTGTTGGTCATGGGCTCAGGAGGTGGAGACCCGCGGTGTCGGTCATGGGCTTGGGAAGTGGAGACCCATGGTGTCGGTCATGGGCATTGCTCTACCTGGTGAGAGGAATGTCTGCCTTTTAGATAGGTGCTCTGCCTTGAGAGACAACACTCTCTAATTCCTCTCCCTGCTAGCTGTTTAGTGCAGACACGGGCGTCTTCACTCCACTGGCACTCTTCAGCTTCTGCTGTTCCCATCCTTAACGTGTCTTGCATCCCTGTTCCTCTCACATGGTCCTCAGAAATGCAGTAACCTTGATTCCTGAGAGCTGCCACTCCGTTCCCAGAGGGAGGAGCAGGGATGGAGACCTAAGGGTGCCCTGGCCAGTGGAGTTGGAGGTCCAGACTGGGCCCGGACAGACCCACACGTTCGCGAGTCCTGACAAAAGCCACCGTGGTCAAATGCACGAGCACTCGAGGGCCAGCGCGGGCCGGAAGGAAGTCCCGCCACTCCCCGCCTTGTTCAGTGTTACAGGAGGTGAGAGCGGACATCATGGGAACCACATTTGTAAGGTCGCAGGTCCAGGCTCACCTAAGATCCAGGCAGCTGTAAACACCTCCCCTCATTCCTCATCGTCTCAGGTGTTGAGTGAATCATCCAAGACATCAAAGAAATCAGGCGCAGGGAGCATCCAGAGAACTGAAGAAAAAGAGAAAAGCAGTCCAGCTGCACAGGCAGAGCTCGCTAAAGCAGGTGAGAGGCTTTTTTTTTCCTTTATTTTCTTTCTCTCTCTCTCTCTTTTTTTTTAAGAGACAAGGTCTCACTGTTGCCCAGGCTGGTCTCAAACACCTGGGTCCAAGTGCTCCTCCTGCCTGGGCCTCCCCAGATGAGTGGCTTTTCGTGCTCAGGGCACAGGCCTGCTGTGTGTGGAGGCCTCTGGGTGTGGAGGGCCAGAAGCTCAGAATTCAAGGGGGAAGTGGTTTCAGACGTTTTAACTAGATTTTCAGTTTTCATTTTGACTGTTGCTCAGAGCTATTTGACCACTTGCCCACATTTGATCCGGATTCAAAGCCGGCCCGGAGGGAGGTGTTTCTTTTCTTCCACACTGCCTCCACCCTGAAAGCGCAATGCACAGGTGGCTAAAGACGTGGTGTAGGGATTTCTCTCATTATGAAAACATTCACTGGGCAGGATCTCAACGGAAAAACAAGTGCATTTTAAAAATTAATATCTCCTTTGGTGAACTGGTCACAAGAATATCAGAAAGGGTGGGGGTGCCAGGTGTGGTGGCTCAAGCTTGTAATCCCAGCACTTTGGGAGGCTGAGGTGGGCAGGGAACTTGAGGTCAGGAGTTTGAGACTAGCCTGGCCAACATGATGAAACCCCGTCTCTACTAAAAATACAAAAATTAGCTGGGCATGGTGGCATGTGCCTGTAATCCCAGCTACTTGGGAGGCTGAGGCAGGAGAATCACTTGAACTTGGGAGGTGGAGGTTGCAGTGAGCCGAGATGGTGTCACTGCACTCTAGCCTGGGCAACAGAACGAGATTGGCCAGTGGAAATGGTGGCACGGTAGAGAAATCGTGGGTCACGATCAAAATAACAGGTGCACACGGCATTCACTGCCATTTTCAGCTACTGTCTTCCGATATTTTCTTTCACTACTTCAAATACTTGAAGTTATTTGAGCCATCTTTAGCCTTTGCCAACTTTTTTCAAAATAGGAGTCTCTTTAGATTAGTGGGCATTATACATGACCTCAAAAAACAATTCTGCAAATATTCCATTGTCTGGTTTCTTGTTCTTTAATTCCTGCTGAATTAAGAAATGGCTTAAATAATGGCCTGTCCTTTGCAGTGGGCCCTGAGAAGCAACATGACTCTTGGCAGCATATCATAGAAAATAGATTTGTTAATTTGAAAAACGGTTTCCAGCAAATACATTTATTATAGTCCTATTTTCTAGTTTTGTATCAAAGAAGCATTTTCCCAGTATTATTATTTTAGGTCATTTAATACATTAAAAACACAATAAAGAATTTCGTGATCATTTGACCATAATGTGCATAGATTTTTAAGAGTCTTGGAAGTTTAATAATTTTGTATCAGAATATAGAGACAAAAAAAGCATATCTAAATCTCTCTCCACAGTAAATTTAAACTAATGACATACTTTTTATGATATGCAAACGTCAGATAACTACTTTTCAGAAAAAGTTCCTCTTGATCTTATTGTAACGATATTTTTAAATAGGGCAAGTTATTCTCTGAAAGGATCCAAATAATTTCAAACAGTTCAAATAATCTTTCTAGGTGTGACAGATAATTCCAGTTCTGGGTCCTCCGTATTCACACCCCTGGCTGGTATTACGCATTTCTGCCTTTCACCACAACCAAAGCAATGTGTGGGGTTTCCGTGCTCACTTTCTGTTCCTAGTGATCTGCTGGTTAAACCTCCTCCATCCTCTGACGCTCAGACAGTCCTCCCTCATGATCTGCTGGTGAAACCTGCTCCTCTGTCCTCTGACGCTCAGACAGTCCTCCCTCATGATCTGCTGGTTAAACCTGCTCCTCCATCCTCCAATGCTCAGGCCTCCCTCATGATCTGCTGGTTAAACCTGCTCCTCCGTCCTCTGACACTCAGACAGTCTTCCCTCATGATCTGCTGGTTAAACCTGCTCCTCTGTCCTCTGACGCTCAGATAGTCCTCCCTCACGATCTGCTGGTTAAACCTGCTCCTCCGTCCTCTGATGCTCAGACAGTCCTGATGGTTCCCCACATTATTCCCCCTTTCTTTGCCTGGTGGAAGGAATCGTTTTTAGTTAGGACTGTTCCATTTAAAATTAGTACTTGGACCAGCATTATTTCAGTCCTTCAGAAAGAATACCTCCCTATCAAAATAAACGTTTCCACTGAAAATGTGTCTGGGAAGCTTGACCCACGAGCAGCCGCCGGCACTTGGGAGCTCTGCAGTTCCTCTGAGTCCTTGCAGCCTTGATCAAATAAAACAGGCAGGTGCAAGTTATAGGAGTTACCCATTATTTATGGCTTTTAGAAACTTTGTGGGTTTAGCTGGTGAGAAAAGTTTTATTCCACTCACATGGACAAAACCCAACCGTCTGGGCTGATTGAATTCACATTGTTGCACGGGCACATGGCCGGCAGGAGAAAAATTATGAAATCTCAGGGCCTGTGCCATGGCAACTGGGCAAACAGCCCCTGGGAACAATGTGGATAATAGGAAATCGCAATATTTCTCTTTGTGTTTTCACTGCTGACAGTTTTATCCTTACATCTGCCCCATGTCCGGCGCAGGGTGGTGGACCGTCTGGGGCCACTCTCCCTCTCTCCCTGTCTGCTCTCCTCAGTGGCCGTTCCCTCATGGGCACAGCAAGCTGCCCGGAAGGTACTGCAAAGCCTATTTAAGTTTCAAAGACACAGGCAAGGAAAGTTTACCTTATGAGTGACTGAAGATGGGGCAGTCAGAGAGGCTGCAACCAGCCATTTACATGAATCTGATGTCGTGGCATTCTGGCTGTTTATTTACCAAGATGCTGCTGCATCAAAGGCAATATGTGGTGCAGAAACCAGGACTTGGGAGCTTTTGGCCTAAAGTGAAAAGCCGGAAAACCCACACGAACATAGGTGTCATAGTGTTCGGTGAATTACTGCTTTTTGAGAGTACATTGAAAAGAAAAACCATATTCTTTCCAATTATCTGAAATAAATATTACATGGAGTTATTTGAAAACAAATTCTTGCTTTCTCCTTTGGAATCTGACAGTGTTTGTGACTCCAGAATTTTCTCTCTCTGCTTCCCACTTTTCTCACCATGGAACTTCTTGTATATAGCTCAGCATTCCTTGGAGAGCCAGGACAGGATCCCCAGTTACCCGGGATGAGGAGAAACAGCCACACCCTGTTAGGCGACAATCCTCCAGGACCATGGACAGCAGCACACTTGGGGTCGCGGACCCTATCACAAACTCATGTCTACAGCAGTCACTATCTGTCTTCAGGCCTGTCCGCCCCTGGCTATTGGCTGCTGGGAAGTTCTGGTTTTCTTTTCTTTTTATATTTTCTTACCGTGGCTGTACATGTATTTGTGTGTTTCAATTAATGTACAAATGTCCATTTTTTAGATAGAAGTCCCTGTTCTGCCAACCACTTTTCTGTGAACTTGGGAAAATGACTTCACATTTTTTCTTAGCTTTTTTTGTCTGTAAAATGAGAATAATAATATTCTATTAGTGCGTGGCAATACTGAGATAATTCATGAACACACGTTGACAAGTGCCTGGTATACAGTAAGTGCTCAATTAGTATCAATTGTTATTCTCATCATGTTTTGTATGCCTTGGGTTCTGACTTGTTCCACCATACATTTCCCATGGCCTTTAGGTGGATATAGTTCTTTGAGATGGTAGCTCTTTCTCTGTTCCTTTTGCATACAAGGACACTCCATTGATTTGTGAATGAGGATGCTTACTGGACAAATACTGGCACAGAACTCAATTGCCCTGCCAGAGAGCAGGCACCCAAGGCACCCTGTATGTTCACCTTTGCAGGGGGAATCACACACCCTACAGAAATGTAGAACAAGAAGTCTAAGCAACTCTCCTTCTCATTCTCCCATTCCCGGGGGCCAGTGGTCACATACTTTTGTCATATGATCTAATAAAAGGCTCAAATCTTACAGTGTCATTCAGAAAGGACCAAAAAACCTGCATCTGTAAAGGTGGTTCAGAACCTGAACATTTTCCAACAGATTAGGGGTATTTAAATACTATCCTTGTTTAGTTAAGTATTGGTTTAATATGTAAGTTTTGTTTCTACAAGAGCCTTGAGAGAATTTTTTAAAAAGAGTGTTTTAAAGTTTTCTAATTTTCTGGGATTCTGTCAATTGATATGTGTTAGTCAGCTTGGGTTGCCATAACAAAATACCATAGACTGTGGCTCACACAGTGGAAGTCTATTTTCTCACAGTACTGGAGGCTGGAAAGCTGGAGGCTGGAAGGCCAAGCACAGGTGCCAGCAGGGCCGGAGTCCGGGGAGGACCTCTTCTGGGTGCAGCTGCCATCTTCCTGCTGAGTCTCACGTGGTGAAGGGTGGGCAGTGGGAAGAACCCTCCTGTCTGTTCTCATAAGGGCACTGATCCCATTCGCAAGTGCTCCTGCCTTGTGATTTAATCAGCTCCCAATGTGCCCATCTCCAAACTCCATCAGAGTGGGGATTAGGGCTTCCATTTATGAATTGCAGTCCATACCATGATAGTTTCCAGGATCTGAGGCACTCAACATGGAACATTTTATCAGTTATGCAACTCAGCTCCATCCCACTAGAATAGGACAGGTAGAATGGAAAGAAGTAAACTTGGAAGGATTGATGCTTCAAATTGTTGAGGCAGAGGATCTTTCTTGAGCCACAGTTGAGCAGCTCTGTCCAGCAGAGCATTTGGCATTTAGGGTCTTGTACCTCTGAGGAGTCACAGTGCCCCTGACTTGTTAAGATGCCCAGGGTGCGCTGGCCACCTCTGAAGGCAGCTAAGACTCCCCATGGGGGTTAGGGCAATTGCTTTGAACCCTTTCTTCTTTCAGATAAGTTTTAATTAAAAATAATTTTTTTAGAGACAGGGTCTTGCTCCGTTGCCCAGGCTGGAGTGCAGTGGTGCAATCATCACCCACTGCAGCCTTGACCTCCTGGGCTCAGGCGATCCGCCTGCCTTAGCCTCCCGAGTTGCTGCGACCACAGGCGTGAACCACTGTGCCCAGCTTCCAAGTGCTTCTTTCCTTCTCACATTCTGGTGCCACATTCTTGGGCCTGTTTCTCTTACCTGACTTCCTGCTACTGACTCCATAATTTCCACTAGGATTCGGTGTCACTGATATTTTATTTCAGACTTCTAAGAACACCAACTTTGCTGGCTTTTAGCACCATGTATTTTCTCTGTAAAGAATGTCTGCTTCAGCTCCAAACCCCGCACCCCGACGGCATCCTGTCTAGGCTGACTCTTGCCTTTTACTTTGGGAATGGGAAGATGGGGGGAAATTAGGACTCCTCAGTTTGTTCTGTTTCTTTTTAGGGGAGGTACTCGTGTCCTATGATCCTTCGTGCCATTTTTTGATTGCCCAGGAATGGAAGATTATAATCTGGCATTTTCTGTTTTCAGTAGCAGGTGAGACCCTGGACTGGTCACATTCCCTCCTCACCCTGCTCTCCTCTGGCCTCTGCAAAGAAAGTTCATCTGATCATGAGTTAATCAATCAAATTTGTTAGTGATCGCATGTTGACTGAGTGCCCTCTGTGTTTACATATTTGATTTGGTTTTCATTTATCCAGGTTCTCTTCCCCACAATTGCTTGTGTAAACTCTTTCTATTTGGGGTCCCACTTCTTACAGGAAGCCCTCCCTAACCGCCTGGGGGCAGGGCACACCCCTTTCCCTGGTACTGAGCTGTGCTCCGCCTGAGTCCCCACTGTACTGTGAACTCTACAAAAGGAGGACCTGGTCTTGATCACTGTTATCTCTGTCCCCAGGACAGCACTTGATAGGTGTAACTAATAAGTGATCAATGAATGCTAGTTTGAGTACATGAGCAAATTCAGATAAACTCCTTGAAACCAGTGTCCAGACTCTCATATATTCATAACTCAGCATCCTCACACCTCATGTGTTTCTTGACATAAAGTTTATGCATTTGAATTAAAATGGTAGTTTTAGTGACATCACTGAAATTAATAAAACATCTTTTGGATACCGCGTTGACCTATTGTGCTTTGGCAAGATATATTTTTGTCACGCAATTTTAGTAATATTGAGAAACTTGCTATAATTCATTAATTTTTTCTAAAAAGAATCAATAAGATACTCTAGGTATTTGTAAGCCTGGATGTAGATAAAGTATTTACAATTGCTCTAGACCCAGGGATCTCAAGAAAGAGTGAACTGACCCCCTGGAAAACTTTAGTGATGCTTGGAGACATTTTGGTGGTCCCACCAGGAGGGGTTCACTCCTGGCATCTAGTGGGTGGTGGCCCAGGTTCTGCTCATCACCCCATGGTGCAGGGCAGCCCCACAGCAAAGAATCTCTAATCTCCAGAGGTCAACATTGCTGAGATAGAGAGGTTCTTGTCTATACTGAATTTAATTCATCACAATATCTCTTTATTTCCTTCTATTTTTATGTAATGGATTAAAAGTGTTAAGGACAAGTTCTTCTCTTGGCTAAGTTGGAAAAGTTCCATTCACCCCACTTCCTCCCTCTTACAGGTAAACAATCCTGGCCGTCACACCACAGGCAAGCATGAACCCCTGAGGAGTGCGATGAAGGTGGAGTGGCCAGGCCAGGGCCTTGGACTGGAGGAGTGATGCGGCAGTGAATTCCCTGGGCATCTCTATTGCCTCCCTCACACCTGGGGGCTGGACAGGGCCCTGAGAGACTGCTAGCCCAGAACCACTGACAGGTGCAGACAAGAAATCTCCAAGAAAAGGCAGCTCCCCTAAATCAAGGGTGGCATACAGGGTGGTCTAGCAACAGGAAACTGCACACAAACCGAAAGGCAGAACCTCCTCTTTCCTCCTTGAGATTTCAACAGGTCCTTCCCCATCCTCCTGCGCAAGTGTCTGCAGTGCTCTGGTTCTGCCTGGCAGCATCTGTGGGGCTGAGCACAGGGATAATTTCCCAAGTCCCGGCTCAGCAGGGCCCACCAGGGTGTTGGGCTCATGCCTCCACTTGAAAGCAAGCCAGCAGTGGGGTTCAGCACCCTGCTTCTGCTGGGGCGGGGCAGTAAACCCGATAGTGAACTTCTTCCCTATTCACCCACAGCAAGGCTCGGAGGTGCTGAGAAGCCCTGTGGGAAACAGACACACAACCCCACCCGGGCCCTGTGCTGTACCTCAATATGCTGACCACCTGCTAAAAACAGAAAGCTTGATAGGACTGAGTGTCATGTTATAATATCGAGAATATCCATGATACAACCAAAAATCACTTATCATGCCATGAACCAGAAAGTCACGATTTGAATGAGAAAAGACTATCAGGAAACCCAACACTGAGATAAGTCTGAGGTTGAAATGATCAGACAAGGATTTTAAAGCTTCATAAAAGTGCTTCAGTAAGGAGTTACAGATTCTTTTGATACAAATGAAAAAGCAGAAAATCTCATCAAAGAAATATGTCATATAAAAAGAACCAAATGGAAATAATAGAACTGAGAAATAGAATCACCAAAATAATAATAATTAAAAAACCAACTTTCTGCATGGGCTTAGTTGTAGAGTGGAGATGACAGAGGACAAGGTCAGTGGACCTAAGCGAGGACAGGTGAGTGTCCTTTATCCCAACCGGACAGCAAGGAGCACAGGCAGACAACATTTAAACGCAGTGGAGACCTGTAGTGCAACGACACAAAAGCTACCATCTATGTCCTTGGATTTCCAGAAGGAGAGAAGAGAGAGAATGGGCTGAAAAAGTATTTGATGAATTAATAAATTGTTGTTTGGCAAAAGACAAAATCACAGATTCAAGAAGCTAAACAAACCCCAAGTAGGATAAACTCAAAGAAATCCACACCAAGAGACATCACAATTATGCAAACTAGAAATCTTCTGAAAACTAGAGAGAAAGAGGGAATGACACTACCCACAAGCCACAGCCCCGAATGTCAGAAGATTCCTGACCCGAAACCAGGAGGATGAGAGGAAGCAGCACAGCGTGGCTCAAGTCCGAGAAAAAGAACTGTCAACCAGGAATTCTATGTCCAGTAACAACAGCCTTCAGACATGAAGGAGAATCAAGACACTCTCAGATGAAGAAAATCTAAGACAATTTGTTGCTAGAAAGTCCACCCTTAAGGAATCACTAAAGGAAGTTCTCCAAACAGAGAGGAGATAACAACGGAAGAAGACTTGGAGCTTCAGAGAGGAAAGAAGATCAGAATGGGTGAAAATAAAGGTAAATATCATATTAGCCTCATGAGTTTCTTAAAGCATACTTGATTGTTGAAGCAAAAATGATAACCCTAAGTGATGTGACGTCAGTGCATATTGGAAAATAACACAATTCTATTGAAAGGGGCTGAACGGAAGCCAGGCTTTAATACTTCACTCAAAGTGGTAAAATGTTAATACTAGTAGGCTGTGGTAAGTTATGTATGTAAATTGTACTACCGAGCAGCAGAGAGCAAAGCGATTCAAAATGGTATACTAAAAACACTATAAATAAATCAAGGTGAATGCCTGAAAATTGTTCAGGTAGCCCACAGGAAAGCAAGACATGAGAAAAAGAGAAATGTGAAAACAGAGAAGCAAACCAAAAACAGATAAAATGGCTGTTATAAGTTCCTATAGATTAATACTTACTTTAAATGTAAATGGTCTAAACAGAACAATTAAAAGTCAGAGGCTGGCAGAGGAGATTCAAAAGAAGAAGACAACGTGATCCAACAAGAGTCTGTCTATAAGAAACTCACCTCAGATACAATGCCATATGCAGGCGGAAAGGAAAAGAATGCTAGTTTCTTACAAAACTAAACATGTTGTATCATAGGACCCCGCAATTGCATTCTTAGACATTTATCCTAGAGAGAAAAATTATAGTCACATAAAAACCTGGACATGCATGTTCCTAGCAGCTTTATGTCTAATAGCAAAAACTGCAAACAACTCAAATGTCATCCAATAGGTGAATGGTTAAACTCTGATCCAGCAGGATACTACCCAGGAATAAAAAGGCAAAAACAACTGGTCCATGCTGCAACTTGGTTGGATCCCAAAGGGCTTGTCCTGAGTAGAAAAAGTCAGTCTCAAAAGTTCCATATGTATGATGTAATTCATACAATGTTTTTTTTTTGTTTTTTTTTTTTTAGATGGAGTCTCGCTCTGTTGCCCAGGCTGGAATGCAGTGGTGGGATATCTTGGCTCACTGCAACCTCTACCTCCTGGATTCAAGCAATTCTCCTGCTTCAGCCTCCTGAGTAGCTGGGGCTACAGGTGAGTGCCACCACGCCTAGCTACTTTTTAAATCTTTAGTAGAGATGGGGTTTCACCATGTTGGCCAGGCTGGTCTCGAACTCCTGACCTCAGGTGATCTGCCTGCCTCGACCTCCCAAAGTGCTGAGATTGCAGGCGTGAGCCACCACGCTTGGCGTCATATAGTATTTTGAAATGACAAAATTATAGAAATGGGAAACAGATTAGTGGTTTCCAGGGGTTGGGGACTGGGACGGAGGTGGCCGAAGCCATACAGGGCGGCTCAGGGATCCTGGTGAAGGAGCCGTGCTGTGCACTGACTGTGCTGGTGGTCACATGAACGTACCCCTGAGATAAAATTGCACACACAGGCATGAGCGCAGGTAAAAATGGTGAAATCTTTATAAAGGTCAGTGGATTTTGTTGATATTAATTTCCTCTCTGTGATATTGTTGCACGGTTATGCTGGAGGTTATCACTGGGAGAAAACAGGTGAAGGTGTTATCAGGATCTCTCTTTTCTAGTTTTTACAATTGCTTGTGAATCTACAGTCATCTTAACGTAAAAATTTGAAAACCTATTAAAAAAGCACATTTTTATTTTTGTAGTTTGTGTGTTGCAGAAACTCCAGAACGGAGCCACTCTCATTACAGTGGCTGGTCCATCCCCTTCTCCAGCACCAGCCTGGGCTCTCCCTGGCCGGTCCATCCCCCTCTCCAGCACCAGCCTGGGCTCTCCCTGGCCGGTCCATCCCCCTCTCCAGCACCAGCCTGGGCTCTCCCTGGCCGGTCCATCCCCCTCTCCAGCACCAGCCTGGGCTCTCCCTGGCCGGTCCATCCCCCTCTCCAGCACCAGCCTGGGCTCTCTCTGGCTTCCGGTTGCGTTGCTAGGATTTGCCACAGCCATAGCACAATATGTGCCAGGGTGTCCAGCAACCCTCGTTCCATCACAACCTCACCTGTGTAAAACCTTGGCAGAGAAAGTGAGGAAACGTCATGGTGCAAAGCCTGTGGAGAGTTTACCGGCTTCGAAAATAGGTGCAGTTTGATTTAAAGCCGCCATCAGCCTACAGTGGGGCAGAATGCCACTGTGGGGCTTTTACTAAAAGTCGAGAACCGTGGGATCCAGTTGTAGTTGGCCGCTGGCTGCGTGCCCCTGGGCAGGTCCCTCACCTCTCTGGGCTGTAAAGAAAACAGCTGAACCCCAAGAGCCAGCTCCTCAGTCCCTTTAGAAGAAAACGGTCCACGATTCTGTAAATCCTTGAGCGTTTTTCCGGGGGATACACTGGTGTCATCTTCACCACGCCCTGTCGTTGGACCAAGGAGAGCAGGAAATTTCCAGTAATTACAGTTTCTATGCAAATACAATTGCTGGGCCTGGTTCAGTCATCTGTGGCACAACCCAATCAGCATCATCATCGTATTTTTGGATGTGGTAAAACCAGCCACGTGCCTGCGTTTTACAATCAGTTAACCCTTGCGCCGTAGGCTCTGTAGCCTCTGCCTGTAAGAGTCTGCCTTCCTTCTAGGGGCTTAGAGTTGAAAGTGCTTGTAGTCTTTAGAAAACACTTTAACCCAAACACTTAGCACTTGACTTTGTCCAGGCGATTACGTGCAGATCACAGAAGCCCTCCACATGCTTCCCCTTCCCTGCAACTCTGGAGCTAGGCAAAACAGAAGTTTGAAACTCTGCATATCAGTAGATGAAATATTATGAGCAGAGAACGTGAATGGAGGCAGAATTCCTGAGGGACCTCAACAGCTCCCTTCACCCACAGCCCTGCCAGGCTTCTGAGGCCACGCCAGGTGCTGGTGTCGGCTGGAGTCTCCCAGCAATCCTGGGTCCCCGTGGCCCGAGGGGCCCTGGGTCTTGTCAAAGCCGAGGAAGATCCTGTCCCCGTCACCGGCTGCCTTTCTTCTGTGCCTCCTCTCGTTTCTCAGCCTTGGAAATCCCCCCTCTCCCTCCGGGAGGCCCAGGCTCTGCAGTAGTGGCTGCCTGCCTGCCTCCCTTGTTCTGCTCCGCAGCAGTCCACTGGGAGGTCCCTCCCGCCCACGCCTGATGGCCACTGTCTAGCTGCCCTTTGCGTTTTCTGGCTTTGCCAGAGCTTTGGTTCCTCGCCCACAGGACTGAAAGAGGCCCTGAGTCCTTCGTGGCCCAGCTCACATGGCTGGCTGGTCACAGAGACATGTGGACACTGTGCTGTCAGCAAGCTCAGGTGTGGAGGTGGCAGATGGTGACGTGCTCAGGGCAGAATGCGATGGACTCAGAATCCTACAGATGCTCAGCTACCCCCGCCCCCCGTGCAAGCTCTCCCCTGAGCTCTGGCTCTCCTGGAAAAGCCCTTCTCCTGTGATGCTTTATTAGATGTTCATTCTCTCTCTCAAACTCCCTACTCAGTCTGGTAACTTTAAATATCTTTTGAGAACAAACAAACCTATTTTCTCTTGATTGAACTTTAATTTACACTATTGTTTTACTGTTTGGTTTTGGCAGTTGATAAGGAATATCAGAACGTTTTCCTGCAGTTGATGAATTTTTGTCATTATGTTGAAGACGAGTCAACTTGACCAAAGCGTTAACCATGACATTTGCTATCACGGAAGGTCGGAGATGTCTCTCTTTGCTTGAGGCGACCATGAGAACACTTTATCAGATGTTATACAAAAACTGGTGAGCATTCAGGCAGCTGGCCCCAGCTTCAGTCTGGATCTGCCTGGAGCAGCCCTCAGCCCGGGGTTTCACCACTAGATTCAGGACCTATTTCTTCTTCGTGGGGACGGCCTTTTTGGATTCAGTGGTGAACTGGGGAAAGTAGTTCTCATTGAATCTCAGAAGATCTTCTGTAGTTACTTAAGCACACACACTACATACACACACACATACACACCACACACCCAACACACACACCCACACACACCACACAGCACACCTCACCAGCACACACACCATAGACACACTACACACACACGTGCCACATCTCCAACACACACCACACACACACACTGCACACACACACCCAACACACACACCACATCCCCAACACGCACCACACACACACTTCACAAACACACCCAATACACACACCCCCACACACCACACACACTACACACACACCCAACACACACACCACATCCCCAACACACACCACACACACTACACACATAATACGTACGCCCCCACATACCACACACATACCACAAAGCACACCTCCCCAACACACACACTATAGACACACTACACACACACCCCACATCCCCAACACACACACTACACACACACCCAACACACACACCACATCCCCAACACACACCACACACACACTACACACACACCCAATACACACACCACACATACACCACACCTCCAACACACACACCGTAGACACACTACACACATACCACACCCCCAACACACAGACATAACACCCACACCCAACACACACAGCACACACACCACACCCCCAACACACACACCGCACACACCTCCAACACACACACACCACACACACTACACACCCCCAACTCACACACACACCACACACTCATAGCCGCCATGCCTCTGTCCTGCCTCTGCAGTGTCTGAGCGGCGGGCAAGCGCTGAAGCCTCGGTGACGAAAGCCACGTTTCACGGCCACCACGTGCTTTTTAACGAATTAATTGTGTCCCCTTTCCCTGGATGTTGAAGGCTGCCTGAGTGCTCCTGTGAATGCGCAAAGGACACAAAGAGAAGACGACAGGCCAGAGCCTTGGGGCCAACGTGGGCCTTCAGCAGGGCCTGGGGAGGGGTGAGGGCCGGGGAGCGCCCTGTGGCCTGGCGGGTCCCGTGTGTCGGAAGAGCGGTTCCCTGGGCGGTCACTGAGCTGTCTCCGGCAGGTGAGCAGCCGCTGGCGTGCGTCTCGGCAGAGATCAGGCACCCTGAGTTGTGCTTTCTCTGAGAAAATAACCCCGGAAGCGAGCTTCTTCAAGTTCCCACACTAAAAATATTCAGGAGACACAATTTACAAAAAAATCTCTTTCACTGCTCAAAAGCACTTTTTTTTGGTAATTTATACTAAGCCCTTTAGAATGTCATATTGGCCTTTTATTAGTAACCTTGACAATATGATTAGACTCCAAAAAATGTCTACTTGTTAGTGAATAGCTTCCATTCTCTAAACTTTAAAGAGGCTGCTCCGCCGTGACCAACGCAAGCTTCATTTTTTAGTTTTTCGCAACCGAAAAGCACAGATGATAGTAAAATATATGTTTAGGTCAAGCATTCAATTCAGCTTATCTGGTGACAGTTAAATAAATGTCATAGTGACATAAATTTATTTTAACAAACCATTTGGATGCCATAATTCGGACAGACCTCTCACTTTCGTTTTCCAGATTATACTTTATAATGATAAAAATAGAGTTTTATAATTATAGAGTGAACTTTATAACTATAAAAATCATTTTGTTAAAATATAGAGAAAATGTTTATTTTCTAGTGGCAAAGCCTTTGTCCTTTTAAATGTTATTTCGTCTTCATTGTATGTTGAATCCCATTTACATTTTGTTTAGATGCCGCTACAAATAGTGTAAAGACAAGTTGCTGAAGTTAAATTGAGACAAATCTTTACTTATTTTGATGACAAGAAGACAAGGAGATCATTAGTTATATTAATTGAAATGCATTTTGTCAACATTGATCAAGCTTGAGGGGCCAAAAAAAAAAAAAAAAAAAGAAAAAGAAAAAGAAAAAAAGAAAGAGAAAAAACCCAGAATAAACAAACAAAACAAAGCAAATCTCCCAAACACCAACAACCTGAAATCAAAGCTCAAACTTTAACCTTCTGAGAGATCTTGCTGTGCTTTTAAAAAGTCCCCGATATTTTTATGCGCCCTCCCCAACCCCTTCTCTTCACTGCCCACATGTTATTTAAATGCTGATGATCTTGTTCATGGTAATTTCGATGAGCCGCCGCAGACATATAATGCTCCCTCTTTTAATAGGTGCAAAGTGAGTTATTGTCACAAAGCAGATATGAAAAAAGGACGTGAAAGGGAATCTTGCCTAATCTCTGTAATGCGGGCTTGGGAGGGTGCTAACGTGGTCACCTGAATTATGCATGTCTATTGTGTTCAAATATCATAAATCGGTGCATGAATACCCTCCAAATCATTTTCAGTTCGTGAACATTTATATACAGCGCTCTTGAGCACTGCAAAGACAATTAGTCATATTTGTATGCCGGAATTAATTGAGAGTGAGATGCGGGAGGCAGAAGGAGAGAACAAAGAATGCTTTTTGTCAGTTCTTCCAACTGACAGGGATAATTAGATATATGAAATTGAAATTCCTCAGCAGGGGGTTTCTGTTGACAATGAATTTTCTTTTGATTCCATTCTGTTATTCTTTTATGCTGTCATCTGTGGCAATTTGTTATTCAGCTTGAAGCTTAAAAAAGCAAAGCATTCCGCTTTTATGAGTAGATGATGTCAGTTTGTACACTGCTGGGAAATAGATATTAAATGTAATCTTTAAACTAAAAAAAAAAAAGAAAAGAAAAGAAATAAAATAAATCAGTTAAAGAGACAGTGTGCTGTTTACCCAGCCTGCAGAGAAGAAACTTTATAAGAAATAGTCAGAACTTGTTCAGTGGTTTTTGAAGTTGTTCAAGCTCCATTAATCAGGTGCCTTTACTGCGGCTTGAACTATTCTTCTAAGAGGATGCAATTTAATGCTGGAAATTCAAGTATGCAATGCCAAAATGGCACTAGATGCTGTTGCAGAATGCTACTCTTCTCTTTCTTAATCTCATTTTCATTCACCACTCTGTTCTGTCTTCACAACACCAAAAGCATTATTTACAGATTATCATTTTTTCCTTCCATCTGAATCAAATGCTGTGGACCTAGAGTATTTGTAGGAGAAGACTCTAAGAAAACCTTAGACAAAACCCCCCAAATATGGTCTGCATATATTATTTATCCAGGCTGATTGGCAAACTTGATTGAGAATATTTTCTACATTAGACTTCAAGATAATGGCCCATTTAGGTTGCAGCTCATTAACTCTTGGGGTCTTTTCTTCTGCAGAAAGAGCCTGCCTTGGTGTTGGTGTAACAGAAACCCAGTCCCGACTTCATTCCTCGGACTCTAGCTACTTCTGTGAATGGTGGGCGAGGTTTTCACTTCCTTGAGCCTTTCTGTCATCTCTAAAGAGACAATTGGAATTGCTACCCCTCACTGCTGCTGTGAGGAAGGATTTAGCATAATGCCTGGTAGTAGGAATCGTAGATGTGTCTTAAAAGTTAGATCCCTGCACCTGTCCTTATGCGTATCATTGCCTTTCTTAAACTTTCATTCATTCCTTCATCCATTGCTCCCACCCACTCATTCTTTTAAAGTGTGCATATTATCTAAGACCAAAGGTGCCATGGTTGATCCTGGGGTTGGAGTCATGAGGAAAGCAAAGGTGGTCCTGGCAGGGCTCGGGGTCTGCTGCAGCCTTCTCAGAGTGGGCTTTGAGCACCAGCTGCATCCAGATCACCAACAAAATTTGTTTAAATGCAGTTTCTCTGGCCGGGTGTGGTGGCTCACTCTCGTAATTCCAGTGCTTTGGGAGGCTGAGGCAGGAGGATCACCTGAGGCCAGGAGTTGGAGGCTGCAGTGAGCTGTGTTCATGCCACTGCACTCCAGCCTGGGCAACAGAGCAAGACTCTGTCTCTAAATAAATAAATAAGTGTAAATAAGCACAATTTCTTGGATCCCTCACCATGTCTACAGAATCAGAGTATTTAGGGCAGAGCACAGAAGTCTGAATTCCATTACTGTCCAGGTGGCTCCCATATATGTTAACATGTGCAGATTATCTGCTCTCCAGGTGGCTCCCATGCACGTTAACATGTGCAGATTATCTGCTCTCCAGGTGGCTCCCATGCATGTTAACATGTGCAGATTATCTGCTCTCCAGGTGGCTCCCATGCATGTTAACACAGGTGGATTATTCACTCTCTGGGTGGCTGGCATACATGTTAACACGTGAGGATTATCTGCTCCCCAGGTGGCTTACATACATGTTAACGTGCAGATTATTCACTCTCTGGGGGGCTGGCATACATGTTAACACATATGGATTATCTGCTCCCCGGGCAGCTCACATACATGGTAACATGTGCAGATTATTCACTCTCTGGGAGGCTCACATACATGTTAACACATAAGGATTATCTGCTCTCTGGGAGGCTCACATACATGTTAACACGTGAGGATTATCTGCTCCCCAGGCTGCTCACATACATGTTCACACATGAGGATTATCTGCTCCCCGGGCAGCTCACATACATGTTCACATGTGTGGATTATTCACTCTTGGTAGGTATCTGAGTCTCTTCGAATGTCTTGCCGACTGCAAGAGTAAATTACTGCTTCAACGTTAATTTTCTACAGAGCTGGGAGTCAGACACACTCTCTTTGCTTTTGTGTCATTAATCAAAATGTTCATGCCGGAGCTGACATTTATTGGAGCGCCTTGGTCAATCCGTGGGCACCGGTGCCAGCAGAGGAACATGGCTTCAGACAGCGGCACCTTCAGGGGCCTGGACGAGATCTACAGCAGAGGCCAATGCCCACGATGGCACGAGCACCTGGGATGAGTGGGAACGGGGAGTGAGCTGGCACCTGGACATGGACTGTGTTTTCCTGCAGAGTGTCCCTCAGGAAGAACAGAGCTGGGCAGTGGGACACAGTGGGACACGGTGGCTGCATGGATTCCCATTTCAGGGTCATGATTAGAGAGGCATTGTCCTTGGATGTAATGCTCAAATTTCTCCTTCGGCACGTCTGCACACATCACAAGAATTCTGGCTTTTTTCTTTTTTTGTTTTTGTTTTTTTCCTTTTTCTTTGTACTCGTGGTTTTCCATTGAGCATTCTTAAGTTCTCCTGCCTCTGCTTCTTCATTTCATCCATGTCCAGTCTCCTTAAAGTTTGGAAGGCTTCTTGTTTTCCCAAAGTGAAAGTTCATTAATGAAAAACAGCACCCTGTTGACTGAATTAAAAGGAGCCACAACATAAAACTCTAATTTTCACCCAAAACAAAAATCTCATGGGGCATTGCCAACCTCGTGCCACACTTGGACCCCATGAATGACGGTGCCACGTTGAGAGGTTCCCACGGATGATGGTGCCACATTGAGAGGGCCTCGTAAACCAAGGAGACATTTATACAAATTCCAGGAGAGAAGGCCAAGGACAGGAAAGCTCACTGTTGATAGGAGACACAGTTGAGACAGAAACACAGGGGTGAACACAGCCCCATCCAGAAAAGTGTTCTGGGGAGGATGGAATGAATTTGAAACCAAAACAAAGGCCATCATTTTCTTCAGACTGAATTAGGTTGAAGATGTTTACCTGTGTTCCCTTTGCAATCTTTTTAAAGTGCGTGATCAAAATCACTGGACTTTCTTTTTTTTCTTTTTTTTGAGACAGAGTTTCGCTCTTTCGCCCACGCTGGAGTGCAATGGCTTGATCTCGGCTCACTGCAACCTCTGCCTTTCGGTTTCAAGCGATTCTCCTGCCTCAGCCTCCCGAGTAGCTGGGATTACAGGCATGCACCACCATGCCCGGCTAGTTTTTGTATTTTTAGTAAAGACGGGGTTTTGCCATGTTGCCAGGCTGGTCTTGAACTCTTGACCTCAGGTGATCCACCCGCCTTGGCTTCCCAAAGTATTGGGATTACAGGTGTGAGCCACCGCGGCCTGCCTGGACTTTCTACAGAGATGAGTTGGTGCTGTTTTGTTTTGTGTTTTAGTCTCACAAGCTAGAAGTTCAGAGGTGAGGGTGAAAGAGCTTGGGTTTGAGAAACGATATTTTCTGGATGGTCATTGGCCCTCGCTGGGGAGGGGAGGGAGGCGGTGGGGGAGCATGGGGCCACCTGCGCTCATTCCTGAAGAGAATGAAAACCTGTTCATGCCAGTGCCAGTCAGGACCCTGTGGTGGGGCTTCTGGGGCGCTGACTGTAGCATCACCATTCGCCTAATAAATGTTCACTCCTTAGGCAGTGGCTGTGTGCCGGGTCGTCAGAACAGACAGGGAGACCCAAATGGCCGGAGTGGATGTAATAAAGTTTTCAAAGAAATTCAGTATGAGGCAAGTATCACCCCCAAACCCCTCCAAGAAGGGCAGTGCAGCTCAGATTAAATTAGCTGGCATCTGCATGGCAAAGTCATTGTCATCTGTTTAGCAGTTGTCAGAATTGTGACGCTTTTGACCCTGCTTGTGGCCGGCCAGATAGCTGGGATAAGGACAACACCTGCAAGACAAAGGCACGACCCATGGGTGGGCTGATCCATGGAAATAAAATAATCGGGATTATCCACCCCAGAGAAGAGAAAGCTAAATAAGCTAAGTCATGATTTAATGGTAGTCTCTCATCAATTGTGAACAGTTTTGTAGATACCTCTCTACAATAGAACAGGAAAAATGTTACTTAAATTTTAGCAAGAAAAGCTACGTTGAAGACTTTCCCGGTAGTGCAGTTTACTAGCTTAAGCGTGATTACCACGGTGTCTGCAGATACTTGAGGTCAGCAACTTGACCGCAGAGGAGCCCGCGATGTGTGAGGGTCAGAAGGACCCCTGTCCTCAGAGCTCAGGGTCTGATGGGCGAGGACAGGCTGGAACAAATGGAACCGGAAGAACAAGAGAATCACAGCACTGGCTTCATGGTCAAAGTCGTGTTGGGGGCAGAAGGGAATCTCCAGTGCCTGGAGGGGTGGGGGCTTTGAAGGAGCTGATATTTCAGGCTGGTCAGGTAGGCTGGGATGGGATGTTAAAAAGTTTTAAAATGGGAAGAAACCAACCTGGTCTATCGAGGACATGGATGCCGACATGTCCGGTGGACAGGAGTGGGCTCAGGCTAGAGGCTGTTGCCACCATTAGACTCAGAGTTGAGGGGTGAAGGCACAGACGCAGACCCAGGTGGAGTTGACAGGGCTCAGTGGCTCACCAGACAGGAGAGAGGAAAGAGGACCTGGACATCAGACGGCCAAGGTTGGGGTGGGCATGGGGAGCGCCGCGCTCACCACCACCACCACCGACACCATTGCTGAGGGTTTTGTGTGGGAGAATGACAGAAATGTTCACAGATCATTTCATCTTTGTGACAAAATTAAGACAGACCATAGTATCTTAATCTTCCACATGAGAAAACGGAAACTTGAAGTTAAATACTTTGCCCAAATTCACGTAACTCAGGGTTTTTCACCCAAACCTGCCTGATCTGAAAGTGCGTGCTCTGAATGGGGCATAAACACAACCTGCAGAAGGCAGGCTTTGGGGCGCCGGGGGGCGATTGTGAGGCTGAGTTTTGTGGAGATGGCGGCAGGATGAGGTCAGAGAGGGGCTGGGCTCCTGAGATGCCTGCGGTGCGCGCTGGGTGGCAGGGCATGCTCCCCACTGGCAGCTGCCCTGTCCGTGGCAGAGCTCCAGGAAGAGTGCTTTAAATCTCACCACCTTCCCGGAAGCTGGAAGGAATTTGGTTCCAATCTTCCAGCAAGAAAAAGTAGCATTGCACCAACCAAAATTCTGGCATTTGAAATTAAAACCCATCTGTGACTAGAGCAAGCTGCTCACTGATGATGGTCACTCACATTTGCTGTTAGATCAGGCACTTTGGGATCAGATACAATTTATCTTTGGTATCTGACTTTCTTCAGAGACAGAATAATTTAAGAAAAGTAACTTGTAAAGATTTTTTTCTTCTGTTTCAACAAATAATGACCCATTCTCGTATCCTCTCTTGACAATCCAAAGTGGAAGACAATGTCGGGTTTAGCCCAGCAGTGCTAAAGGCTCGAGTCTGGAGTCACCTCATGTTGGACGCTTTGTCAGTGCTCGTCAGCATTGTCTGTAAGATGGCTTTCCTCTTGAGTACAATCCCAAATGATTAACTCAGAGCTTTGTGCCATACTTAACTTTGGTTTTCTTCAGCAAACAACATATGGTTTGGTTGTGTCCCCACCCATATCTCATCTTGAATTGTAGCTCCCATAATTCCCTTCCCGTGGAAGGGAACTGGTGGGAGGTAATTGAATCACAGGGGCGGTTTTCTCCACACTATTCTCATGATAGTGAATAAGTCTCATGAGATCTGATGGTTTTATAAGGGCAGCCCCTTTTGCTTGGTTCTCATTTTCTGTCTTGTCTGCTGCCATGTAAGACCTGGCTTTCACCTTCCACCATGACCGTGAGGCCTCCACAGCCATATGGAACTGCGAGTTCATTAAACCTCTTTCCTTTATAAATTACCCAGTCATGGGTATGTCTTTATTAGCAGCATGAGAACAGACTAATACAATAAATCCGTACCAGTAGTGTGGGGTGCTGCTGCACAGATACCCAAAAATGTGGAAGTGACTTTGGAACTGGGTAACAGGCAGCGGTTGGAACAGTTTGGAGGGCTCAGAAGAAGACAGGAAGATGTGGGAAAGTTTGGAACTTCCTAGAGACTTATTGGATGGCTTTGACCAAATGCTGATCGTGGTATGGACAATGAAGTCCAGGCTGAGCTGGTCTCAGACGGAGATGAGCAACATGTTGGGAACTGGAGTGAAGGTGACTCTTGCAATGTTTTAGCAAAGAGACTGGCGGCATTTTGCCCCTCCCCTAGAGATTTGTGAGACTTTGAACTTGAGGGAGATGATTTAGGGTATCTGGAATGTCGAAACACAATGAAATATCAAAAACCCAGTGAAACAAATAAAACTTAGCCCATTAGCCATGTTTTGATTTTGCCAGTGCTGTTTCATTGCTGTGTGGGCTGTCGTAAGTTCAGGGCCAGTTTTTCAGCTGTTTCCTATAATCTGTTAATAGCTCAATGTGTGTAAGCCGTGGCAGGGCATTGAGACGATGCAGATTTCAGTGAGCTTAGGGATAAGAAAAATCGTATATCTATTATACACATATATATATATATATTTACTATTCTATGCCAGTTTTTCACTATCAGCATTCACATAGTTAAAAACAGGTTATGATTTTTATGAAGCTTTTCCTTTGGCAATGATGGTTCTCATACTATTGGGGGGTGGGGGGGCTGGCACCTCTCCTTGCAATGCTTCCATAACTGCCCTGATTAAGTTTGTGCTGATCTCACCCACGAGACTGCATTTTCTTTCAGGGAAAGGGATGTTTCCTTCTTTCTTTTTTCTTTTTTTTTTTTTTTTGAGATGGAGCTCTGCTCTTGTTGCCCAAGCTGGAGTGCAATGGTGTGATCTTGGCTCATGGCAACCTCCACCTCCTGGGTTCAAGCAATTCTCCTGCCTCAGCCTCCTGAGTAGCTGGGATTACAGACATGCGCCACCATGCCGAGTTAATTTTTTATTTTTAGTAGAGACGGGGTTTCTCCACGTTGATCAGGCTGGTCTTGAACTCCCAACCTCAGGTGATCCGCCCTCCTCGGCCTCCCAAAGTGCTGGGATTACAGGCGTGAGTCAACATGCCCAGCCGGAAAGGGCTATTTCTTGACAATTATTGTGTCCCCAGATTTCAGCAAAAAATGACTGCTGCATAGTAGGTCCTCAGTAAATAACTATGGAATGACTTCAGAATCCTGGCTATTTAAACTCAAGAAACAGGCACCGATGCCCCCGGGTGTGAGGCCCGCGTCGTGCCCTCTGCAGGGTACCAGTGGCAGCCACTCAGGGGAGTCCGTGCTGCTTGTGATTTAAGCAGGATGTGTCTGGAGTGATGGTCAGGACTCCAAACTTACCCCATGGTGTCTCATGGAGCATGACGCCCAGAGCAGGTGGCCCTGCAGGGTGCAGGTGCTTATGGTTAGTGGGCCGCAGCCATCTTCCTTACGATGTTACACTAATGTGCTGCTCCGCTTCCACCACGGCTGAGGACCTGTAGAATTTTTTAGTAAGAACTTGAGAAATTTCAAAGAGTACTCTGACTGGACTTTTCATGGAGCTATAATTTTGAGAAAAAAAAAAGCTCTAATGAGAAAGATGCTTATTATAATCTTTAGATAATTTGTACCAATGTTCATCCAACAGCCAGGATACTTAGTAATTATCTTCATTTAAGATTCTGATTTAAAGTAACTTACCAATTTCAAAAATTCCAAAATGGGCACTGGACGGATGGTACAAAGTGTTGGTCAACTTTTGGGATACCTTAGCCAACTTCTTTAAACAGGAATGGCTACATCATATGATCACAATACTTTAATGGTGGTGGTTATCTATAAGGTGAGGTACAGGAGGGACTTTAGAAAGAAGTTAGCTCCAAGTCATTTATTTTTATAAAGAAGGAAATTAGCTTGAAAATTCTGATCCAGGGAAGTATGAGATATCCCTGAAAGAAAAACGAAGCCTCACATTCTCCTTAAAGGTTCTTGCGGAAAGGAAATATTCCAGGTTTATTTTGTAGCTCCTAGCTCAGAGGTTCTCTGTTGTTAGGATCATAGGGATATATGAGAAACAAGTTAAGAATGTGTGTTCCCAGCCCCATCCTGGTGTCAATTCAGGAGACCCAGGGCAGGGACCAGCAGCCTTGTTCTTAAGTATCCACAGTGACTGTTGCGGGCAGTTTGGTTGTGCGGACAGTGCTTGCTGGTCCGGTCGCCCAGTGTCAGTGAAGGCTCCTTGGGGGCTCTGTATGGGAGTTCTCCCTGTGGGCTCCATGCTGGGACATGCTGGGGTGTTGACATGCCCCATATGGGTCCCGAGGAAGTTCAGTGGTTGGTGCCTGGCTCCGGAGTGTGCCTATTTCCCACTCCTGGTTCAAACGGACCTGTCTTCCTTGAAGCTGTTTGCTCCATGTGTCTTTCAAGACCTCTTTCCTCTGTCTACTGATCAACTGATCCATCACCCTTGTCTGTCTGCCTATCTCTATCTATCTATCTATCTATCTATCTATCTATCTATCTATCTATCATCTATCTATCTATCTATCTATCTATCATCTATCTGTCTACCACTGATTTCTTGATCTGTCCTTTTGGATATGCATTAAATG
This sequence comes from Homo sapiens, assembly GCF_000001405.40. Classification (NCBI taxonomy): domain Eukaryota; kingdom Metazoa; phylum Chordata; class Mammalia; order Primates; family Hominidae; genus Homo; species Homo sapiens. The sequence continues at coordinate 78,693,269 of NC_000018.10, read as the reverse complement.
CTGCATGCATATGCTTAAAGCTTGTGGTGAGGAAGTTAAACCTGCACAGGATGAGGGTGACCAGTGAAGCAGAAAGCATGGCTCAGATTCAATGAATCAAGTCCTGGCTCTCTGGCTTTGGAATGATTCTTTTGTTCTGGAGTGCATTGGTGCAACCTTGGCTCACCGCAGCCTCAACTTCCCGGGATTAAGCCATCCTCAGCCTCCTGAGTAGATGGGACCACAGGCATACGCCACTAATTTTTAATTTTTTTGTAGATATAGGGTCTCGCTATGTTGCCAGGCTCCTGGGCTCAAGCGATTCTCCTACCTTGGTCTCCCAAAGTGTTGGGATTATAGGCGTGAGCCACGATACCTGGCCTGGAATGAGTCTTAGTTCCTCTCAGCCACAGTTCTTCATGTGCAAGGGGAGTGATGATATCTGCTTCTCATAAGGTTAAATATAATACATATAACACTGAGATTGATTGGGCCAATTTTGGAGCCAGTTAAGTATGGAACTAGAAAACAATATTGATCCATAATTCATACTTTATACCAAAATAAATTCCAGATGGACAAAAAAATTAAGTGTAAAAAATGGACCATGAAAGTACTAGAAGAAACTATCGGGGGTATTAAAAAATATTCTTAGATATAGAAAGATCTTAAATTATGACATAAACATTTAGAAACTAGTTGGTAAATTCAGCTATATAACTTTTCTTCATTTCTTAGCCAAAAGACAAATAACAAACTGGCAAAAATATTTATAATTCACATAACAGGAAAACAGCTAATTCCCTTATATATAAAGAGCCCTTACAAATCAAGAAGAAAAGATCTACAATGTAATGGAATGAAGGGCATAAGACATAAACTGCCTGAAAAAATACAAATGGCTCTCAGACACATGAAAAGATACTCAGTTTCATTCTGAGTAAGAGAAAGTCACATGAAAGGAACACTGAGCTGTCACTTTGTACTCACGGGATGGGCAAAGGTCTAAAAGCTTGGTAACACACTGCTGAAGAGATAACAGGTCTTTGAAACAGTGATGGGAGTGTCACTTGGTAAAACCTCTAAGGAGGTCTCTTGGCAAGAAGTATAAAAATTACACATGTACTCTTTGGCACAGTAATCTTGCCTTAAGAAATTTATCCTGTAGGCATACTTACTTGTAAGTGAAGTGACACTTTTTTTTTTTTGTAAAAGCAACAGGTAGGAAAGAAGTTAATGCCTCTCCATAGGAGACCCCATAAATACTCTTTGGTACCACACAGCGGTCTCTCATTCTTATTTAGTTATTTAGGGATCTATACGAGGAACAATGCACATCTTTACCACAATGAGAAGGGTCTTTATAATTGCCATGTGATGATACCTTAAATGCTCCCTAGCAAAACGAACAAACAACAAAAGCGGAAAGCAAGGTTCAGAACAATGCAGCTACCATGACCTAAAACCTACCGAAAATGAAAAGAGGACCCAGTGCACATTTGTAGGTATATTCCTAGAATGTTTCTAGACGTGCACAAGACGCTCTTACCACTGTGTGCCTCTGGGAGGGGAAGCAGGGGAGGCCAGTGGGCAGGTGTGAGGGAAACTTCACTGGGTGCCTTTTCCTGCCTTTTGAACTTTGAAATATGTGAGTTATTATTTTAAAGCTAAATAAACAATTAAAAGGGATAATAAAGTGATAAGTTCAGGACAACTTATTCCAAATAAGGAAGCCTCGTGATGTCCCTTGTGTGTGAGGGTGTTTAGAACTGGAGCCAACAGACGGAGCAGGGGATGAGGGGAAACACTTACTTTGTTGATTTGGGTTGTTCAGACAAATACTGTTTAAAAATCATATAGTCAATTCTCATTTTCTTAAAAATAGTCTAAGTGATTGATCTAATTCCTCTCTTTCTCAGTCAGGCGTTATAGTCTTAGTGGCGCAATCTGTATACCGGTAAAGTTACGCTTTCTTCTCTCTAATGTTTAATCAATCATGATGGAGAGGTTAGACCATATTTCCACTCCTAGGTATTTTTTGTTTTATTTTCCCATGAATAGTATGTAACATAGCTAGTAGAGAATCCAGATACTTAAAATTGCATCTGTTTGAGTATCCATACATTTTCAGGGAACATTTGCACTCGTATTTTTGAGGTCCTTCTTTCAGTTCTCTCTGGCATTTAAAAACTTTCTCCATGTTTACCTAGGTGAAAAAAAAGCAGAATACTAAGGTAGCCAAACACAGGATCATGAGCAGAGAGGAGAGGAGCTGGGTCTGAATTTTCTCTCCACTCCATCTCTAAGGCGGAGCTCTGGGCCTTGCAGTTAGTAAACAACAGATAATGCTTACTGGAGAAAGAAATGAGCTCCTTGCTTTGATGTGCCTCAGATAAAAAAGTCTAAAGTGGCATCTGGATAGCTCTGTTTTAAACAAAGATGGCTGCCTCATCCCTGTCTGCCTTCATCGACGTTTGGATTTGTTTTGCTTTCACACTCTGGTAGGAGGCTCCTACTCTGTGCCAGCCTAGGGGAGTGAGCTCTGAGCAAATGCTGCCCTAGCCCGCACAGTGCTTAAGAAGCAGTTTCTCTCCACAAGTCATAACTGCTCGCTGACAGCCCTGCCTCATCCCCCTGCTTCTAAGACTGTGTTCTGCAGTCACATAAGATGTACTAGGTGGTGATGATCAGGGTCTCAGAGGGCATCTTTCACATGCACATGCTTCCCTGCTATCTAAGTTTTGTTTTGTAAGCGAGCTGCGCAGACAAAATCACTGTTCATACAATCCTTCTGAAGAGCAAATTAAATCGCTGTTGTGTGGCTGCGTTGCCACAGGAGTTATGGTGTTGGTGGTCTTCCTTCTCAGGCCCACCTGAGTGAGTGAGTGTTTGGTTTGCCACCTGAACGCCACCAGCCGCCTTTGTAGCAGGTGCAGAGTCTCAAACCTGCTGTTTTGTTCCTGGTCTGTTTTCCTAAGAAGATGGAGCCTTCCCTGCCTGAGGGGCTCCCAGGCTCTACCTGGACTCTGGCGCTGACAACAATTATTCTCTTTATTCAAATTTCTGGCTTATATCATGGTGCAGATTAAGTAGGATGCTTTGCACAAAGCATTCCGCACAGTGGCAGTCAAGTGGTAACTTTCCATTTCTCTTACTGTTGCTGTTGTCTTGAAAAGAACCATTCTCCAACTTGGCCTGCAATTCCCAAAACCCTGCCATGGCGCTGACATGGCCCACTGTGCTGGCTCTGTGTGGAGTCTGCAGCATCCTCATCCTGGTAACTCTGGGGTGATGCGGTAAGGCCAGTGCCTTCGGTGTGTTCCGCTGGAGACGGGACGTGTCACTGTCTCCTCCGCATTGTTTCTGGCGTTCCCAGGGCCTGTCATCTGGGAACAGGCCGTGTATTCAGAGGGAATATCAGTCTCATTTAGACATCTGGAAAAGAGAAAAAGCAGTTTCCCCTTTCCACATCAGCCTTTCCATGATGGACCAGTTTGGTGTGGTTTGCGCAGGTGTCCACCCAACAGCCATCGGAAGTGGTTTGAAGGCAGGCGGCTGTCAGAAAGGGACATACTCAAAATGTAAACTGGGTGCCCCAGGAGTGAGGCCCGGATGCCCCAGCTCCCGTCTACTCTCTTGGAAAGCTTGTGGTCAGGACGGCATCTGCTTCGGTGTTTCCTGACCTCTCGCTTCCACTGCTGTCTGTAAACCTGAGGATAATCAGCCGAGGAAACGAGGTCCCTGCTATGTAAGCTTCTGTTCTAAGAGTGCTCTGCAGAGGTGGGAAGTTTTCTGTTAAGAAATTAGCATCCAACAGAATCAAGCCATCTGTATGAATCCTTCCAGCCAGGTCTCTCTCTGCCTTTCCAGAAAGTGCCCGTCTCTGTGTCACCTCCCACGGCCCACACTACATCTTCCAGAGCCCACTCCATGCCTGTCAGCTCGGCACCCTGGAGGGGCCAGTGGTGGGACAGGGTGTCCCAGGCCAGGAGCCCACCCTGGCAGCTCCTTTGTGGACATTGGGGCGATGATCAGCCACTCAGGCAGTGGCGATGGCTGAAACTGTACCCAGAGTCCACATCAGTGCTGGCTGGGACAGAATGGTGCCCTTCTGGGGTGGGACGGGTCCCCTAGAAGAGACTTGCTAAGAAGTGGCTGGTCGGACGCCTCCCAAGATGGCTCTGTGCCAGCGGCTCGGAGCTGGGGGCTTGGAGCTGGGGTCTCTTGGAGCAGGTCTCTGTTGCTGGTGGGTCGGGCCTCCTGTCGTGGTGGTGGCTGCTCAGCCTTGGCAGGTGAGGCCTGGGCTGGGCCTGTGACTGGCCCTGTCGGTGTCACAAGGCGTCTCTCATAAGCACTTTGCCAGATTGGCTCATGCCTATCGCCGGCCTCCCCCTGTTTACCCCCTCCTGTCTGACCTGCACCTGCCTGGGGAGGCATTCTTTTCCTGCAGCTGGGGGCTGGGGTCTCTGACCAGAGGATCTGTCTCCTTGTGTCCTCAGTGGACGGGTGGCTTCTGGTCACAGCCCCCAACTCTGCAGCCTCCATGTTTACTATTTACCCCCCTCAATACTTCTGAAATTCTGGAAATCCTGCACCCGTTCACCCCAAATCAGTCAAACCCAGCAGGAGGCCTGAGTAGCCTTCCTGCCCCAGAGGTGCCAGGGCCTGTAGCTATTCTACCCAGCCCGGGCCGATCCTGGCATCTGTTCCCAGGACTCATGGGTCCCTGACTCTTAGGTTGCATTTGTGGAAGCAGAGAACCTGCTTTCAGGATGTTCTGAGGGCGTGTCCTCAGGCCAGGGATGGAAAGGGAAGCAAAGAGGGCAGGAAAGGAGGAAGGTCGGGCCCCACCCGGCCAGGCCGAGTCTGCCCTGGGCACGGAGAGTCCGTGGTGCCAGCCCACAGGCAGCGGCGGTCCTGAGGGGCCCTGTGTCCCAGTCGACGCCTGCTGCTATGACAAAATGCCACATGCTGGGTGGCTGAGGGACAGAGAATGCCACATGCTGGGTGGCTGAGGGACAGAGAATGCCACATGCTGGGTGGCTGAGGGACAGAGAATACCACATGCTGGGTGGCTGAGGGACAGAGAATGCCACAGAGAATGCCACATGCTGGGTGGCTGAGGGACAGAGAATGCCACATGCTGGGTGGCTGAGGGACAGAGACATTTAGTTCTCACTGTTCTGGAGGCTGAGCATCCAGGTCAGGGCCCTGGCAGGTCAGGTGTCAGGTGAGGGCCCGATTTCTGGCTCTTGGAAGCTCCTTCTTGCTGTGCCCTGTGTGGTGGTGAATGACAGGCCCTCCTTCCAGGGGGACGCATCCCTTCCTTGAGGGTGCCACCCTCACAACCTTATCACCTCCCAAAGCCCTGCCTCCTGACACTGTCACCTTGGAGGTTAGGACTTCAACACGAATTTTGGGGGGACACATTTGGCGACTGGTAGGCTGGCATTGGCTGCAGTGACAGAGAGAGGCGCAGCCCTCTGGGGGTTCTGGTCTGAGCCAGGCATGTTTCCGAGTGGTTGGCCAGCAACATGGCTCTGGGGCGAGGTGGTGACAGCTCCCAGGGCCTGGGGCCCTGTGAAAGCAATGTTGGCTCTCTCAGGACTTTGGGGGCTGGTGAGGCCTCCATGGCTGGGCAGTCAGAGCCCGGGTGCACCTGTGTGTGGTGGGGAGGGACAGGTGGCGGGGGGACAGGTGTCCTTGCCATTCAGTTCAGCTGATCTAGACCTAGGTGGACAGCACAACCTCAGGCAGGGGCTGGCGGCAGGGCCCCAAGGCAAGGTGGGGAGCCTGAGTGGGGGAGCAGAGGGGGTTCCGGAGGGAGGAGCCTGAATGGGGAGCCCGAGGGGAGGGCTCTGGAGGAGGTGGTCTGACCCCGGTCCCCCTCGTGATGCCGGTTACAGGAAACTGTGACAGGTGAAGTCCTGTCTTCGGGAGCAGACTCTGAAACTGCCCCACAACACTTGAGCCTGCAGCTTGTGCCTTTTCATCTGACCTTGGACTGGAGAAGCCGCCATGTAGCCATGAAGAGCAAAGCCGTAGGGCCCAATGGTGAGGGTTTGAGAGCTGTGTGGGTGTGCGCTCAGAGCTTATCTGAAAATCACGATAGCTGTTACTACTTCATTCTGTTGTCACGAACAGCATGGCCCCCGATTGCCAAGACAGGTTTCCTGATAGATACATAAACGAATAATCCCTCAAACTCAAGTCTGGATCTACAATATTCAAAGGAGGGGAGCAGGCATTGCACTGTAAGTGATATACTTTATCTGGAAGACATACTTTGCCATTACAAAGAGGTCAAAAGCACTTCATTAAAAATATATGGTCAGAAGAAAGAACCAATTATCGTTCACATGATATGAGTGATCAATATAATTAAGAAATGCACTCTCAATAAAAAGACTAATGAACAGTATATCCTAGCAGAACTGATATTGTATGGGCAATTAAATATTTATCAAGCATCAAAGCACAGCGAGATGTTACAGGATCCACAAAATATATTTTGTTGCTAAGGAATCTATTCCAGTACAATAATTCCACACAGCACAGGGAGGGTGTGGTTGATGCTACCGACGGGGCAGAAAACCTAAGCTCCAGACATTCAGACGAGCGTTCCCAAGTATTCTTATTTCTGTGCCAAATACCCAAGGCATAATATTCAGAGAAAATTCAGTTAATGAAAAGATCAGTCATATTATCTTGCAACTGTGCCTCTTTGGTAAAAAAGATAGATAAACTGGATGGCGGGTTTGCTTAGAAGGAGGTGACAGAGTGCACCTTCACTGTCTCTCCGTCCGAAAATAGAAGCAGAGGGAGGACGTAAGTCAGGTTTTTGGAAAACGCGTGAAGTGGTTTCTAAGTCCAGGGAGTGTGGTGTGAAGCATTTGTCTCACTCGGCTGGGGCTGGGGTAGAGGAGGCCAGCGGCCGCCCTGGGCGTCGTCCACACCCCAGTGACTCAGTTCGCTGGGTTAGCTTCTTTCTTCCCAGCAGGATTCGGCGTTCCGGGTCTTCCCTGACACCCAGGGGCTCCAGGATCCTGGCGCCTCTGATCTGGGGCACGGGGTGGGGTACCATCTTTAACGCTGGGCCCCGGGTCCTTCCCCTTAGGGGACTGATGAGCAAAGACAGCCTGCAGGTCGTGCACCACAGTTACAGTCAGCTCCGGTGTAACAGGTGTGAACTCTGCCACCACCGCCCGTGGGCAAGAAACCGGGCACGCAGCTCCCGTCTAACACAGCTTTTCTGTGTCCAGAGAGAGGAGGACGGATTGGTAAGGATCCTGAGTGCTTGCTATGGCCTCAGCTATAAAAATCATCCAGGCTTGGCGTGGATATTTTGCAAAAGGTGGGACGTAAGACTTGTGAGAATTCGCTGCAAAGCGGGAGGCGGGATGTGGAGGCAGCTTCCTCTGCGACAGTTCTGGAGCCATGTTCATTCACTCAGCCGGACGTCCACTGAGAAGCTCCCCAGACCAGAATATAACGTCTAGTCATGGCTTCTTCCTCCAGTCCCTCCTAGGTGGGACAGTGGGGCAAGGTGGCAGAGAGGTGATGGTGGACACAGGGGACATTCACAGTGTGGGAAGTGGCAGGGCTGAGATCGGGAGAAACAAGCCCTTCCTTCTGGGTGTGGATGCTGGGGAAGTCCAGAAGGCAGCATTTCGGCAGAATCTTGGCACTGGGGAGGAAGCAGAGCTGGGCCCCGGGGCAGCAGCGTCAGAGCCTCGAGCCTCTGGGGTGGATGGTGGGGGCGGAGGGATGAGTTGAATCTCAGGACCACGCCTGAATGGCTGTCAGCAGCTGGGTCCCTGCTGGTCCCTGGGCCCCGGCCTCCCCATCACCATCACCTGAGACCTGCCCCACGTGCTCAGGCCCACCCAGACCCACCCAGCTGAAGGCTGCCTGTTAACCGGGCCCTCCGGTGAGTGCTGGCAGCTGAGACGCTCTGGCCAGAACCATGTTTGGTGGCGACCCTATATTAGGGGATGATTCCCTGGAGAGTTCCTGAAGAGTCTTCAATCCTTTGCGGGGTAAAACAGACAGGAATGTGTTCACCAAGGGCTTCCCAACTCTTCTGTTTTCCATAGAGACAAAATGGAAAATGATCTCCAACACAGAAATGGATCCACTAAAATAATTAGGACATTTTTGATGTAACAACAGAAACAGTGCCCATAGCAGGTGGGCGCTAAAACCTCCTAGACATTGATCACCGTAACGAGCAGAGGCGCGGAATTGGAGGTGCCAGCTCTGATAGGGAAGAGCATTTGCTTCCATTTTTCCTTTACCAGCCCCTCAAAGGAGAAGGCTTGCCTGCAGTGTCTGCGCACTTGGGATGTCACACTCTGTATTATATTACCTGGGATATCGAGGTTAATACAGACACCTTTAAGACTGTTGGCCCCCAGGGACGGTTATGGAAATAAGGTGTCGATCTCAGAATCCTCTCAGTGAGGAAACAATGTTAAATAAATAGAAATAAATAAATAAGTCTCAAAAAGTAACTCACAAACATTTTTGCAAATATAAAGTGCGTGAGCTATTGTATCCTGAGGGTATAGAATTAACTTGCACGATGATAATTTATATTTTATGCGAGTTTTATTTTTATACACCTGCTTTTCTTTGCAATTCATGAAAAAACATATTGATATCAAGACAAATGTGCTGTCACGGAATTCATAATCCTGACTGGGGGATCTCTCATCACTGTGACGTGTCTCTTTTATGCTAACTCTAGCAATTCAGAAAAAAATACAGGTCATAAACAGCTAATAAAACTTCCCCATTTGTTAGTCAGATACGTTTTCTTCCCATTCCAGAGTCAAGTGGTTCTTGGCTTTGAAGGAAGAACAGGAGTTGAAGGAGAGGAGAAGAGTTTGTGTGTCCAACCAGAAGAGCTACCTACCCAGCTTCCTGCCTGGTTAATTGCGGCAGGTTTTGCTTTAGAGTTCAGTTTTGGGGGTTTCAAACTATGGATATGAGAGACATCCAGGGTAGTCCATTCCAAAATCTGAGTGTATTTGAGGTCCCAGAGTGTGGTGGGCCTGCAAAGGGTCAGCACCCTCTTTCTGTAAAGGGCTGAAGAGCTTGGATGTGGCCATGGCCGGACCTGTGGCCTCGGCTACAGCCACTCACCTCTGCCTCAGAGCAGAGACAGCCGCTACGTGCGATGCAGCCAACAGGACGTCATCTGTGCAGCTGGATTCTGAACTGGTGAGATTTCCACATCATGACATATTCTTCTTCCCTTCATATTTCCATGTGTTTAAAAATGTAAAAGTCATTCTTCGCTCGTGGCTTGTACAAAAGTCAGTGGTAGGTGGGTTTGGCTGTGGCCGTGGTGGGTGAACCCTGCTCAGAGGCCCCGGAGCCGGGCTTTGGGCTCTGATTCTGTGGAGTGATGGATGCGTCGTCCACCAGTGGGGAAACTGTGCCTGCCTCGCCCTCCCAGTCTGAGACCCCATCTGTCTGATGTGGGGGCCACCTCGCCATCTCCACAAAGGCTTGCTGTGGTGGTTCGGGGCCCCTGGAGGGGGGTGCCCTGGGCACTTGCTGTCAGTAGACTGGATTGAGTGTATTCTATTCCTCACCTAGAGATGAACGAGCTTCCAAAATCTGAACAGCGTGGTGACTTGTCAAGCCACTGGGCAGCGACCGAGTTTGCCAGACAGGCAAGCTGGCTGCCCTCCCTTCTTCTTCTTCGGGGCTATGCTCCTGGCTAGCTGGGCTGGGCGTCCAGGCCCAGCGTCCACTGAGTGCCCTGTGGTGACGTGGGCCTCACTCCTGCTGCTGCCTGGCCTTTCCTCCAGGTCATCTGCTCTGGCGCCCGTCTTCAGAAACCCATCTTCAGGAGAGGATGCAATGCCCACACCCCCGGTCGGAGCAGTAGGCACATGAGGAGGGGAGTGTGTCCGGACGGGGGGTGGTGCGCCCCATTGACTGCCATGGGAAACAGAGCAATGTGCTGGTTCCATGGGTGGGAATTAGGGGGTATTTTGTTGTTTGGATGGCTTTACCATCCCAACGGTAGAAACCACTGCATTAAAAATCCTCTCTCTGTTTGTCCATTTCCACCCCCTTCCCTCCCAACCCCGCAACACCCCCACTCCCGCCTTCGCAAGGCGAGCTGCCTTGCGAATGAGGCTCTGACAGTTTTCACTTTGCAGGAAGTAGGGCGTCAGGAAGGGACGGGAGAAGGAGCAGTGAGGCAGGACCGTGAGCAGAGAAGGGACTGAGGACGCCAGATGCCCCATGTCCTTGGGGTTTCCTTCCCACGTGTGAGTGTTCTCAGGGCAGACGGTGCTTCCTGTGTGAACTGCTCTCTGGGAATGGGCCGACCACTCGGGGTAGGTGAAATAGCCGCATGAGGCCTCCAGGGAGTGGGCGGGCGCGTTCTGACCTCTACTTTAAAAAGCACACAAGACTTCATACAGAGAAGGGGCTCTGGGGGCCAGAGCCCGATGTTGCACAATGACAGTGGCCAGTCTCCAAATTTTATTCCTGTAAATATAAAACATAGCCATCACTTTTCAATTTTATTTAATTAAAAAAGTCATGAACCACAGCAATAGTAATTTTAAAATGGCAGATAAAGAACAAGGGAATGGTAGGATTCCTTCTAAGCTTTGTCTATGTGTATATTTGTGTTTAGACACCTATCTTGCAGGGTGAAATCTAGTTGAATTATCTGATGGGGTGGTTAAGAGATTCATCAGAAATTTCTCAAACAACTAAGTGCACACTGACACTCACCAAGAGGGAGAGTGGCCTCTAACCCAGCGGCCCCCAACCTTTTTGGCACCAGGGACTGGTTTTATGGAAGACAGTTTTTCCATGGATGAGGGTGGGGGTGGTTTGAGGATGAAGTGAGCTCATTACATTTATTGTGCACTCTCTTTCTATTATTACACTCTAATACGTAATAAAATAATTCTATAACTCATCATAACATAGAACCAGTGGGAGGCCTGAGATTGTTTTCCTGCACCTAGACGGTCCCATCTGGGGGTAATGGGAGGCAGTAACAGGTCATCAGGCATTAGATTCTCATGAGGAGCACGCAGCCTGGACCCCTCGCATGCGCAGGCCACAGCAGGACTCGCGCTCCTATTAGAATCCGAGGCTGTCCCTGATCTGACAGGAGACGGAGCTCGGCGGGTGATGGAGGGATGGGGAGCAGCTGTAAATACAGATGAAGCTTTGCTCACTAGCCTGCCCATGGCTCTCCTCCTGCTGTGTGGCCCAGCTTTGGTCCATGGTCCGGGTGCTGGGGACACCTGCTCTAACCCATGCAGGTCAGGAAGGAGACCAGGATCCTTCTAAAGTTACGAGTGGAGATTGAGGCCTGGGAGGGTGGTTTGTTTTGTTTGCTTGTAAGGAGGCCATCATCAGAGCTGTGGGCTTGCCCTTGACACTTTCCCACTAACAGGTAAGTTCACTGCCCACCCTGTCCTGTCCCTAACAAGGAGCTGAAGCCCCTCCTGATTGCAAGCTGGCACTGGAGGCGTCTCAGCTCCATCCAGGTCCCCTTTGCTTTGCACAAGTTAATGATTTCATTCCCTGCTCCTGTGTTTGCCACTGGTGACTGCATCCAAAATCGAGGCTGCTGTGCTCATGTTCCATTGTGCAACTCATCCACATCCACAGCCTTGAGCACCCCGATGCCGGTTGGGGCTCCCGACGGGAATGGAGAGCAGAAAAGCCATGCAAGTTGCCCTCAGACAAAGGCCACAGCCGTGCAGACTGACGTCCACCCTCGCCTGGGGTGCTATGGATGTTTCACATGCACATCCGTTGTTGCTTTAAAGTAATCGGCATGTTTATGACATCAGCATCTGCATGTGTTGCCATTTCAGGTGCCCTTCTCTGTTATTCGTAGGTCTCTCTTTGCAGTGAACCCTCCATTTCTGACTTTCTGAAAAACATTTTGAGATGGTGCTCACTCATTTATTTATACAGTTTGCTTCCATGTGATTTTACAGGATAGTCATCAATATGCCATTTCCTACAGCCCTGGGATTCTTTCCGGATTCTTTGATCAGATGTACATTTCCTTGCAGGTTTTACACCCCGCCCCCCCCCCAACACACACACACTGCAGTGATCTTTGGCAGTTTCTTTCTTCCTTAGGGAGAATGGATCTAAAATTAGAACCCTCCTTGGCTGGGTGCCACCTTCCGCGTGTCCTGTACCTGGTCCTGTGTGTTTCTCAGGGCGGGGGACTTACTGCCTCCAACCCGAGTGCAGACAGAACCCGGTACCAGGGGCATGCTTTCTGAATATGGAGGCAGGAGAGGAAAAGGCGGGGAGAAGAGACGAGTGGAAAGGTGGTAAGGAGAAAAAAGGCAAAAGATGGGGAACTCGGGTATGGGACAGAGAGGCCGGCTGGTGGTGGGCTCTCTCGCATGAAGAACAGACTCTGCCTTACTGTCTCTGCACCTGCTTCCCAAGCATTAGCATTTTTATCTGTATCGGTGAGAGTGTGGCAGGAGCTCGCATGGATCTGAGTTCCACGGCACTCGCTGGCTGAGATCCTGCCCTCACTTTGCTGACATGGCCACTGCCTGGTGAAGAAGACAAACAGTGCAGAATTAACAATAGCAATAACAACACCCCAAGTTAGAATTCTGGTGCAAAATGTTCACTTTTCAGGAAAAATAAAACAAAACACTCATGCCTGTAATCCCAGCACTTTGGGAGGCCGAGGTGGGCGGATCACAAGGTCAAGAGATCGAGACCATACTGGTCAACATGGTGAAACCCCGTCTCTGCTAAAAATACAAAAATTAGCTGGGTGTGGTGGCGGGTGCCTATAGTCCCAGCTACTTGGGAGGCTGAGGTGGGAGAATTGCTTGAACTTAGGAGGTGGAGGTTGCAGCGAGCCAAGATTGTGCTACTGCACTCCAGCCTGGCGACAGAGCAAGACTCCATCTCAAAGAAAAAAAAAAAAAAAACCAACAACAAAAAACCAAAAAAACCGAAAAACAAAAACAAAAACAAAAAGCACATGAAAAGAAAGAAAAAACCTGAAGCTCAATTTTTTCTTTTAGAAGCCAGAAAGACGATGTGTGTGGAGGATTAAAGATTGGAATGCAAGTCCCGTCCTCTCCTGGGTCCTGGAAAGACACGAGCCTACGAGCCACCCATTGCACCCCCGAGTCCCCCATGTCTCAGCACTGCTGAGAGCTCATGCATTGCTGTCCTGGGGGTGATCTGTCGGCGGCCGCCAGAATTTGGAGGCTTTGTGGAGCCAACCTGCTGAGGGAGAAGGGCCCCAATTTCCTGTCCAGCCGCTTGGAGCGTCTGGCAAAGATGGAGGCCTGAGAGTGAATTTCTGCCAACCTGTTATCTCAGGATCACAACTTTTCCCCTTCCCAAGAAACAAGTGTTATTATTATATTTTTAATTCCCTAATGTGTGACCCGGCAGCCCGTATCATCTTACAGGGAATGAATAGGGAGGCCAGGGCAGGCTGTGTGGCCAGCGCTTTCAATATCCCCCCTGCGAGCCATTACATCACCCGGCTACTCTCTAAGAGGATTTTCAGCAGGCCTGGCTTCGTTATTAAAATAGTAATTAATTTTTTCCTCTTCACAAAACCCAGGGACCTTCAGATGGAGGCCTTGGGAGCGAGGGCAATCTCCTTTTGAAAGTGGCCTTTCTGGAAGCCATAATCGGCTCTCCAGCCCTCCGTACACATGTTCCCCAGTAAATGTGATTAAAGAGCCACACAAAAACCCCCTTGCAGAAAATTAATTCAGTTTCCAGAATAAAAAGTTTGATAAAGTTGTGCAATGCTCCAATGACAACACATAATAGAGGGGGAAAGTTTTATCCCCTTGAAGGATAAATGAATGGCCAGAAAGGTCTGGTAGTTCCCAGAGTAAAAACATCTGCTACAGCTAATTCACTTTAGCTTTCGATTGTAAAATTCATTAGCCATATCAGGCAGCCGTCATCTCAAACACAAGGCCAGGAAGTACAGTTTCACAGGCTGGGGCGCCACGGCCCTCCTCAGCCATTGCCAGGATCTAGCCCACTGCAGACTGGGACAGACATCCTCCCAGGGACCTCGCAGGCGCTGGATCTCTTGCGGCTGGTGACATCTTTTCAGCCCTTAGGTCTTCTTCAGGGAGTCTCCTTTATTTCTATTCCAAGAGAGGCTGCCCGCTGCAGAGGTGAAGGCCTGGTTAAAGTTCCTGTTCTGCCACTTACTAGTAGCTTAACTTTTCTAAACCTCGGTTTTCTGCCCTATGAAAGAAGAGCGATGATGACTCCTTTTGGGGTTATCATGAGGATTAACTGAGATGATAGACCTAACGGCTTAGCACTGTTCCTGGAAACTGGCAGAGAATTGCCAAGTGGTAGATGCTCTTCCTAGTTAGATGTGGGGGGAAAGAAAATTAGCTCAGAACACAGCTCTCTTGGGGGGCAGAATCTTCCTTAAGTCCTGTGGCTGTTTAACAGTATCCCCTCCAAATTCAGGTCCACCTGTAACTTCAGAATATGACTTTATTAGAAAACAAGGTTTTGGGAGATTTAATGAGTTAAGAATTTCAAGACAACACCATCCTAGACTTAGGGTGGGCCCCGCATCTGAGGACCAGTGTTCTCATAAGAAAAGGAGAAGGCGCAGGCAGAGGGAGGGCTCTGTGAAGATGAGGACAGAGACCCAGGGAGCGGGAGAGGCAGCCACAGTCAAGGAACACCTGGGGCCAGCAGAAGATGGAGGAGGCAGGAAGGATTCTCCCCTGGAGCCCCAGAGGGGGCAGGGCCCATGACACCTTGATGTGGGGCTTGTGGGTTTCAGAACCGTGTGAGAAATCGTTTCTGTTGTTTTAAGCCACCCAGTTTGGGTACAGAGTCCCCTTGACTTACCATGGGGTTAAGTTCGGAGGAACCCACCGTAGGTTGAAAAATCATTAAGTTGAAAAAGCATTTAATACACCGAATATTCCCAGCATCATGGCTCAGCCCAGCCTGCCTTAAACATGCTGAGAATGCTCCTGTTAGCCTGCGGTTGGGCAAGGTCATCTAATGCGAAGCCTATGATTGTACAGTAAGAGCTGAAGATCTCATGATTTATCGGATGCTGCCCTGAAAGTGAAGCCGGCAGCGCTGTGTGGGCACCGGAGGTCTGGCTTCTCCTGGGTGCTTTCTGTGGGCACCTGAAGCCTGGCCTCTCCTGGGTGCTTTCGCTTCAGCACACACCGTGGTTTGTTGTGGCAGCTCTGGGAAGCAGAGGTGAGACACACAAGGAAAGCCTTTCTTGAGGTTAATACAGACCTGGGGGAGGGTCCCGAGAGGTCACCGCAAACCTAGGGGAGGGTCCTGAGAGGTCACCGCAGACCTAGGGGAGGGTCCCGAGAGGTCACCGCAGACCTGGGGGAGGGTCCCGAGAGGTCACCGCAGACCTGGGAGAGGTGACCGAGAGGTCACTGCAGAGCTGGGGGAGGCGCCCGAGAGGTTATGGCAGACCCTGGAAAAGGATCCTGAGAGGTTACTATAGACCCTGGGGGCAGGGTCCTGGGAAGTTACCGCAGACCTAGGGGAGGGTCCCTAGGCCTCCGTGCCCCTGGTGAACCCGCTGCAGAAGGAACAAAAGTCCTTGGCCTGGCTCAGCCGAGGGTGTGAGGGTCTCTCCACAACTGGGTGGGCGTGCAAAGCACATTTGACAGACTGTCTGCAGCTCCAGACCTTGGACTTAAAACATTTGGAAGATTATTAAAAACACGAGAAGGCTATGAACTGTTTTGAACAAAAAACTCCCTGCGGCCCACACTGAAACAAAGCTCCCCGTGGCCCACACTGGTGTGTTTCCCCCTCTGAGTAGATGGCTGTGAACTGTTTTGAACAAAGCTCCCCGCGGCCCACACTAAAGTGTGTTTCCTCTTCTGAGTAGGAGCGCCTGCACCTCTGTGTGGACACAGCCTCACCTCTCTTCACAGCGTGGCTGCCCCAGGGGTAGAGGAATCACCTGCCCCAATCAAACCTGTCTGGTGTCCACTGTTCCCTCTGGAGCGTCCGCATGCTGCCCTTAGCCACTTGGTTCCTCCCAGGCATCCCCATCCTTGGGGGTCATTTCCCTGGGCCTCTGACTGTGGTATTGGTGGCACTTTTGTATCAGCGAAGGAACCCCCCCTACCCCAGATGCTCTGTCTGTTTTAATGTCTAACCTGCTAGGGACACCCAAGGAATGGAAGGTGGAGAGGTGGACCTGGCAACTCTCCTGGGTGCCAAGGGGCTTTCAGCAGAGGGCAGAGGAGCTGCAACGATGGCCTCCGTTCACTGTGATGTTCCTCATCTCTTTTCTTGTGGGGGCTAAATAGACAGTGTGAGCAGGTGTTCAGGAGACTGGGAGCCCACTCCAGAGGCTGCACCTCGGGAAGGAGTCCTGCGGGTGTGGGATGGGCTCAGCAAATCCGTTGCTCACGTGGCTGCCTCCTGCTGCTGGCAGCTCTTCTTACTGAAGAAGGTAGGATGTGGGTCCAGGGTTCCATCATGGTGAAGACACAGGTGGGGATACAGCAGGGCAGTGCCGAAAATTCCACCAGATGCGTGGATCAATATGCTTCACTAATCTTGCGAGGAGTCCACACTAGGTCACAAAGACTCCAAATGCATCTCAGCGTGTGCTCCGCTCCAGCCCTGGAGAAATGCGGCATTGCGGTGGGATCAGAATCTGCTCCAGCCTTGGAGAAATGCGGCATTGCTGTGGGATCAGAATCTGCTCCAGTCTTGGAGAAATGCGGCATTGCTGTGGGATCAGAATCTGCTCCAGCCTTGGAGAAGTGCGGCATTGCGGTGGGATCAGAATCTGCTCCAGTCTTAGAGAAGCGCGGCCTTGCTGTGGGATTGGAATCTGCTCCAGCCCTGGAGAAATGCGGCATTGCGGTGGGATCGGAATCTGCTCCAGCCTTGGAGAAATGCGGCATTGCGGTGGGATCAGAATGTGCTCCAGTCTTGGAGAAGCGCGGCATTGCGGTGGGATCAGAATCTGCTCCAGCCTTGGAGAAGCGCGGCCTTGCTGTGGGATCAGAATCTGCTCCAGCCCTGGAGGAGCGTGGCATTGCTGTGGGATCGGAATCTGCTCCAGCTCTGGAGGAGCGTGGCATTGCTGTGGGATCGGAAGCATCACGGCACAGGGCTCCGTTCCAGCCCTGGACCAGCCTCGCAGAAGCAGGCATTGCTGTGGGATCAGAAGCATCACCGCACAGGGGATGAGTTACCAAGCAGGAGCTCTGCACCCCTGAATTCTAGGCCACGTGCTGTGAACTTTGAGACCTCACTCTTCTGGGCTTCGGCTTCCTGAGTGAACGGTGGGCAGGTGGGACACCCAATGGCTGAGGCTCCTTCGAGCTCGAACGTTCGGGACATCCGTGACTCAAGCACCGTCTGTATTTAAGATAAATAAATGGAGGCTCAGGAAAGGGAAGTGATCTGTCTTTACCAGGCTGAACCAGGACCAGCTCTGGATGGCCTGGATTTAAATTCCCAACTTTCCCTTCCACGGCACCGCATCCCAAGCCCTTCTATCTGCTACTGTTTGCATTCTGTAGAGAAAGAAAAAATAAGTTAGTGTAGAAACAAACAGAGGAAGGGTGGGAGAGCAGAGGCCACGGGCTCCTAAGGGCCTTGTGCTGAATCACACCTTCGCCCCAAGAGCCCAGGCCAATCACGGTCCTTCCTGGGTTCCTTACTTCCCTCTTTGGAAGGAGGGTGAGTGGTCTAGTTTGCAAAACTAGTTCTTGCAGCGGAGCTTGGCTGGGCCTCCAGGCGGCACCTTCTGCACCGTGTTGTCTTGTGTGCACATCTCCTGGAAAGTGTGGGATGCTCTCAGCACCATCGGGGTGTGCCAGGGGACCCTGCCCTTGCTCCCGCCCCTGTATTCCCAAGAGAGTGTTCTCCAGGGCGTCCTGGCCTCCTCTAATGGGAGCTGACCTGGCCAAAGCTGTGTTCTTGGTCCCCATGAGCATCAAGACCCTGAGGTGGGCAGCAGCAGTGGGATGTGGTAGTGAAGTGAGGAGTTTGCAGCCTCTAAGGACACAGACTTTTGATTTTTGGGGAACACTCAGGTCTTGTGAGACGGCTCTGCAAACCCAGGCAGGTATCTCGGTGTTTTCCTGGTCTGAGTGGTACACCCCCACTTCCCCCATCCGGAAAAAAAAAAAACTCCAACCTCCCACAAAACCTTGAGATAAGGAAGATGGAAAAGGGCTGGAGGTGAACAATGGGTTTCCTTCCTGCTCTCAGAGAGGCAGGGGTGTCAGGCAGTAAGAGTTCTGCCCTAGGAGAAACTCCATCCACTTGGAGGAAGAATGATGCCATAAAATGACATGGACCATGAACAGTCACGTTTTCATTTAAGCATCTCAGTTTGCATGAATCCTTGTAAATGTCACTCATCTTAGAATGGAGGGTCTTTGGCCGGGAGTGGTGGCTCACACCTGTAATCCCACCACCTTGGGAGGCCGAGGCAGGCAGACCACGAGGTCAGGAGTTCAAGACTAGCCTGACCAACATGGTGAAACCCCGTTTCTACTAAAAATACAAAAATTAGCTCGGCGTGGTGGCATGCACCTGTAATCCCAGCTACTCAGGAGGCTGAGGTGGGAGAATCGCTTCAACCCTGGAGGTGGAGGTTGCAGTGAGCTGAGATCGCACCACTGTACTCCAGCTTGGGTGACAGAGCAAGACTCCATCTCAAAAAAAAAAAAATAATGGAAGCTCTTTGATGGGAGGGAACTCGAGTCTCTTCTGCAGCTCCAAGTAATTTTCATCGTGCGTTTTCCCAGGCACTTAGGGGAGGGAGGCGAGTGAGCTGGTGCCCAGCGCCGTTCCTTACCCCCACCTTGCTGGTTGTCACCCAGGGAATGTACAAAGTCAGGACACAAAGATGTGTAAGAATAGAGCTCCTCCTTAGAGGGTCTTAACTGTAAACTATGTGATATCTTAAACCTCATTTCCTCATCTAGAGGTAATACAACTTTGATCTGCTTACTTCAAAGGGCTGTGGCTCAGTTTGGCAATTGTTTACCAGTGCGGCCCGACTACCTGCTGAGGGGTGGACAGACACAAACGGGGCCCTCAGGAGCTGACCCCATGGCGGGGAATCCTGAGAGGGGTGTGGGGGCTGCGGTTTGAGCCTAGGTGGTGGAGCAGCAGCACAGACCAGTCTGTCCCACCAGGGTCCACGTGCATGAGGGCTGGAGAGCGGTAGCCGCGTGAGCTCCTAGGAACCTGGAGAGAGGGGCAGCAGCGTGTCACTCCATGTGCTCGTGTCCTGGCAGAGGCTCTTCTGCGCTGAGTGTGGCATTAACTATCCGAGACTCCCCCCCAGCCTCCCCAGGAGCTGGGACTGAGGCTGAACAGAGACATCCAGACACAAATGCCTGTGTTGCTAGTGCCACTGTGACTATGGACGGGAGAGTGGTCCCGTGGTCCCTTTGCACAGACCCTGCCTGGATGCAGCTCCCAGAGGAGGGCCAAGAGGAGTGCCAGTGCCCATGGTGGGGCATGAGGGGCCTGGGGCTGCTGTGCCCAGCACCATGGACCAGACGGTCTAAACCACAGAAATTTATCCTCACTGTTCTCCTTCTGGAGGCTCCAGGGAGGACCCTTCCCTGCCTCCCCCAGCTCTGGTCCTCCGGCTCCGGGGCTTGCAGAAGCCTCAGTCCAGCCCTGTCTTCCCAGGGTGTTGGTGTCTGCACCCACATTTCCCTCGTTTCATGAAGTGGCCACTCACCTGACATTCCACTGTGGCCTCGTCTTAACTCACTGATGGCATTTGATGGCCCTGTTTCCAAACAGTCACATCCCTGGCACAGTGGGTAGGACGTCCACACATCTCTTTGGGGAACACGGCTCTGTCTATAGCATGGAGCGTGGATTCTGGTGTGAGAGCACGCATCCTGAGAGGTGACCCACAGCAGGACCCCAGGGGCTGGTGGGGGCCACGGCACCCAGCCTAAGGGAGCAGAGGGGGCTGGAAGAGACCCACCGTGCAGAATCCGGGGGCAGCGGCTCCACATGTGAACTCAGGCTTCTCCAGAGAAGTTTGCTGTGCGGACAGAGAAGTGGGAGTGCTTTCCCGAGGGTGGGGCTGGTGTCTGACAAATAGGTGGTGGAAGGGGCCAAACACTCAAACTGCAGCAGCAGCTGCAAACCCGTGCCAGCCCCCTCGAGGGCCACGCTCCAAGCCCAGGCCTCGTTCAGCCCCTGTGACCTGCTGGGAGGCCTCTGTGGCCAGCGCAGTCCTGGGCTGCTCCGGTAGTTGGCGTCGGTTCTGCTCGCCCAGGAGGATCTGCTCCCCAGGGGGTGCCGTGAGAAGTGTGTTGTGCACCTGGCTTCTCATTCCTTTCTTTGATGGCCAAGAACTGCCTGTCTTGTCAAGTCCAAGTTAAAGTCGCTTCTGGAAAATGGAAAACAGGGAAAGAATAGTACTTCAGATTACATGTCCTTTTGTACTAAAAGGGTGTTTACCATTTTTACATTAATATAATAATTCATGCGGCCTTCCCTGGGCAGAACTGCATTAGATGAGGAAATTTGTGAACCCTCAGATGGGAATGGCCTTACATATGGCTTATTTCATATGACTAAGATCAAAAGAAAAATAAACCTTTACTGGAGTTTCTTAACTATTTTCAGATCTAAGGAGATAAAGAGGCACTGCATAAACTCTTATTCACTATGAAACTTTCCACATTGAAATAATAGTGGTTAATATGATTGACGAGAACTTTCTCCTCGTTGGTGGGCAGTGGTCCTTGCAACTTTCATGTTTTAACAAAATGATTGGTGGAGTTGCCTCCCTGGATCCCCTCCATGTTTTTGTGTTTGTGGGGGAATGCCTGAGAGATGAAGCAAGAAACACATTCTGTTCTATTTCTTTTTTTTTTTTTTTTTTTTTTTTTTTGAGACAGAGTCTCGCTCTGTCGCCCAGGCTGGAGTGCAGTGGTGTGATCTCGGCTCACTGCAAGCTCCGCCTCCCAGGTTCACGCCATTCTCCTACCTCAGCCTCCCGAGCAGCTGGGACTACAGGCGCCCGCCACCACGCCCGGCTAATTTTTTGTATTTTTAGTAGAGACGGGGTTTCACCATGTTAGCCAGGATGGTCTCGATCTCCTGACTTCGTGATCTGCCCGCCTCGGCCTCCCAAAGTGCTGGGATTACAGGCGTGAGCCACCATGCCCAATCCACATTCTGTTCTATTTCTGACGCTCTCCTCATACCTGAATTGGACGTCTTCAGAATGAGAAGGGGTCATCTCCTGGCATTTTTCATAGCTGGTTTAGTAAATTATTTGACCTGGAATGAACACTGGGGCATTTACCTGTGTGAACACTGTTGGATACCACTTGAGGGTGTGATATCAAACTGGGTCGCCATGACCCCAGTGACTTTGTGTTTTGTTTTCTGTTTTCCAGAGGATGCGTGAGGACCCTCGGAGCTCCGGGGTACGACACAGGACCACGTGGCTTCATGGACCA
This sequence comes from Homo sapiens, assembly GCF_000001405.40. NCBI lineage: Eukaryota > Metazoa > Chordata > Mammalia > Primates > Hominidae > Homo > Homo sapiens. The sequence continues at coordinate 78,671,787 of NC_000018.10, read as the reverse complement.
TGGACAGAGCATTTGTCTGCGACCTTCCTCCTGCAAGCCCAGAAAGTCCATGTGACGGGTGTCCATCTGTGCAGCGGGTCCACTTCCACTGCGTTTGACAATTGCGTGGTTGCTGTGGCTCTGTGACCTTCTTAATGAGCTATTTATGTGCTGTTCCTTCATTTCGAGGCCAGTGTAACTTTGGGTTCAACTTCCTGGGTCCAAAAAGCCAGCTGCCCCCACCCCGAGAGCCGTGCGGTCTCTGAGGATGCCCTGAACACACTCAGCCTGGATCTCCTCTCAGAAACACCTGAAGCCAGGCTGCCTGAGTGTGGAAGGGGTGTGGAAAGTGAGCCTGGGACACTGTTACCACATCATTAGTGTTGTTCACTGTTTCCATTTACTACCACGGCACAACTGCAAGTATGAACGCCTCCCAAACTGAAAATGCCAAACTCCTAAGCTTCCCCTGCTTAAAAACACGCAGCGTGCAGAATTCAGTTTGTCACATCTCAACTTTATTCCCTTTATCCAGGAGCCCCCTTGCGCAGGTTTCACTCTTGCTGTGATCAGAGAGAAGACGGGCCTCCCTTCAAGCTCCCTCCCCCGCCCGGCTATTCAGTGTCCCCAGGTGAGGAGGCCCAGGGTTCAATTACGAGTGGGGAAAGATGAAAGGGCAGGAAATGGCTGCTGTGGCCTCAGAGGAAATATTTGCAGAAAAAGGAGCACAACAGCAAATAAAGTGCTAATTAATGTCCAATTCCAGGGCTGATAAACGGACCACAGCAGTGGGCAGCACCGAGCCGCCTTCCAAGAGGAGAACACAGCTCTCCCCACCGTCCCTGCCACAGCGGGTTTGGAAAGACAGGGCCTTCCATGCCTGCCCATAACCTTCAGGGTGAGTATTCCAGGCTGATTTTCCTCAGGGAGGATCTTTGAATCTTCCTGGGGTGTACGGCCTGCCCATAACCTTCAGGGTGAGTATTCCAGGCTGATTTTCCTTGGGGAGAATCTTTGAAACTTCCTGGGGTGTAGGGGAGCTCTTTTTCCCTCTGGGTACTGGGAACTTTCATTGCTCTTTTAAACTCTGCCCCAGGCTCCAGGTGACCAAGGCATTTTCTGTGGGTGGTGTGGGGTGGGTGGGGAAGGAGGGATGGAGGTGGGGAGGGGGCGGTGTTTGGTAGGAAAAAAAGATCCTCCACTTCAAACTTTGCTTAACATTTCCTGGGACTTTTACATAAGCTGTAAAGAGAAGTTTGCATTTTTAGGAAAACAATACAAGAAAAGCTAGTATTTAAGAAAAGTTAATATTTTTCTTTACTACTGGTATTTATTATTATGTATTTTATGTCATGTGTGCATGGGCAGGTGGCCGTTATCTCAGGAGAGAGAAGTGAAGAATGAGTGGAATCTTGCACTTCTGCATCCAAATGATCACCCATCAGTACATTCTGATTCAAATATAAAGTGAAAAAGATAAAATCTGTGGAGAAGCTGCGTTCCTGGAGGCTCACCGTTCATGTAGACCTACTCATTCCCCCGAGCATGCTGAGTCCAGCCTTGCAGATAAAGAATTTAACCCAGAAAGAAAAGGTATTTGGTAGATACTTTATTTTGTGCAGTCTTTTAATGTAACTTCACTTTAGGCCACAGCGAACCTCTCAGGCAATAGGTTGAAATCTTGGGGGTGTGTGGAAGGCAGCCATATAGCTCAGCCCTGTAGGTTGAAGTGGACCTTGTAAGTCTCACCTTTTCATCTACTAAATCCTTAGTACTGTTGAGTAAGAGTATATGCTCTCATTGTAGCAAAAAATACAGCTTCTGTGATCTTGCAATTGGTACCCACGTTTGACTAAATGTGTTGTGGAAGAACAAAATGAAAAGCCTCCATCAGCCAGCGGATGTCATGATAATTATTTCTGGTGTGAGTATCAGAGAATCACATCTTAAGGTGGGGTTTTTTTGGGAGTTGCTGATGAGTGAATGCCAGAAATAATAATCTGACATTAAGCCTTTGTGAATCTGACCAAATGAATGTCGAAGAAGAGAATTTATGGTGAAGTCAGATTGCATGCTATTTCATGAATGCATTTCTTTTAGAATGTAAATGACAGAAAAATTATTCATTATACCTATAATCAAACTACAAGTTTAATAGATAATGAAAATGCACACAGAAACTATTAAAATGACACCAGAAATATGGCTTCAATCAACAAAAGGCAAGACATTCAAAGTGAGTCTTGCAAACTTTAACAAAAATGCTTTTATTGCTCCAGATCAGGAGGGCTCTTCAATGCTGGGAGCAGTTTAATGTCTGGGACTCTGCGTGCTCCAAATCTTTTGATAGAAAATCATGCCTTGGGAAAAGCATTTTTATGTAGTTTTTTCATGATTTGAGTATCACAGAGGATTTTGCAGAATAATTTGGGAATAAAGTCTCAGAGCAAAAATTACGAGAGCAAATGGTTACAAGGTTGTTAAAAAAAATCTAGTGTAGAAAGGGTATAGTTTCCTAAGAGGAGTTAGGTTTTTGTTTTGTTTTTCAAGACAGGGTCTCACTCTGTTGCCCAGACTGGAGTACAGTGGTGCGATCACAGCTCACTGCAGCCTCAAACTCCTGGGCTTGAGAGATCGTCCTGCCCCGGCTTCCCAAGTAACTGGAATCACAGGTGCCCCCCACCGTGCCCAGCTACGTTTTTTATTTTTTGCAGATAGTGTCTCACTATGTTGCCCAGGGTCATCTCAAACTCCTGGCCTCAAGTTATCCTCCCACCTTGGCCTCCCGAAGTGTTGGGATTACAACAAACATGAGCCACTGTGTCCAGCCAAGGACTTAGGTTTTAACGGGGGAAAGAGCTTTGGCTTCCCTCTGAATTTTCTCCTTTCCATTTGAGCTTAATTGAATCTTTGATTTTTCACATGAAACACATCTCCAATCCATCTCCTTCCTGTATCTCCACATGTTCAGGAGAGTCTGAGTTGAATCAGACAACACTCTTGCTTTGCATTTGTGGGTCTTTTGTGGCCTCATGACATTGAAGAGACAGGAGAGTTGGCTGAAGCTGAGTGTCATGGGTAGGCCTTGCTGTAGGAAATTTGGAAAGAGCTGGTCATTTTCATCTGATTGAAGCTGGCTCCATGCAAACCTCACCAGGGATCCCCTGAAAATGACCCCTCCCCAGTGGGCCCCAGCATCAAGCTCCCTTGAGGATGCCAGCCCCGGGCCTGGGAGAAGCAGCTCGTGCCTCCTCTCTGTGTCTGCCTATTTGTGTTGCTGCAACAAAACACCTGAGACTGGGTCATTTATAAGGAACAGAAATTTATCTCTCACAGTTCTGGGGGCTGGGAAGCCAAGATCCAAGCACTGGCAGATTTGGTGTTGGTGAGGGCTTGGTGTCTGTGTCAAGATGGTGCCTCTTGCTGGACGCCCCTGAGGGGATGAGATTTGGTGTTGGTGAGGGCTTGGTCTCTGTGTCAAGATGGCGCCTCTTGCTGGACGCCCCTGAGGGGATGAGATTTGGTGTTGGTGAGGGCTTGGTCTCTGTGTCAAGATGGCGCCTCTTGCTGGACGCCCCTGAGGGGATGAGATTTGGTGTTGGTGAGGGCTTGGTGTCTGTGTCAAGATGGTGCCTCTTGCTGGACCCTCTGAGGGGATGAGACTTGGTGTTGGTGAGGGCTTGGTCTCTGTGTCAAGATGGCACCTCTTGCTGGATCCCATTGAGGGGATGAGAGCCTGTCCTTACACGGGAGGGAGGAAGGGTGGATTGGGGACGGATGGGAGGGAGTATGGGGGTGGGATGGGAGGGCAGATGGGGGAAGAGATGGAAGGGTGGCTAGGGGAGAGGTGGGAGGGTGGATGGGGGAGGGTGGATGGGGTAGGGTTGGGAGGGTGGATGGGGGAAGGATGAGAGGGCGGATAAGGGGAAGGGTGGGAGGGTGGATGGGGAGGAGTGAGAGGGCAGATGGGGAAGCGGGGTAGGATGGATGGGGAGGGGTGGGAGGGTGGATGGGAGAGGGGTAGGGTGGATGGGGAGGGGTGGGAGGGTGGATGGGAGAGGGGTGGGAGGGCGGATGGGGGGGATGGGGGAAGGATGAGAGACAAAGGGGAGGGTGGGAAGAGCCCAGCTGCTTCCTTCCAGCAGCCCTCAGGGCCTCATCACTTCCTGGGCCCCACCTCTTAATACTGCTGCTTCGGAGCTTCCCTTTCAACATGGATTTTTGAGGGACACAAACGTTCAAAACATGGCAGCCCCATCGGCCCCCTCTTGCTCTCCACTCCATGTTTCTAAAGGCTATTTAAATGCTTAAGGTTTAATGTTTTAGGCGGTAACTTGTTCCTTGCTTTTACAAAAAGGCAACTTTGAATTTCAGTTTGGACTCAGGTATTATTCTCTTGTATGTAAACAATTTCCCTATTCCTTATGGCTTGGAATCGAACTGAATTTTGACTTTTGAAACAATTTATAGTGTATGATGAATAAATTGTAAGTGACTTTAGTTAAACAGTGAACAGTAGCCCCTCCTCATCCTCTCCTGTGTGTCTTTTCCAATGTTCCTGTCTTATGAGAGGGCCTGGGGGCCCGTATGTGCCCAGTGCTCAGCTCTTCCACCCTGAGTGTGAGTCCTGCTGTGCCACCTCCTGCCCCACTCCAGGCCCGAGGGTGACCCACATCAGGATCCGGCCTTGTTCACCCACTTGGCACCTTCTCTTCCCCCTCCACGAGCTATGTCCTCTCAGAATCCTGGGTTGCTCCGTGCCTGACCCTGCTGCTGCCCCAGCTACTTCGCTGTTCAATGTCCACCTCGGTCCCCTACCCAGTTCTCATTTCTCCTTCCATCAGACTCCTGCATTTTCTCCTTGAGGAAGCCCTTGGCTGCCCCTGCCTCCCAGGGACAGTGTGGCTGTGGATGGAGGCGGCCCAGGCCCGTTCTCTGGTGCCTGCCCTTGGCCTGCGAGGGCACTTGCCCTGCAGAAGGAGGCCCTCTTCTCCCACAGCCCAGGCAATGGCCAGCACCGACTGCAAGGCACTTCAGAGCAGGGTTCGAGCTGCAAAAGCACTTTGGCTTTGTGCTCTGGGCTGGATTTGTCCTGAGACCCAGTTCGCCAGGAGCCCCCCTTCCTCTCCTGCACACCCCACCCTCGAAGGGGTTTCTTCTTGGTTCTTCCCTACAGCATGTGGTCCCACATCCCCCTCTCAGGATCTGCTTGTAGGAAACACTATTTAAGACAGATATTGTTTTTTAAAAAATTACTGATCTTAAAATTATTTTGGGATGCTAGCTTTAAGGTTTCACCAAGGAAATAATAACTTTGTTTTTTTTTTTTTTTTTTGGTAATTTTTGCAAACCTAATTTGGGTTTGGGTAAATCTAGAAATTTACCTTCTAAAATCATGTATGTAGATTTCCCATAAAAGCTTGTGATGGAAGGTGTTTACTTAAAAAAAAAAAGTAGATTTGTCAATTATTTGATTTAATTTCATAAAGGAGTTAAATTGAATAATTCAGGGAAAAATATTTTGAAGGCTGAGTTAGTTTATCTGATTCTTTTGCATTAATGAAAGTATTTAAATACTTACTAAAAAAGCCACTTTTCCTATTTCCAGGTTTCCTCATTCGAAAGTGCGCTGAAAATACTGCACATGTGTGAATTCGAGAATAACCGCTCGGGGAGTGGGCGAGGTCGAGGTTTGAATTATCCTGGTAGAAACATGCTTTTGCCCATTTTCTTAAACATCGTGAATCCACTTCCAGCCAGTTGTACACATTATGAGGGGGAAATATTTTAAGGGAGAATTTACTAGTTATCTCAAAATTTCATTGGCAAAGACTGACTTAGAGAGGAAATATACATTGAAAAATTAATTTTCCGACTTTGGCTTCGTCAAAAGCAAACTATGTTTCATTTCCCAGCCACATGCCCTCCACGGTGACGCCTGTTTGGTGGTTTCTGTGATGCGGTGAGACACACCCGGAAACAGCCTCGCTGAGTGCTCATCCGGCTCTAGGTCTTCTTGATCTAGTTCTGGAAAAACATCATACTGGAGGAGGCAGGAGCCCCAAAACCAGTGAGAGACAAGTCCGGTGCCCTGGGAAGAATGTTTCACTTCTCATGTGGACTTCCTGTTAATTTCTTCAGTGTGGCCCCAGGAAACAGTGCGTTTGAACCTTTGTACAGGCGCACTCCTCACAGTCGGAGGGCGGGATCACAGAGCACACGGAAGCCTACGCGGCTTCTGCCAAACACCATACTGACCCAGCTAAATGCTGCGGGTTCGTCTCATGCTCCTATTTTCCTGCCTTCACCTGTGGACCATCATGATGATGAAATAGAAAAATAAATGTAAAAAATACAGGCCTGAAACAGCAAGTTTCAAAGACAGCTCAAGTTGATAACAGTGGAGCACGTCTCGAAGTTTCCTTGCTAGGGCCATGAGTTTTGGGTGAATAATAACAAAAACATATGACAATCCATTAATCATTTTATATTTAATATGTAAAATGTATTTGTTAGGCCTTTATTTCAATGAAATTACTTATTTTTTTATAATTAAAGTTGTCACATAAGTTATCTTCCATTGAGTAATGATGGACTCAGGGTCAGCCGCCCTTGGACTAGACACCTGTTTTGTAAGTAAAGTTTTATTGGAACATGGCCATTCCCATTTTGTGATGTATCATCTATGGCTGCCTCCTCTCCGCTCTGCAGAGTCAATGGCTGCGACAGAGGCTGTGGCCACCAGGCCTAAAATATTGATGACTCAGCCTTTTCAGCAAATATTTTGAAACCCCTGATTTAAAGGACTGACAAGTAAAATATTGTATCCAAGGCATAACAATTTTTTTCTTTTTCTTTTTTCTTTCTTTCTTTCTTTCTTTCTTTTTTTTTTTGAGATGGAGTCTTGCTCTGTCGCCAGGCTGGAGTGCAGTGGTGTAATCTCGGCTCACTGCAATCTCCATCTCCCTGGTTCAAACCATTCTCCTGCCTCAGCCTCCTGAGTAGCTGGGACTACAGGTTCGTGCCACCATGCCCAGTTAATTTTTGTATTTTTAGTAGAGATGGGGTTTCACCATGTTGGCCAGGATGGTCTTGATCTCTTGAGCTTGGGATCCACCTGCCTTGGTCTCTCAAAGTGCTGGGATCACAGGCGTGAACCACTGTACCCGCTTGGTATAACAAATTTTAATATAGTTTTTATCAAAAACATAAATGTTAAAAATAAAAAAGCAAATTCAGCAATGCTTCAAAGTTATTTTTCTTATAAAATATTTCAAAATGACTAAAATTAAAGTGTACAATTCAGATGATAACATATTAAATGTTTAAATAAAAATTGTTAATTTTATTTACAGCTGAAACTCTAGAATTTTGGGGGAAATTTAATGAAGTGCTTTGATAAACTAAGATTACAATGCTAGCGTTCAGCCTCCATCCTGTTGCCAGGACAGCCATTCTCAGGAGCGCACAGTGCTGCTTAGCTGCTGTGGCGACTGCTGGGATTTGAGCACTTCTGGGATGACCCGCTGGGGTGTGAGAATGGGGGCCAGTGAACGCCGGTGGCGGAGGCAGCTGAGCGGGGCTGGGGGCCACACCCTGCTATGGGAGCCCGTCACCTCCGCACTCTCCTCTAGCAGAGAGTGTGCGAGAGTTTACGTATTTCTTTCTTCCCTGAGTGTCCTGTTGCCCCTGAAGCTGTGTCCACCTCTGAGGCTGCTCACACCTCCAACCCTCCTGGCATCGGGACAGTGGCCTTTTGTGTCCAGGAGAGAAGCAGTGGCCAGTGTGTGAGGAGGTCCCCTGAGAGCGGACGTTTAGGGGGATGGAGGACCTGAGTGCGGGGTACCCCACAGGAGGACGGTCCAGGATCCGTAAGAAATTTCCTGTGTCTGTGTTGTTGGTATGCAGATCCCTCTACATTTAGCCTTTGACAATTGTCACTCATTTTATTAAACCTCCCGGGTATTTATCCTCTGAAAAGTCGCCCTGGGCCAAAACTGCAGTTCATATTCAGGCAACTTCACAGCTTCTTCCCTGGATTCTGATCGTTTTCAAAAATAAAGACACCGAGTCTCTTGAAGTGAACTCCAGACGGTTTCTTTCTTGTCATCTTTCCTTCTGCATTTCTTCCTATCTAAGTAAGCAATGAAATGGGGAGAGGGGTAACAAAGAGAAGAAAGCATCAGAAGGATTTGTTTATAATCCTGACTTCATGTTTAAAATTGGATTTCCTAGACCAAAAAGCAAAAAAATCCGGGGATAGTTGTATATCTTATACTTTGAGAAGTCTTATGGGAATCTTATGGGAAAATAATATCTTTACTTTGAACAGTCTACTGCCTGCCTGGTGATGAACTGAAGAAGAGGCTGACCAAGGCTGGGATCTGCCCAGCCTAGCTGAGGTTAGGAGTTTGCCCAGCCTAGCTGAGGTTAGGAGTTTGCTTGGCACACAGAACAGCGTCCTCAGACTTCCCTAGTGAAATTATCCTGGGGAGTTAACTTCTTTTCGTTGAGAACCTTAACATAAAATCCTAATGCTATTGCAGACTAGATTCTAGACATAAGAAGAAAAGAAAGAAGTTGGGTATGTGTTTTTCCCAGTTATTATTTTTCTCAATCTCTGGTCATAGGCGGGGTGGGCGCCTCCCACCCGGCCCTCCCCCAGGGCCATACTGTCCCTGATTGCCGGCCACCTTGGGGTCCCGTCCCTTTCCCTGCATGGCGCCCCTGATGTGCCTGCCATCTCTGTCTTGAAGAACAGGGCTGGTCACAGCTGCTCCGGCTCTGAGTTGGCCTGTGATTCCTCATTAGCTGCAGAATGACTCGGAGGTTCTTAGCCTGACCCTGTGAAGCCCACAGAACATTCTGGATGTTGCCTCTCTTTTCTGCTTTACACACCTGTCACGTGTGGCAGGTCTCCCTCAGGCTTTACTTCCCATCCACACACCTTAACATGTCCAGTCCCGACGCTAAGCACATGATCACACTCATGTGCAGAATGGCTGGGTGAGGATCCGACCTGGGTCACTGGCCTGAGAACTTGTGCAGGGGACCTACGCCCTCTGAGCTCTCCAAGGGGGAGAGAATCACATCTCACGGCCTCTATAGCTTGGGTAGCTCTGAGTGTAGAAGCATCTGCACAGCATCTTTCATTTCTATCCTTCCTCCCAGCTGCTTGGAAGGCTGAGGCCAGAGGATCACTTGAGCCCAGAAGTTCAAGGTTGTGGCGAGCTATGATCCTGCCACTGCACTTTAGCTTGGGTGACTGAGCGAGACCCTATCTCAAAAAAAGAAAAAGAAAGAGAAAAAGACTTGACTGCAATGGCATTTTAAAAATACAATTCACGTGACACCTCCACAAACAAACAGGCCAACAATCGTTCCTTTACTTGAACTTTAATGTGTGGTACCTGTACCTCTTTCTGGTACAAAGCTATAAGGAAATCAATGACAATCAAGCTTCTTCTCTGTTCAAATGCAGGCAGATGACAGAACTGTTTTGAATTCTCCTGTTATTTTCTTATTGGAGTAGTTTATGATGGTGGGTTTTAGTTTGAATATTAATTAATTAATTAATTAATTTTTTGAGACAGAGTCTCGCTCTGTTGCCCAGGCTGGAGTGCAGTGGTGACATCTTGGCTCACTGCAACTGCCACCTCCCGGGTTCAAGTGATTGTCCTGGCTCAGCCTCCCGAGTAGCTGGGACGACAGGCGTGCACCACCACGCCCAGCTGATTTTTGTATTGTTGGTGAAGACAGGGTTTCGCTGTATTGGTTAGGCTGGTCTCAAACTACTGACCTCAAGTGATCTGCCTGCCTTGGCCTCCCAAAGTGCTGGGATTACAGGTGTGAGCCATCATGCCTGGCCTGTTTGAATACTTTTAATGGATCTACACAGTTCCTTGTGAATTAAAAAAAGAAGAAATGAAGGTAGCTATAGAGGGTAACTCTCTAAGGTGCATATGTTGGTCTTTTACTTCCTGAGGCAATGTTTTAAAATTTATCAAAAATAGATTTTGAAGCTCTTTGGTCTCATATTCACAAGTCCATATATTTCAGACCCTTTTCTGCTGCCCTCAACACTGGATCCCCAGACTCCCTCCTCTTCCTGCTCCACCCAACAAAAGTGGGAGGTGGGTTGAGGGAAGGTGAGTTCGGGCCATTCTCTCACTGGAGGAGGGACAAGGAGGTCCTGTGGCTCGTGGCCATGATCCTGTACCTGGTCACCCGTTCTACTAGGCAGCCATCCCCAGACTGGAGTTGACTCTATCCATGTCTGCAGGGGCGGGTGCCTGACCTGGGCTCTGCACCTTCCTGTGACTGTATCTGCTGGGGTGGGTGCCTGACCTCCGTTCTGCACCTTCCTGTGCCTTTATCCATGTCTGCTGGGGTGGGTGCCGGACCTCCATTCTGCTCTGGAGTTTGAGGGTCTTTGTACCGCTTGCTATAATCACGGGGCTTCACGCACAGCCATGCATCATTCCTGCTTTGGCTGGTGGGTTTAGTGTGTGCTACAGATGGGAGGGGTTTGTGAACCTTCTCGACACTGGCTGCCATCACACGGGTTACACACGAGGCCCAGGTTACAGGAGGCTTCAATGTATTTTAGAATCTTGACATATGTTCCCTTCTCTCGTCACCCGCGACGTGTTCTACGACAAGGTCCTATTTCTTTCTGCCCGCATTGTTGGTGGTGCTAATTCCCTAGTAGGATGGATGACAGAAGGAAGGAGACATCTCAGGCTTGTCTTTAGGGGCCTCACAGTCTATTTTAGCTGAAAAAACTAACGCTGACGGATTGCATGGCAATGACTTCTTGCTTAGACGTGTGATGTGACAGATGGAAACCATGAGGAGCAAAGCCCTCGTGCATGCGGCCTGGAGAGACTGGGACCTTCTCAACTGGCCATGGGAGAGAAGCTGCATTATTCACAGCAGTGCAGGCTGTGGGACTCCCGGTCCTGTGGGATGGATGGGCCTCGCTTTAGGCCACTTGAAGCTAGTGTGGGCAAGATGGGCATTCTTGGAGGGCAGGAGGGAGAGAAGGGCGTCGCTCACAGTGAGAAAGCGGGTGGGAGACTGGCATGCAGTGTCACATGCAGCTTTCAGAGCTGGAGAAAACGGAACTCCCTGGCAATCTGGCAGTAGCCTGGCACAATTACATGTTTGAAAACTTCATTTCCACAAGAACTAGGAAGATAAGTTGCATTGACAAGGTCTTAAATCACAAAGTTTCCCCGAGACTCTGAAACGATTGTAGGCACTGGTTTTGTCTTGCAGTGGGGAGAGGCCAAGTGGCGAGAGGAGCCTCCCTGGCTGTCCTCAGCAGCACGGTGCATTTTGCAGCTGGGAAGCCCCATGGGGAATGGCTGGAGGCTCACGTTCAGGGCCTGAGGACGACAGTGGGTGCCACACACCACAGGTGGAATAGTGAGGGCAGGAGGGTGACGTCCAGGTCCTGAGGACGACAGTGGGTGCCACACACCGCAGGTGGAACAGTGAGGGCAGGAGGGTGACATCCAGGCCCTGAGGACGACAGTGGGTGCCACACACCACAGGTGGAATGGTGAGGGCAGGAGGGTGACATCCAGGCCCTGAGGATGACAGTGGGTGCCGCACACCACAGGTGGAATGGTGAAGGCAGGAGGGTGATGTCCAGGCCCTGAGGATGACAGTGGGTGCCACACACCACAGGTGCAGGTTGATGTCCAGGCCCTGAGGACGACAGTGGGTGCCGCACACCACAGGTGGAGTGGTGAGGGCAGGAGGGTGACGTCCAGGGACGCGGGGCTGCCTGGTGGGCTCCTTCGAGGAGCCTGTGTGGAAGTGGGCACAGATGCCTCAGGGCAGCAGTGCCACCACCTGGCCAGCCGCAGCCTCGCAGCCTCCACGTCGGAAGTCCCGGCATCCAGCCGTCTGCCGGAGGGGCTGGTGGTCCAGCCCATGCCTGCCAACATCTGGTGACAGGGCAGACAAAGCCCATGCCCCAGGGTGGCTGTGGGGAGTTCCCAGGGACAGCTGGGGGATGGTGGGTGCCCGGCGGGCAGGTCTCGTGGAGGAGAGCCCATGGGTGGTCTGCAGATGTGCCAGGAGCTGAGGGAGAAAGGAGACATCTCTCGGGAAGGTCTATAGGACAGTGTCCTGGGATGTCCTTTGGAACAGCTAACAGGCCCCCCTGAGACACGATGTGGTCTACACCACCCAACCTCATGCCAATGGCTCTTGCCAAAGGCTCTTGGAGAAGCCGGGTGCAGGGATGACGTGGTTCTCATGGGGTGACATCTGTGTGGAGACAGCTAGTTACGGCGCTGGCTGCATTTTCCAAACACCCCTGGGTCAGGCCCTAAACAGGTGGCTCTTTCTTCTAATTGCTAAAACGTCAAGACTTGCAGCTTGTCATTCTACCAATGGGGCACATGGCAGCACCAACTAGAGAATGAAACACTCACGCCCCTGCCCTCCCCGCTCCAGGGAAAGGGCAGCTCAGCCACCACAGTTCCAGGGCTGGCTCTGCACATCCATGAGGTGCTCTCGGCCTGTGGGCCGTGGAGGTGCGATTGCTTTGTTTTCTAAGGCAGGATGTGCCGAGAGCCACTTTTGCCTCACCTGTGGGGCCTTGTGTTGGGGGGTGGAAGGGCAATGGTGGCAGTCCCCTTCCTTGCATCGGATGGCGAATGGGCAGTGGTGACCTTCCCCCTCATTGCATCGAGGGGCGGATGGGCAGAGGTGGCCGTCCCCTTCATTGCGTCGAGGGGCAGATGGGCAGAGGTGGCCGTCACCCTCATTGTGTCGGGGGCAGATGGGCAGTGGTGACCGTCCCCCTCATTGCATTGAGGGGCGGATGGGCAGAGGTGACCGTCCCCTTCATTGTATTGTGTCCACACAGCCCCACGCTGGGTAACAGATGAAAATCACTATTACTTTAAAGTTGACCCTGGGGGCTTAGGCCATGCTTCCACAAGGCCACTGGACTTCTGAAAAAATGGGCCACCATCCTGATCTACCTGTTGTCTTGTTTCTGTGATGTCAAAAAGCCTCCTACCCCTGGACGAACCGGCGGGTGGGTGGGTCTGTCGCGGCTGCACTGCCTCCCTCTCTGCAGCTCCAGCACAGAGCCCCTTCCTCCTGCTGCAGGGGCACCTCCCCCTCCTCCTTTCTCTCCACCACCAACTCTGCCCTTCTCTGCAAAAGAAGTCGGCATTTTCCATGTGTTCAGCTACCGAGAAAAAAGGTTCTATTAATATAAATTGTTAATTAGGATTGTTATCATTATTTTGTGTTCCATGCAGATTAGTCATTTGAACCTTGTTCTTTTTCACAGAGAAGGAAACCAAAGAGAACAACATGGTTTCTCTCATAAATTATCGAAGGCCTTAGTAGGTGTTACTACCACCGGAGATGCAGATCGAGCATTTGGCGTGGAAAAAATAATAAGATACCAGTCAGTGTTGACCAGGTGCTGGGGGAGCCAACATTCATCCTAATGTCTCTGTGCGAGGCAGTGAACTGCTGTCCTACCATGCTCTGTCCTTATGGCACCTGACCTGGGGGTGGGCTGTGGACAGCTGCGGCCTGGGGCGGCCAATGCATACGGCGTGGACTCCATCACACCTCATGGACACAATGGCTCTCTCTGGATTTGTGAGCAGTATGTTGCCTCATCTTTAATGTGTGAAGGTATTTTTTCCTACCATTTAAGCTACTTTTAAAAACAGCGTTATTGAGGTATAGTCACGTTCAATAAGCTACACATATTTAACATGTGTTATTTGGTAATAAGTGTGGACACGTGTGTCTAACTGTGAAGCCATCCCTGCCGTGAAGAGGGTGAATCCTCCTTCCCTCTAAAACTTTTCTCTGTTCCTTCCTGGCCCTCCTTCCACTTTTGTCCCCAGAAAACCCCTGCTCTAACTGTGCATCCGTCCGTGTCTCTCATCTGTGAATGGAATTGGAAAGTTAGTGCTTTTCTGTGGGCCTGGCTTCTAACTCAGCACAGTGACTTTGTGGCCTCTCACTCGGCAGCATGCGGCAGTGGCTCGTTCCTTTCACCGCAGGGCAGAGCTCTACTGAGCACACGTGCTGGGTTATCATTCATCAGTTCATGGATATTTAGGTTGTTTCTGGATTTTGGCTATTACAAATATAACTAAAATGAACATCTGCACACAGTGTTTGTATGGGCACGTGCTTGCATTTCTATTGGGTAAATATCTAGGCACTGAGAAGTTGGATCATACGATAGCTCACATGTTTAACTTCTTAAGAGATTGCAAGCCAGATGCGGTGGCTCACGCCTGTAATCCCAGAACTCTGAGAGGCCAAGACGGGTGGACTGCTTGAGCTCAGGAGTTGGAGACCATTCTGGGCAACATGGTGAAATCTCATCTCTCTAAAAAATAAAATAAAATAAAATAAAATAAAATAAAATAAAATAAAATAAAATAAAATAAGCCAGGTGTGGTGGCGTATGCCTGTGGTCCCAGCTACTTGGGAAGCTGAGGTGGGAGGATCGCTTGAGTCTGGGAGGTGGAAGTTGCAATAAGCTGAAATTGTGCCACTGCACTCCAGTCTGGGGGACAGACAAGACCTCATTTTTTATTTTACTTTCCCATTAGTGACATATAAAAGTTCTGGTTCTTCTAAAACTTCATTAACACTGGGTAGGATCTGTCTTAATATAGACCATTTCAAAGGTGTGCAGCTATATCTCGGATGGTGTTAATTTGCAATTTAAAAATAACCAGTCATGTGAGTGCTTGCTATCTGTATGTCTTTTTGGGTGAAATGTTGAAATATTTTGCCCATTTTTTTTAAAACCTGGGCTGTTTGCTTTTGTGATATTGAGTTTTGAAAGTTCTTTAATTGTTCTGTATACAAGTTCTGTCACCTTTGAAACTTCCACTTCAAAGTGCCCTGAGGTGCTGCTGCAGGCCGGATGCCTGGATTGAAGGGGGACTGGCGAGCGGCTTCTTCAACCTTCTAATGGGTGGTTTAGTGCCATGGACGCAGCCCCTGGAAGCTGTGTGATCAGGCGGTGACTACCTTCTGGTTACGCATTTCAGACATGCATGGCCCCAGCTGGGCCACATGCTATGGAACACGCCACGAGGACAGAGGCCACCCCGGAGGCTCCCAGGGATGGTGCAGTAGGAGGCTGGGTGGGCGCTGCATGGGACCCTCAGGCAGTGGTCACATGGAAGCCTGAGTTGGCATGGCTGGGTGCTGGTGCTCACAGGCCACGCGTGTCAGTGGGGTCTGGCTTCCTGCCCCTGATGCCCAGCTGTCCCCTGCATGTGGGAGCGAGGGAGGAGGGAGGAAGACACCCTCGTGGTTCCAGCCTCCCGTGCCAGCTGTGTCCGGGGCAGGAGCGTCTCCCATTGGCCTTGTCCTTGGGGCTACCAAGTGCAGACTCAGAGCACTGAGTGGCATGGACACCGGTCGTGGGCTCCCGGCTGCTTTCGCTTCATCTTGTGAGTTTTCTAATGGATCATTTAAAAAACTTTGGGAGAGTCACCAAACACCACCATCTACATTTCAGGAAGTTGAATTGCAGGTGCCATTTGTAGCAGTGTGAAAGCCAGGAGAGACAGTCATCCTCGGGATGAACCCAGAACGTCCTCTGAAGAAGGCAGGTGCTGGCCAGTGCCCCAGCCTTCCTGCTGAGCCCCTTACTTCTCTCTGCAATGTGACCAGAGGCAGCACCACCTCCCCGCCCAGCCTCGGGTCTCACCACGGCTGCTGAAGTGCGTCGTGCTGGTGTTTCAAAGAGAAAAGTGGAGATGGTTTGAGCTTGATGGGCACAGTTGCAGGAACCAACGCTGAGGCACAAACTACTTTAAAATTCAGCACATTTAATATTTTCCTATTTTCCTGGGGAATTCTCTTGACCTCTTACCTTACTTAGGTTTTTCATCTTCTTCTTTTTTTGTTTTTTTGTTTTGTTTTGTTTTGAGATGGAGTCTTGCTCTTGTTGCCCAGGCTGGAGTGCAGTGGCACGATCTCGGCTCACTGCAACCTTCACCTCCCGGGTTCAAGCGATTCTCCTGCCTCAGCATCCCAAGCAGCTGGGACTACAGGCGCCCGCCACCATGCCCAGCTAATTTTTTGTACTTTTAGTAGAGACGGGGTTTCACCGTGTTAGCCAGGATGGTCTCGATCTCCTGACCATGTGATCCACCCGCCTCGGCCTCCCAAAGTGCTGGGATTACAGGCGTGAGCCACTGCGCCCGGCCGCAGGCAGATAAGTTTTATGGCGTCAGTGAGGGAGTAAACAGCATGCTGCTCTGGGCTCCTTTGTGCAGAGCTGCTCAGAACGCTCTTCCAGGGCAACCTCACGGCAGCTGCCCCATCCCCCACGGTGGCACCCAAAACACACCTGCCCTGCTCTCCACCATTTGCCTGGGACTGAGGGGTTTCCTGGGACTGAGGGGGTTCCCGGGACTGAGCGGTTTCCCGGGACTGAGGGGCTCCTGGGACTGAGGGGTTTCCTGGGACTGAGGGGTTTCCCGGGACCGAGGGGTTTCCCGGACTGAGGGGTTTCCCGGGACCGAGGGGTTTCCGAGACCGAGGGGGTTCCCAGGACCGAGGGGTTCCTGGGACTGAAGGGTTCCCGGGACTGAGGGGTTCCCGGGACTGAGGGGTTTCCTGGGACTGAGGGGTTTCCCGGGACTGAGGGGTTTCCTGACTGAGGGGTTCCCGGGACTGAGGGGTTTCCTGGGACTGAGGGGTTTCCTGGGACTGAGGGGTTTCCCGGGACTGAGGGGTTTCCTGACTGAGGGGTTTCCGGGACTGAGGGGTTTCCCGGGACTGAGGGGGTTCCCGGGACTGAGGGGTTTCCCGGGACTGAGGGGTTACCGGGACTGAGGGGGTTCCGGGACTGAGGGGTTTCCTGGGACTGAGGGGTTTCCCGGGACTGAGGGGTTTCCTGACTGAGGGGTTCCCGGGACTGAGGGGTTTCCCGGGACTGAGGGGGTTCCCGGGACTGAGGGGGTTCCTGGGACTGAGGGGTTCCCGGGACTGAGGGGTTTCCTGGGACTGAGGGGTTTCCCGGGACTGAGGGGTTTCGTGACTGAGGGGTTCCCGGGACTGAGGGGTTTCCCGGGACTGAGGGGGTTCCCGGGACTGAGGGGTTTCCCGGGACTGAGGGGTTCCCGGGACTGAGGGGTTTCCCGGGACTGAGGGGTTTCCTGACTGAGGGGTTCCCAGGACAGAGGGGTTTCCCGGGACTGAGGGGGTTCCCGGGGCTGAGGGGTTTCCCGGGACTGAGGGGTTTCCCGGGACTGAGGGGTTCCCGGGACTGAGGGTTCCCGGGACTGAGGGGTTTCCCGGGACTGAGGGGTTCCCGGGACTGAGGGGTTTCCCGGGACTGAGGGGTTTCCTGACTGAGGGGTTCCCAGGACAGAGGGGTTTCCCGGGACTGAGGGGGTTCCCGGGGCTGAGGGGTTTCCCGGGACTGAGGGGTTTCCCGGGACTGAGGGGTTCCCGGGACTGAGGGTTCCCGGGACTGAGGGGTTTCCTGGGACTGAGGGGTTTCCCGGGACTGAGGGGTTTCCTGACTGAGGGGTTCCCGGGACTGAGGGGTTTCCCGGGACTGAGGGGGTTCCCGGGGCTGAGGGGTTTCCTGACTGAGGGGTTCCCGGGAACGAGGGGATTCCCGGGACCGAAGGGGTTCCCGGGACTGAGGGGTTTCCGGGACTGAGGGGTTCCCGGGACCGAGGGGGTTCCTGAGACCGAGGGGTTCCTGGGACTGAAGGGTTCCCGGGACTGAGGGGTTCCCGGGACTGAGGGGTTTCCTGGGACTGAGGGGTTCCTGGGACTGAGGGGTTTCCCGGGACTGAGGGGGTTCCCGGGGCTGAGAGGTTTCCTGACTGAGGGGTTCCCGGGATCGAAGGGGTTCCCGGGACTGAGGGGTTTCCCGGGACTGAGGGGCTCCAGGGACTGGGGGGTTCCCGGGGCTGAGGGGTTTCCGGGACTGAGGGGGTCTCTTGGGACTGAGGGGTTTCCTGACTGAGGGGGTTCCCTGGACTGAGGGGTTTCCTGACTGAGGGGGTTCCCGGGACCGAGGGGGTTCCTGGGACTGAAGGGGTTCCTGGGACTGAGGGGTTTCCGGGACTGAGGGGTCTCTTGGGACTCAGGGGTTCCCGGGACTGAGGGGTTTCCTGACTGAGGGGGTTCCCGGGACTGAGGGGTTCCCGGGACTGAGGGGTTTCCTGGGACTGAGGGGTTTCCCGGGACTGAGGGGTTTCCTGACTGAGGGGTTCCCGGGACTGAGGGGTTCCCGGGACTGAGGGGTTTCCTGGGACTGAGGGGTTTCCCGGGACTGAGGGGTTTCCTGACTGAGGGGTTCCCGGGACTGAGGGGTTTCCAGGACTGAGGGGTTCCCGGGACTGAGGGGTTTCCTGACTGAGGGGTTCCCGGGATCGAAGGGGTTCCCGGGACTGAGGGGTTTCCCGGGACTGAGGGGCTCCAGGGACTGGGGGGTTCCCGGGGCTGAGGGGTTTCCGGGACTGAGGGGTCTCTTGGGACTGAGGGGTTTCCTGACTGAGGGTGTTCCCTGGACTGAGGGGTTTCCTGACTGAGGGGGTTCCCGGGACCGAGGGGGTTCCCGGGACTGAGAGGGTTCCCGGGACTGAGGGGTTTCCGGGACTGAGGGGTCTCTTGGGACTGAGGGATTCCCGGGACTGAGGGGTTTCCTGACTGAGGGGGTTCTCGGGACTGAGGGGTTCCCGGGACTGAGGGGTTTCCTGACTGAGGGGTTTCCCGGGAATGAGGGGGTTCCCGGGACCAAAGGGGTTCCTGGGACTGAGGGGTTCCCGGGACTGAGGGGCTCCCGGGGCTGAGGGGTTTCCTGACTGAGGGGTTCCCGGGACTGAGGGGTTCCCGGGACTGAGGGGTTTCCTGGGACTGAGGGGCTCCAGGGACTGGGGGGTTCCCGGGGCTGAGGGGTTTCCTGACTGAGGAGTTCCCGGGACTGAGGGGGTTCCCGGGACTGAGGGGTTTCCGGGACTGAGGGGTTCCCAGGACTGAGGGGTTTCCTGGGACTGGGACTTTCAGTGCGCAACCCAGGAAAGTCCCCGACAAACTTAGTCCAAGTAGCCGCCGCCTTCCTCGGCACCTTTGTGAAATTTCCGACCTCGCCCAAGGCCGATTCTGCTGCTTCCTCTTCCCTGGCCTGCCTGTCCTCATCTACTCACGGTCGTGATCTAACAGGGTGCACATTTCCTGCGTGTCCGCCCGTCTTCCTTCACCAGCACACGAGCTCCCAGCAAGCAGGGACTTTTTCCTGCTGTGCTCAGAGCCTTCTCCTCGGCTGCTGGTCTTGTGCCAGGCACTTTGTTGGAGTTCAATCAATATTCCTCAAGTGGACAAAAGTTGGTATTATAATCCCTCTCCCCAGGGTGCATTCAGGCCACCCCAAACCAGGCAGGGGCTACTCAGAAACAACTGATCCTCCTCTGACACAAAAGGGCACACCTTCCGGGATTTGCCATTCTCGCAGAATTTCTCCTGATGTTCGAGCCTCCATCGTGGTGTGTCCCAGGAGGAAGGCAATGCTCCTGGAGGACCCACGTCCAGCCCCGGAGCTGCCCTCCTGGGTTCAGATGCCTCCGGTTCAAACAGTCCCCATGGACGCCCACGGAGTTGGGTGGGAAGTGTTCTCAGAGCCTCCCTCGATGGGAATTTCTAAGGAAACAGGTTTTCAGAGACTTACTTTTAGCAGAAGCAGCTAAAACATGGTATTGTATGACTCCCTACTCATCTATGAATTAGAACTTGAGGAATTCTCTTTGTAAAAGTTCCTTGGACTCAACAGTAGGATACTAAGTGGACATATTTATCTGTTGTTCATTGGTTTGTTCAGGGTGAGCTGGAATATGTAATACCAAGTAAATGATAAAGATCCGCACAGCTCAGGAAGGTAGTGTCACCTTCCAACTGCCTGTTTTCAATGCACTGAAAAGAAGCTTCTGAGCACCATCGCCTCATCCTCCAGCGGCCCCAGCTCCCCACCTGCAGCAAACACCTGCACACAGGTCCCCCACACACCCTCTGGCCCTGCAGTCCCATCCTCAGGGTTGTGCACACAGGTGCCCCCACACACCCTCTGGCCCTGCAGTCCTATCCTCAGGGTTGTGCACACAAGTGCCCCGTACGCACCCTCTGGCCCTGCAGTCCCGTCCTCAGGGTTGTGCACACAGGTGCCCCCGCACGCACCCTCTGGCCCTGCAATCCTGTCCTCAGTGTTGTGCACACAGGTGCCCCCGCACGCAACCTCTGGCCCTGCAGTCCTGTCCTCAGGGTTGTGCACACAGGTGCCCCCACACACCCTCTGGCCCTGCAATCCTGTCCTCAGCGTTGTGCATTCTGAAGGATAAGTGGGAGGGGGCATGTCCTGGGACCCCCATCTGCAGGAATGTGATGAGCTTCAGGAAGGGCAGCCATATGAAAGCCTCCCTCTATGAAAAAGGAGTGCCCAGGAGACATCAGCTATGTTTAGAAGCAGGAGGAAGATGAAAAACCAAAGTGTTAAAACAGGCATACGCAGGAAACCCGCTTTCTCCCCTTCCCTGGGTTGATGATGACCGGGACAGTCACGCTTGGATGAAAGGTCTCCCTGGAGGTTGTCTTCACCATAGGCCGGGGTCCCGGAGTGTGCGGAGCGATCATGGTGGGCACTGATCTGAGGAGAACAGGCCGCCCGGCCGAGGAGAGGGGCCTCTCCAGGTGAGTCCTCCAGGCCTGCGGGGAGGTGAGTGAGAGCCTCTCTGGGCTAGTGGACACGCCTTCTTTTCTACAGGGTGGTCATTTCACATTGTGTGGCTGCAAACACCCATCTTTGCCTGTGGGCAAGCAAACAGATTTGGAAAGGGGGTCTAGCTTGGCTTCCCAGGGCATTGGCAGAAGGCAGGTGACCCTGCGTGTTTGAGAAAACAACCACAATTCATATTAACACCAATGATGCCACGTTTCCTAATGTGCTTCAGCGACAAACAATAGGAAGTTGTAAGTCCTCTGGGAACTGGCCAGCGCCTTAGTATCAGCTGTAAAAGTGACTTCCTATCTTTTGTGTGGGTCACACAAAGGAATGAGAGGAAATTAGTGATTGTGATAGCCAGTTCTTCCCATTCAAATGAAGAAATGGGGTTTCCAAACAGACACATACCACTTTTAAGCTTTCCTGAACAGCCATGTGGAGCAGATAGGGTTCTAAATTCTCATGCTTTGGGCTATTTTGGTGGTACCTTTATGAAAGAATAAAAGCATAGCATGTTCTTTGGTGCACATATATTTCCTTTAAGTAAGAGCCCGCCGGGACCACAGCGAGACTCCTGTTCTCAAGCCCCAGCCACAGCATCAGCATCGCGTGGACCCAGGCTCTGGAAATGAGAAAACAACTGTGTCAGCTCATGCGGCTGCAACACTTCTGATTTTCAAGGCTAAAAAAGTTGCTTTTCTAGAAATACATATGAAAGAAAATTCTGTTTCCAATAACCACCACCACACACCCCTAATGTGCATTTTGAAATTCCCTTGTTCAGGGTATATTGACTGGCATTAGATATATTGGTATATACAGAACATGCAAAATGATATCACTGTCTGTATCCCCCGATGCTGTGGACACCTCTAAAGATCTCGTCTGTTATGCTTCTCCTGGGTGTGTTTGGTGGAGAAGTGTGTAGAGGGAATTCAGTGTGGAACCTGAAAGCATAGGCTTCGAACTCAGGCAGAACTTGGATTTGAATCTTGTCTTTCATATAAATTATCTGTGTGACCATGGGCAACAGACTTAAAACTCTAATCTTCATGTTTCTCCTCTGCTGAGAGAAAAACACTCACTTCAGAAAGGTGCTGTGAAAGCTCTCACAGATGATGCAGAGCCTGTGGTTACCAAATATCAGCCATGATTGTTATTTGATTAATACTATCTGCTGTTCTCATTATATGAGGATGCATTATGGTGATTTTCAGTGAGATAAAATCACAGAAATTAAACAGTTGGGCTCTGCTCCTGGGCTTGGGGTGTCAGGAGGCCATCAGAGCTGAGAATGGGCGTCCATCCATCCTGGGCACTCTGGCAGCACATAGGCCCGGGGTGCCAACCTCTGCGGCTCTGCAGTGTGGAGCGTGAGGTTGAGGGGCTCCCAAAGCCGGCTTTGCCTTGGCAAAGGTCATGGATGCCCACTGCATCCTTCCCAGTTGCAGGTGAGGCTCCAGCAGCAGCCAGAGTGTGAGGGGAGTGGCATGAATAGGGCAGATGAGTCTCACAGAGCACCAGAGGGGACAGCTCCTAGAAGACCATGTGTGTGTGGGCACACGCGGCAGCCGCCCTCACTGGCCCAATGCACGCCAAGCCCTCTGAGCCCTGGCCTGGCCCAGATGACCCGCTTTAGGGCTGGCCCTGCCTCCACAGATGCGTGTTGGGTGCAGCTGGCTGGCTTCCCTGGGTGGTGTCAGAGCCCCATCTCCTATCCGCATCTCTGCAGCTCCTTTCCACCTTCCTCTCCTGGCTTCAGATACGGCTCTGAGGAAACCGGACCCTCACACCTCCATGAGCACTGCGCCTCTTTCTCAATGCTTCTTTGAACCTTTGCCGTGGACTGAGAGGGATTCTTTTGTGCTGACTGCAAATTTCTGAAACAAGCTCATGCAAATTTCCCACATTCTGCCTTTTACCAATCAGCTCACTCCTTCTCTAATTTCAGGCCAAACCCCAGGATCATGCAGAATGAGACAAAAGGTGGCGACTGAGGAGGCACGTCACCCACAAAGGTGGCGCTTCAGCCTCTGGGGCTTCAGGGGTGAGGCCATTTCTTGAACGCAGGTGATTTAGGAATCTGTTTTCATCCACCCGATAAAATGTACTAATCCCAAGAGAAAGACCTCATCCAACCTGGCTTTGATCTATTAGGGAGAACTTCTGGGATATTCTTTATTGCCCAGGTGATATGAAGAACAGCATGACATGGTGCCGAAGAGCAGTTACATGGACATTAGCATGGAGCACAGTGCCAGGCCTCTTTCTGTGGGCAGCAGGGCTCCATCCACACCCCTCCAGGCACCACTGGGACTTCCAAAATGGGGGTCTTCACTGCAGCAGGCTTCAGGGCTGTGGTGTTCATGGCTGTGGTCTTTGGGTTTGGCTGTGATGTTCATGGTCGTGGTATTCTGGGCTGTGGTCTTTGGGACTGTGGTGTTCATGGTCATGGTATTTAGGGATGTGGTGATCATGGTTGTGGAGATCGTAGTTGTGGTGTTCATGGCTGTGGTGATCATGGCTGTGGTGATCGTGGTTGTGATGTTCATGGTCATGGTATTCCGAGCTGTGGATCTTCACAGCCGTGCTCCTGGCTTTGGTCTTCAGGGCTATGTTTCTCATGGCTGAGATGGTCAGGAGGCCACATTTCTGGCTCTTCCTCCTTCTCCTCTTTGTTGGCATTGGCGGCTGCCCTGACCTTGCCCTGCCATGCATACTTCTTCCACTGTCTTCCAAGCCACCAGTCTGTGAGTAATTAGATGGGCAGGTGATGAAATCCTGGAAGACAGAAAGTCCTGATCCTCAAATGAGCACCATACACTGGACCCCCCAAGCAGCACAGTAAAGATCACGCCCAATTCCGAATCAGAAGACTCAAGATCCTTGCTTCTTAGATGCAAATAAGGTGGCTTAAAGTGATGGCTGAGAGCTCCTGATGTGAAGTTTAAGAGCCTGGACTCAAATCTTGACTGTGCTGCAGCAAGTTACGTGGCTTTGGGGAACTTAGCGCACCTCTCTCTGTGTCTTGTCTCATCTCCACAGGGTTGAAGAGAGCAATGACCTCCAGGGTTGTGAGGATTAAGTGAGATCATGGAAGGGCTCAGTCCTGTTAGAGCGTGAATCTTCTATATTTGTTAATTTTTACCTTTCATTTTGATCGTGATGTATTCCTAGTGCCAAGTGCACTGGTTTCTCAGAGTCACAGTTCCCCAGGCTTCTGGCTTCTCTGCCTCTACCTGTGGGGCTCAAGCCTGGCTTATGTGCTGGGCAGGGGGAGACTCGATGCCAACTCCTCCATTATCTTATTCTTCATTCTGTTAATTCAGGGTTCCTAAAACAGGCAAACAAACAAACGAAAGATTAAGCAAACAAAAAGTTTCCTTCTCCAGTACAAAAAAGAAAGAAAGAAAGAAAGAAGAAAGAAAGAAGAAAGAAAGAAAGAAAGAAAGAAAGAAAGAAAGAAAGAAAGAAAGAAAGAAAAGAAAGAAAGAAAGAGAAAGCAAGCTGCTGTGGGTCAGGTCCCATAAGT
This sequence comes from Homo sapiens, assembly GCF_000001405.40. Classification (NCBI taxonomy): domain Eukaryota; kingdom Metazoa; phylum Chordata; class Mammalia; order Primates; family Hominidae; genus Homo; species Homo sapiens. The sequence goes on along the minus strand of NC_000018.10, from coordinate 78,647,521 downwards.
ACGAGTTCAGAGTAATCAGTGCAGGGGTCCAGGCCTCTTTGTCCTTCCCTCCGCCTCCTGCTCCTGCGGGGACCACAGATGGAGCAGGGCAGGGCTGGACCAGGAGCCTCTGCCCAGGCATGGAGGGTGCACATCTCACCCTGGGATGTGGCCTGTGCAGGACCCAGGGCTCAGAAATGGGGTCCTTGCTTGCAGAGTTGCTGAAACTGAGACAGGCATGGTGGCCACTGAAATTGGGATCTGCAGTTCAGGCCAGGGGCCTGTGGAGCACTGGGTGGTGAGTGTGTAGTTTTGGTTATGAGTCACGGAAGTCAACATCCGGCCTCTCTGTGATGGTGTAGGCATGTGGTGAACAAGAAGGGCAGCAGCCCTGATGTCTCTTCTTCTCCACAGACCCACACTGGCTGAGGGTCTGGGCACATGGCACAGACGAAGTCCTTTCACTGCCAAGAAGCCTGAGCAATGGGTTCCTGCCCCTCACGGACCTGGAGCTGGGGAAGGAAGTGGAAAGGCACTGGCTTGGACGGAGAAAAGCCCCTCAACTGAGCCCCTAAGAAGGGGTCCCCAGTGGAGGTGTGGGGGCAGGCATGCAGATGTGGAAAGAGTGTGGCCAGCAGGGGCCGGAGTCCAAAGCGCAGCTCTCCCGAGGCTGCTCCTAGACGCCAGCCGGGTGAGGCCTTTATAATTGTCCGTGGCAGGGCCTGAAGGGTCCCATGAAGGATTTGGGGCTGGATCCAACTCCCAAGGCCAGGAGGGCAAACAGGGGATGTGGGAACAGGAGGGGCTGGCGTCTGCGGCTGGTGGCTGATGGGGGTCCTGCTGGATGATGGGGGCTGTTGGGGTGGGCCTGGCTTAGAGGGAAAGGGTTTGTTGCCATGCAAAGACCATCCAGGTCCTAAACACAGGGAGCAGAGACGGCGTTAACGAGTTTACACCCTCTATGTGAAGGAAGATGTCCAGGAGAGCCCAGAGTAGAAGTAAAATGTGGGGAAACCCATGGCCACGCTGCATCTCATCTCACGCATTTCCTCAACTGCGGAGCTCTTCTCCATTCGTCTGTCCATCTATCCATCCGTCCGTCCATCCATCCATTCATATCCACAAGGCACACAGAGCCCCTGCTCTGAGCTGGTGCTGCTCTGCAAGCTGAGATGCTTTGCTGAACCCCACCTTGAGCACACACTGCACCATCTTTGTCGTTTCTAACTGTCTCCCTACACAGTTAGTTTCGTGCCATGGTCAGTGCCGTGGAAAAGTCCATGTTCTGATGTTTTCACAGGTGCAGGTGCTTTGGCCTTCAGTCACGGATTCCACCAACGGCACAAGCGCCCTTTGCTCAGATGGACAGGGACGCTGGACACGTACCCCTCAGAAGGACACAGCGCAGCCTTGATCTCACCGTGGACCTAGACCTCCTGGCCGCAGGGCCCTGCTGACCTTAGTGCCTCCTTACGGGGGATCCAGCCCACGCGCCCCAGGAGAGAAGCCAGAGGAAGGAAGCTTCTGAGGCCGAGCTCCTCCTGCGAGGTGAACATTATGCCGCTGACGTGCCGGAGAAGCCAAAAACGCATGCAATTAACTCACAGTGGATTGATATTTTCCATTTTAAATTTTGTCTTAAAAAGTTTCAGAAGTGAATGTAAAGTCTCATAATTGAAAAATATGAAAATATGGAGAACATGGTGTGTTTTATTTTTATTCATCTGTTTGCTATCATAGCAACCCTGCTTTCCCTTCATCTTCACATGTGTTTATATACATATGTAAACACACGTATGACAAAATGCCGAATTTTCACATTTCATTGGTTAATTTTCATTTCTGACCAGCAAGGGGTCAGAAGCGTGTCCTCCCTGCAGGGACTCCCCGGATTTCTCAGCACCTCTGAGCAGGCTTGGTGTGACGCTGAGGAGGAGCAGCGTCTAAAGCCTTCCAGGCAAGAGAGGAGCATATCACCGTGCTCACTGTGGGTGCCCATCAGCCACATGGCGCCCAGGCCAGCCTGGCAGGCTGAGTGTTGGGTGTGGTGTGGATGTGTGGTCTCGCCGCCTGCCCCCGAGGCGCTGAGGTCTGGGCCTGGTGTGGACGTGTGGTCTCGCCGCCCGCCCCCGAGGCGCTGAGGTCTGGGCCTGGTGTGGACGTGTGGTCTCGCCGCCTACCCCTGAGGTGCTGAGGTCTGGGCCTGTGTTCCCACCACGGGTTGTGATGAGGCCCGTGGGAAGATCTGCTCAGCCCAGGTGCTTACAAGAGTGGTCACGTGGCCTTGGTCTGAGCCCCTGAGGATGCCGGCAGGAGGGCTAGAAGCCAGGCTGTCCATCCTGGTACACAGGGGGTCCTGTGGTGTTCTGCCAGGTGAGGCTTGGGGGTGCAGGATGGAAACCCTGGGATTTGGAGGGTTGGCGGTTTAAGGGCCAGGGCTCATCAGCCACTGGAAGTAGGTTGATACCTGGAATGTGCCTGACCTTCTGGGCTGGTCTCCACATTTTTGACTCTGATGCTGTTTGCGGGCGGAGCAGTGCTGGCTGAGAAGACATGGTGAACACTGAATGAGCGCGTTCTCTGCAGCAAAGTTGAGCCTCGGGCTTGGCATCTTTTAGCAAAAGATTTATGGTCCCATCTCAAATAACTTTGTGTAGCAGAATGCTGAATTTTCACGTTTTATTGGATAATTTTCATTTTGGGCTATTGGTCCGAAACTCGTGACAGAAAGATATCACTTGACGATAGTATCATTCATCAAGTAAGAGAGACTAATTATCTTATTTTGAATGTGGATTTAAATTCATTCACCCTGCAAGTCCCTAAATATTGGATTGTCGATTTGAAAAATTGACTATGCTTTTCATTTATGTTACACAGATCATATTAGACGCAACAGATGAGCCTCCACCCACGTTCTCAGGTGCACTTCTGCACCTCCTGCCATCGGGTTCTACTTGATTCAGACCCTGAACCATTTTGTGATTGGGAAAAAGTACCCTGGAAGACTCAGTACCTGTTAGCCTGATCCTGGGTTCCGTGGGGCTTAGCACTAAGTGGACGCCCAGGATATCATTGTGGACCCAGTGGCACTCCAGGAGTGCTGGCTGCCCGCGGCTCTAAGGGTGCTGATGCGGTCTCCTGCCCTGGTGCGTGACTCCATGTGCCAAGGCCACGCGCACCTCCCTCAGGCCCCTTTCTGACTCTGCTCCACTCCACGTTCTGTCATCTGCGCACCAGGCACCTGCTGAGCACCCACAAAGACATGGCCACCCCCTCCTAGGCATTGCACACGCTGAGGAGGGCTGTGGTAGGAACGAGACTCAGCCCCCTGACCACTGAGGGTCCTGTCCTGGGGATGTCCACACTTGCCTTCCGCACTGGTTCCTGGGGAAACCCCTGCCACCCTTCCCAGCCTCCTCCACAGGGTCCTGACCTCACGGACTCGGGCGTGGCCCATGCTCTTCGTGCCGTCGTCAAGTTCACCTCTCGACAGCTCAGAGTCCTGGTTCCCAGGCCCAGGTACTGGGACCTGTGTGGATTCCAACTGTAGAGACCACCCTGTGGACGCTGCTCCATCCAGCTGAATCTCCCTGGTACTCTCTGGCCGGAATCAACATGCTGCTGGCTACTCCCTTGGATGCCCGTCTCATCTGCTCACCTGTGGCCCTCAACAGTCACCCTCTGCTCCTGGGCCACTTTCTCCAGCACCTGTGCCCTCCAAGGCAGGAAAATTGTGTGCCTGGTCCTAGCTCCTTTATTTTCCTCTCCTGGCCCATTTTGAGGAACAATAAACTCACACCTGAAGCTTAAATTACTACACAAAAGGTGGTATTGTAATATTTTTCATTGTAATTGCAAAATTAATGTGGAATTATGGATCTAATTAATTTACACTTATTTGGATGAACAGCCCAATAGACAGAAGTTTGAAAGCTGAGAGGATACAGATTATTTTGCAAGTTACATTACCAAAGAATTTTGGAAATGGAAGATTCTTACATGAAAGGATTGTTAATGTGATTTTGCTTTAAAAATATAACCTGTATTGGCAATTAATGAAATAATATGTAATTTAGAACAACTAGTTAATTTCGTAGAAACATTTTGTCAGAATTTCTGAGAAAATAATGCTTTAAATCTTTTTAACTGATCAAAACACTTTAAAATATTTGAGAAACATCCAGCTGTGTGGAGATTGCTATGAGAAATTAGGCTCACCCAATTTTTTCTTTCCTCCATTACTCATGTGTGTGTGCCCAAGTACTATTAAAAACTTAAGTAGGAAGTGAATTATGTAACTGCTATTACTGTCAAACATCACACTTGTTTCGTCAGCCCTAAGAGGCCAACTATACGTCTGTGGTTATCATCCCCGCCTTCAGGCTGGGGTGAAAAATAGAAGGTTCTTGATAGAATTTCAACTTCCTCTTACTCTAACTTCACAGGTTTTTCTAAATCCCCTTAGAATGGTGGCAAGATTTCTGCCAGACCATCCACCTTTGCAAGGTAACGTTTCTTTCAGCCATGATTCATGCAATTGATTATGTTGTTATTTAATGGAAAGAGGTGGCTCCTATAATGTGCACTGAGGAGTTGGATTCTTGATATAATAAATACACCTGCTGCTGTGTGCAAGGAGACCAGCTGGATGCTGCTATTGCTGCCTGACAGCCCCGCCGTAGCTGCTTTTCACATCCTGCTTTGCTTCGCAGGGCAATCCTGGCCCCTCTTTATCTGTCTGAATAACTCAAAGGCAGTCCCCTCCTTCCAGAGGGCCTTCCTTGCTCAATTGCTTTATGATGCTAGTTTGTTTATAACAATATCACATTTCAGTGGGGAGCCAGCTGGCTACTCTTCAAATTAAGAACAGATACAGTACCTGTCTCTGCAGAGAGCAAGGAAACTGACCATTTAGATCAGCATTATTGTCCCTTTTAATTTTTAAATGACTCCTGAGATCATACGCTGCCTGCTAAGCCTTTGTTATTGGTTAATGAGCGCTGTGCTGGTCAACGGAAAGCTTTGTTAACGTCCCACTCATAACTTATAAACAAATTCAGCTAGAAGAAAATTTTTGTTTAACACATGGATGCCAGATATTTGAAGAGTTCTTAGGGATTCCAAACTGGAAACACTTGTTGTGGCTAATGTGAATATCAAATCTGGAGTGACAATTAGCGTTGGACAACGCTCTAAAAGGGGGCTTGGCAAGTCCCCGAGACTCTCTGCCAGCGCATTTTTCATGGATGGCAGCAAATTACTCCCCTGCTCTTCCATTCATCTTCCTCAGTTGCTGACCCTGATGGATTCCAGCCCTTCTGTGTCTGCACCGTCTTTCTGATGAAAAGGTACACATTATGCATAGACTGTCTAACTGATGTTTAAGCTGGTCTGATGTTTGTTAATCACAATTAAAAAAAGGGAACTCTATTAATTTGTGGTCAAAACTCTTGGACAGACAGTGATAACTTGAGAAATGTAGTTCCTCAAATTCCAGTCATATCCTACTCGTCTGCACTTCTGCCTTTGCTCTGCTATATTCTCTGTGAGTCATCCTGCTTCAGGTAGCATCTTCCTGTCTAGTGCAATCAGGGTAGGGTATACCGTTTTTGGTAGAACTGGGCCTTTACTCAGCCTCTAAAGGCCCAGTCTTTAAGCTGTTTTGGTTAAAGGCTGGGCCAGCACACAGAAAGCTAAGGTGCCACCTATACACTATGACTTAATGAGACCTAAATTACTCATATACCCCAGCATCTGTCTTAGCCTGCCAAGTGACAAAATTTCACTGCTACAGGTAAAGTCATCACTCCAGAAGACCCTATTTGAAAACACAACAACTAATTAGCAGGAGTGATACATTCACTCGTTGGTATCTATTAGTTCATTAGAGTGAAGCTGCCCTTAGATAATGAGATGTTGCAGGCTGGTGTTGCTACAGCTGTATGATTAAGGTGAAATGTGAAACATATGTCCATTGTTTTCTTAAGATTAAAAAGTACAATGTGCCATTTACAAATGGTGTTTGGCTGTAGTAGGGTAGTAGAGACCCCAAATGATCATGGTTTAAATAAATTAGATTTTTTTTTTCTCATGAGAAGTCTGGAGACAAGCAATTCAGGGCTGGTGCGGTAAGTCCACGACATCCCAAGCTCCTTTAATCTCTCGGTCCCGCCATCCTTAATGCCTCCTTGCTTTCTCTCCCCGAAGTTACCCTGTGGTCACAAGATGCTTGCTGACTTCTAGCCATCATTTTCACATTCCAGGTCAGAAGAAGAAAGATGTAGAGAAAGGCAAAGGGGGCACAAAATTCAAGTTCCTTTATTGGAAACTTCACTCTATCACTGTAAATTACATTTTTTGGAAATTCCTAGGTGCGAGACAGGCTGGAAATAAAGGTGATAGCTGGGCATATCGCCACTTCAAAGGAAATCAGGGAAAAGGTGGGAAATAGGAATGCCAGCCAAGGAACTCGCATTTCCTATCACAACAGAGGAGTACAAATTAGCGGAGGGACTCTGGCAATGTGCATTCTGCTTGGGGGAACTATCACCTGGGGAGAAGCTGATGTGGTCTATTCAAGTTGGATGCAGAGACCTATGCCAGAGCTCGTGCTTTAGCTGGGAAAGTGCCCCTGCTGTCTGTCCACAGGAGCCTTGGAGGACTTCCCCCTCTTCACGTGACAGGACCCAGGAGAGGCGTGCCAGCCTCAGCTCAGCTCGCTGCCAGCTGAAAACTTCAAAAGAACATCAAGATCAGCTTCTCACAGTGTTTGAAAGGATTTGAAATTCATTCTCACCCTACATAGACTTGAGCCACTCTGTGGTTACAATGACGTGTTTTGTTTCCCATATAACCTCACTTTCTAATTCTTAACAGTTTGGAATCCTCTTATTGGTGACTATCCCTGCAGTTTCTAAATTAACTGGTAAAATGTATGTCTGACAAGGAGGAAAGAAGAAAAAAGCCCGCTGAACTGAGCTGCAGGGGGCTTGGCCAACCCATTCTCTAGCTCAGATACTTTCTCTCACACAGAACCTCACTTCGCATGGGATCAGCAAATGGCCTGTTATTTCATGTCTCAGAAGGGGGCTTGGCCAACCCATTCTGTAGCTCAGACACTTTCACACGCCAACCTCACTTCAGATGGGATCAGCAAATGGCCTGTTATTTCATGTCTCAGAAGTGTGACACTGTTCACAAGTCACAAAAGCAACAAATGCTTGTTCACTAATGCAGGGAATCTACTGCATTTCTGCATTTTAAATAAAAATGATGAATCAAGATTTTCAACTGTCTACAGTGGGAGCTCACCTTATTACCCACCTAGACTGTCTACAGTGGGAGCTCACTTACTCCCCATCCCAGCTGTCTACACTGGGAGCTCACCTTAATATCCATCTCATCTATCTACACCGGGGAACTCATCTTCTTACCCACATCAGTGTCAACACTGGGAGTTTACTAGTTTACTTACTACTCATCTTGACTGTCTACACTGGGGAGTTTACCTTATTCCTTATCATGATTGTCTACACTGGATAATCCACTTACTCATCATCTTGATTTTCTACACTGGGGAGCTGGCCTTACTGCCCATCTGGACTGTGCACACGGCGGGGCTCACTCTACTCTCCCTCTGGACTGTCCACACTAGGGGCTGGCCTCACTCTTCAGTAATGCACCTGGCACCGAGGGGGCGGTGCCCGTGACAGTGGCAGTCACTCTGAAGTGGGAACTGGCTCTCCCGTGCTGCAAATGCCTCTGGAGCTCCCAGCAGTCCCCACGCTCCCCCATGAGCGGGTGAGTGGTGAGGCCGGAGAGGGGAGTCACGGCAGCCCTTGAGGACCATCCAGTTTGGAATCTGGGATACCAGGAGGTACTGCAGAGGGGCGGCTGGAGCCTGGGGGCTGAGGAGAGAGAGGAGACTGGACGACGTGTTTGGAGTATTCATGGTCAGCTTTGGGGGCTGCTTACCCTTCCCTCTTTTGAGAACAGTGCTGGCCTCTGGTCTCAGAAAGGAGCTGGCCTGTGGTCTGGCTGGAGGCTGGGGCACCCGTGCTGGGAAGGTTATGCTATTTCTGTGAACGGTGTCCCTTTGCTGGGACGTGCCCACAACTCCAGCTGTGAAACCAGAAGAGAACAGACTCGTTTGTCAAGACGTCAAATGACCTGAGCGACCCTTCAGCCTCAGGGATGTCTGTTGTAATCTTCAAAATGTGTGTTTGGCTTTCCCCCCTCTGAGCTAAACAAACTTTGGTTTCCCTTCCCTCTTGTCAATATATCATGCTTTATAGCACATTACATGATTAAAAAGAGAGAGAAACATCTAGTGCAAGAACCCTCTGTGTGGCCTCATAAAATATTAATGGATTCAGAGAGGAAATGTGAAATCAACATCCCCTTGCATGCACTGGCTTGTGCTGGGTCTGGTTTCGGCGGCGGTGAGGCCAGGCCTGCTCCTGGGAAGAACCTGCAGGAAAGGCCGGAGTCACTGCCAGTCCAGAAAATGCTGTGTGGTATGTGGGTGGTGTGTGGTGTGGGGTGTGGTGTGTGGTGTGTGGCATGGTGTGTGCTGTGGTGTGTGGTGTGTGTGGTGTGTGTGGTGTGGTGTGTGGTGTGTGGGTGGTGTGTGGTGTGTGCTGTGTGGGTGGTGTGTGGTGTGTGGTGTGTGTGTGGTGTGTGGGTGGTGTGTGGGTAGTGTGTGGTGTGTGGTGTGTGGTGTGGGGTGTGTGTGGTGTGTGGGTGGTCTATGGTGTGTGGTGTGTGGTGTGTGCAGTGTGGTGTGTGCTGTGTGGTGTGGTGTGTGCTGTGTAGTGTGTGCTATGCGCTGTGTGGTGTGTGCTGTGTGGTGTGTGCTGTGTGGTGTGTGCTGTGTGGTGTGTGTCTGGTGTGTGGTGTGTGTGCTGTGTGGTGTGTGCTGTGTGGTGTGCTGTGTGCTATGCGCTGTGTGGTGTGTGCTGTGTGGTGTGGTGTGTGCTGTGTGGTGTGTGCTGTGTGGTGTGTGCTGTGTGGTGTGTGTCTGGTGTGTGCTGTGTGGTGTGGTGTGTGCTGTGTGGTGTGTGCTGTGTGGTGTCTGGTGTGTGCTGTGTGGTGTGTGTGCTGTGTGGTGTGTGCTGTGTGGTGTGTGCTGTGTGGTGTGATCTCATACTCCAATGGAGACACGGAAGAGGGCAGACGGGCAATGTCCGTGCCACCCGGCGTGTAACGGAGCGTGTGCCTGGGAATCACGACCTTGAATCCCACTTAGGGGGCTCCCTGCAGCCTCCTCCACTGCGGCCCTGACACACGCGGGTGTGGTTCCCTCGGACGCTCCCTGGCTTCCCTCTGTCCTCGCCGCCGCCCGGGGCCAAGTGCTGCTCGGTGCCTCCTTCCCAGCCGCCCTCCCCAGCCCCAGGCCGGCCGGGGCGCCCTGCAGCCTCCCTAAGGGGCCTGCGCTTCCAGACGGGTTGCGTTTCCGACCTGCAACAGGCACAACAGGTCTGGAAGGACCCGAAGGTGACTTTAAAACAGTTTCCGAGAGGGTGGCCACGGTCAGGCACCGGGAAGATCCAGCTGAACTGAGAGGGAGGTGACCCGCCTGCAGGAGGCCTGGGCTCCGGGTCTGCACTGCGGTGGGTGCGGGGAGGGAAACGGCCGCGCGGGCCCCAGGCGCCAAGGGAAGGAGCGCCTCGCAGGGGCGCGAACCCAGGGCTGGGGGCCCTTCCCGTGTTTCAGCAAAGCCAGGCCGGTGGCCCCCGCTGAGCATCTGCGCAAAGCCCCGCGCCATGGGACTGAGGCTGAAGGACTCTTCATCCATCACTGCCCCGGCCAATGTGCCGCTCGGCGATCGGTGGGAAATTCAGGCCATCTGTCTCTCCCGCCCTGCCCGGTTCCCTTCAGGGTTCCCCACGGCCCCCTCTGCGGGGTTTGTCCCGTCCCTGGCGAGGCAGCCCTCGCAGCCGGGCCTGGAGAGAAGGCAAAGCAGCCTCGGAAGCCTCTCCTGGGAGTCGGTGACACAGGGAGCCCAGCCGGCCGGGAGCCGAGAGGCGATGCCACAGGGACAGAGGGGCCGCTCCGAGTAGAGCAGAACAAGGTGCAGCCCAGGCCCACCTGTCCACCCGATGGGAAATGCCGCTGCTCATGAAGGAAATCATGAATGCCGCAACGTAGCCAGGCCTGTGACGAGGAGGAAAAACTGCGGGATGTGGGATGTGAGATTAAAAACAAACAAACAAACACACACACACATTTCATCCTTGTAATCCCAGCACTTTGGGAGGCTGAGGTGGGCGGATCACCCGAGGTCAGGAATTCACAACCAGCCTGGCCAACCTGGTGAAACACTGTCTTTCCTAAAAATACAAAAAATTAGTCGGGCGTGATGGCAAGCGCCGTAATCCCAGCTACTCTGGAGGCTGAGGCAGGAGAATGGCTTGAACCCCCGAGGTGGAGGTTGCAGTGAGCCGAGATGGCACCACTGCACTCCAGCCTGGCGACAGAGCAAGACTCCATCTCAAAAAAGAGAAAGCACAACTCACACTCACACACAAACACCCTTACACATGCACTCACATATGCACACACATGCACACTCTCGCACTCTCAGGCACACATGGACCCACAAACACATGCACACACACACACACGCAGGCACACACAACCATGAACTCACATGCACAGTCACACACACGCACTCATACACCTGCGCACACACACGCATTCTCAATCACACATGAACATGCACTCAGACACACACATGCACTCACACATGTACACACTCCCAAACGCATTCACACTGATGCTCATGCACACATGCTCATACACAGACACACACACGCACATGCACTCACAGACACACATGCACCTCTACACACCCATGCACACTCACACATCCACTCACATGCACTTACACAAGGCACACATACACACACCTGCACACACATTCACACATGCACTCACAACCACTCACTTGCACACACATGCACTCACACTATCATGCACTCATGCATTCATACACTAACACATGCACTCACATATGCACTGAAACACTTAGACACATGCACACACAAACACACATGCACACACAAACATGCACTCACACAATCACACACTTTCACCCACACGAGCACATTCACACATGCACTTGCACTCACCCACATTCACACACACATGCACTCCACAAATATGCAACACACACATGCACTCACACACAAACTCATGCATGCACTCACACACAAACTCACACATGCACTCACACACAACCACACACACATGCACTCACGCACATCCATACACTCACACATGCACTGCCACACACACGGACTCATACACATGCACTGATGCACACACATGCACTTACACAGTAATATGCACACACATGCACTCACACACTCCCATACACACACATGCACTCACAGGCACACAAACACATACTCATGGACTCACACAGGCATTCACATACACACATGGAGTTACACATGCACTCACACACACTCATCCACTCACACATTCACACACATGCACTTACACACACACCCATAGACACATGCACTCACACATTTACACACACTCACATGCATACACATGGTCTTACAACTCACATGCAATTGCATGCACTCACACACATGCACACACATGCACTTGCACACACAGGCACACACTCACATGCACTTGGACACACTTACACACAGACACACATTTATTGATTTTCACATGGTGCGAAGTAACTCTACATGGATTTTTCAGACTTCCTTTATTCTCATGGAAATACATGTTGGAATCTATGTTCTTTTGGGGCTATTTTCAAGCAAGCAGTGGTGAGTGGTGGTGTCTGGTGCCAGCGGGAGGCGCAGTCATGTTGATGTGGCCCCCAGCTGCGGGTGGAGCTGCAGCCCCCGGTGGGCATCGCCTAGAGGCGTCTATGAGATGGGATGACAGGGGTGGGGGGACCCTAGAAGAAACACTGGAGGAAATCCCCGGGGGCATCAGCTGCAGCCTCCCACTGCACATAGGGTCTCGGTGCCCTCAGAAATGCACTCTCCAGGGGATCCCCAACACAGACACCCGAGCTGCGAAGAGGAGGAAAGACTGGAATCCGAGAACAAGGCCCAGGGAACTGTGATGTCAGGACACAACTCAGGACCTCCAGTGTCTGTGTTCTCACAGAGACCTCCCCTTCCCAACGTGCCCAGCACTTCAGCCTGCAGCCGACTCCCCTGGCAGTGTGAACGCTCGCCGACTCCCCTGGCGGTGTGGGCCCTTGGGTGCTTTCTGGACGGACTGGTGGTTCTTCGGGTGTAACCGACGGGCCTGGGGAAGGAAGGCGGTGTGTCCGCCTGGCTGTTTTCAGCTTTGTCCAGGTGTGGACGGGGCTGGCTGGTCTCTGGAAGTCCTTGGGGGTGGCCTGCTCCATGTCCTCTGCGAGGCTGCGAGGCATGAAAGACAGCTTGCTTCTCGGAGGGACGTCGGCGCCTTCCTTAGCAGGCCTGTAAACCAAGGGACAGGCAGAGCCATCGTTTCCGGCTTCAGGAAAATGATGAGGTTTTTAAAAAATAATTAAAATGCAATTAATTCTTTTATTGATGTCTCTGACGTTTGAGGACCCCATCGATGGACCACCAGGGTCCCCTGTGCAGCTGTGAGAGTCATGGCTGCTGATGGAGCTGCAGCGTTCGCACCGAGGCCTGCACAGCCCTGACGGGGGAGGACGCAGATCAGCCAGGCCTCGGCTTTCGTGTCTTATACACACGAGTACAGCAATTTTATCAAAGTCATGCTCCAGCACCTCCACGCACTATGGGCTGCTGAATCTCGAGAGCCCGGGAATTTGCGGGTTGGGAGTCACAGTTGTGGGTCAGTGACCCTTGTCACTCGCCAGGACGTTCTACTCAGTACTTTATCCAACAAGCATTTATGAACTCCTGACTTCCAGCCCCTGCACGAGTCCCCAAAGCACAGAGCTGGAGATGAAGACCGTTCCTCCAAATACCATGAGGCCCGGGTGAGGACAGCTGCCGGGACCACACAGGACAGTGAGCGCAGACACACAGGCTTGCACAGCGTGTAGGGGTGGAGGGCGGTCTAGGCATGTGGAGGCACCAGGGCTGGCAGAAAGAGCTCCTGAGAGAGGGCAGGCTTTGCAGGGTCTTGAGGCAGAAACAGGAGTTTCCCAGGTGGAAGAAGAACAAAGCATCGGAGCTGGGGTGGCTGGGTCTGAGAGTTCAAAGAAGCATTGTGACCCAGCCCAGGAACCTGGAGAGGCTCACGAGAGGCCAGGTGGGCTACTCTAGGGCAGACGGCCTCAGGAAGCGTGCAAGCAGCTCTGGAGAGTGTCCGCGAGTCAGGGAGAAGGGCCAGGGGCTCAGCTGGGTACAGGTGCACAGCAAGGAGAATGTCGGCCATCCTAGGCATCTCACTTCCGTCTCCCTTCTGATGAGGAAAGCAAGGCAGAAGCGGGTGCAGAACCTGTCAACGGTTGGCCTTTTCCTCTCTGTGCGACTGCAGCTGCGACAACTGAAGAGAGTGGCCAGGTTCTGGGAAGCCCAAGGGAAGAAGAGAGAAAAAGTGTCTCCAGGAGCAGCCTGAAAGTACGCAGGAAGCCGGACACATTAAGGCTACAACAGTAATTCACATTGCTTCCTGTAGACACATAGAACTAAGACTGTAACAGTAACTCACATTGCTTCCTGTATACACATAGAACTAAGGCTGTAACAGTAACTCACATTGCTTCCTGTATACACATAGAACTAAGGCTGTAACAGTAACTCACATTGCTTCCTGTATACACATAGGACTAAGGCTGTAACAGTAACTCACATTGCTTCCTGTATACACGTAGGACTAAGGCTGTAACAGTAACTCACATTGCTTCCTGTATACACGTAGGACTAAGGCTGTAACAGTAACTCACATTGCTTCCTGTATACACATAGGACTAAGGCTGTAACAGTAACTCACATTGCTTCCTGTATACACATAGGACTAAGGCTGTAACAGTAACTCACATTGCTTCCTGTATACACATAGGACTAAGGCTGTAACAGTAACTCACATTGCTTCCTGTATACACATAGGACTAAGGCTGTAACAGTAACTCACATTGCTTCCTGTATACACATAGGACTAAGGCTGTAACAGTAACTCACATTGCTTCCTGTATACACATAGGACTAAGGCTGTAACAGTAACTCACATTGCTTCCTGTATACACGTAGGACTAAGGCTATGACAGTAACTCACATTGCTTCCTGTATACACGTAGGACTAAGGCTGTAACAGTAACTCACATTGCTTCCTGTATACACGTAGGACTAAGGCTGTAACAGTAACTCACATTGCTTCCTGTATACACGTAGGACTAAGGCTGTAACAGTAACTCACATTGCTTCCTGTATACACGTAGGACTAAGGCTAGGACAGTAACTCACATTGCTTCCTGTATACAGGTAGGACTAAGGCTGCAACAGTAACTCACATTGCTTCCTGTATACATGTAGGACTAAGGCTAGGACAGTAACTCACATTGCTTCCTGTATACAGGTAGGACTAAGGCTGCAACAGTAACTCACATTGCTTCCTGTATACACATAGGACTAAGGCTGTAACAGTAACTCACATTGCTTCCTGTATACACGTAGGACTAAGGCTGTAACAGTAACTCACATTGCTTCCTGTATACATGTAGAATATGGTGTGGACTTTGGGATTTATTAAAAATGAGAAGACATTTCTAATTTCCTTATGCTAGGAGATTTCTCTGGCAACAAAATCGTCTTTCTTCAACTGAGAGGGGCCATTGTCCTAGAGTGAATCAACATTGAGCTCATCTGGCCCACAGAAGCAAAGTGAGACTAACAGGGATGGTTGCATGCTTGGGTTTGTATCTTTTCCAAGGGCATCATCTGTGTGTCTGTTATGACATAGTCAACCCATCGCCATCACGTGAATTTACCACATGAAGATGGGGAAACGGGCATGATGGACCTCAGGAGGATGGAGCAAGCGGGGATGCTGGTCTCTGGGCCACGTTGACAGCTGTGCCCCATGGCTGGGCGGAAGCTTCCCTCGCTGTCTGCGGAGACGGCTTCCCTGCCCCCACATGGTGAGTGATGGTGTTTGCACATTTACCGTGCAGATGGGCAGGTTATGGGCTACACCCAGTCCCAGGACATCTGGCTGAAGCACCATGACTCTCTCAGTCTAGAAAGATGATTGGGAAGCACCAGTGTGAGTCAGAGTGAGTGAGTGTTATTCTTGCACAATATTACATACAGCTTAATTCATGCAAATATAAATCACCCACAAATGTGAGCACCTCGTCACCCGCGGGACATTACTTGTGACTCACCTTGGAACGGGGCTGGCTCTCATGTCTGCAGGGACGGTAGATCTGAAGAGGCCACTCCCTGGGAGGTCCAGCAGGTCCCAGGGAGGCCTGTGACACCCATGTGAGGCTCAGAACGATGTTCTGTGGCCGTGGGAAGTGTGGAAAACCCACTCTCCACAAGTGCCACGTGTGGCCTTGGTTTTCTAAGATGAGCTTCGTTTCAATGCCTTGTGATTTGCCGATGTCAACACAAGCTGCCATGCGTGTGCTGGGGAGACACGGCAGCCCCCAGTCCAGTTGTCTTGCTGGCCTTAGGTTTGAGGAGAGCTCTATAAATGTTAACTGAGTGGATTCTAAAAGAGGTGAGTCAGATGGAATCACAGAACATGATGATGTGGAAACATTAATAAAAATATGTCTTATTTTATAAACTTTTATTTACGAGTGTTCCCATTGTAGGAGCACTTTAAGAAAGGGATAATGCTCATTTTTATGTAACAGTAAAATTTACAAAATCTTCATCCTCTGCCTTGCATCTGATAAGGCCACAATCTCTCCCTTCAGGGGCAGGAAGGGGCATCCAGGAGCGTCCCGGGGACGTGGTCGGAGGGAATTTGTAACAGCAGGGTGTTCGGTGGTGGAAATTTTCTCCTGAACCTGATCAGAGAATGAAGAATGCCACCGTTACAAGATTTACAGGAGAGGGCACCTATATAAATCCATCCGGATATTCTGGGCATACTAAGTAGATTGGGGGAGGAGGGGGTAAGGAGGGGCCGTGACAGTGACTCTTTCATCTCCTGGAGAAGACACACAAATAGACTTTCCACTGAAGAGAAGTCGAGGCCCATGCCCCACCCACGACTCAACGCACTTCTCCCATGACCCCATCAGGTGCCTGGGCTGCTGCACGGATCAAAAGACAGAAGAGTGGCCTGGTGCGCACTGAGCTGAGGGTGAGCAAAGGCAGCCCAGTCGCTGTGGTTCACAGCGTGATGCTTGTGCTGCCACAAAGTGTGCTGTGTGACACACGCAGCCCCCTTCCGTCAGAGCAGCTGAATGTTCCCATGAAGTAAATTTGAATGAGATAATGGCGTGGTCTGTGAACACCTGCTATGCTCTCTCGACTTCAGGCCTGAACTGTAGAATGAAGGAGTTGAACACCAAACCAACATGTGCGTCCTTATAACCCCCCAAATTATTCTGTTCTATTCTACTCATGGCCAAATACTAAAACAGAAATGTTTCCATTAGATGAAAATTCATGAAGATCTATTTCATGAATCATACCAAAAATAATGGAAAAGTTTCATGTAGAACATAACTTCCGATTCAATTTAGATCCATCTTACCGGAACGTATCCCTCGCTGTGTTTACGTTTGACCAGGTGATAATCGGTAAGCCGCTGCTCAGTGAGTTTAGCATGGCCAGCTCACCTCCGCATGTGTATGTGGTCATGCTGATATCTCGGAAAAAGTGAGGACAAACGACATTTCCAGGCAAGCCATTGTTCCCGCACTATTTTAGCATAGTCCTACATTTGTGATGGTTTACAATATGATGATGAATAACACGTGTTTGTTTAAAGTACGTAGAGCTTTCATATTCATTGTTTTGTTTGACCTCGCAGTCCTCTGGGGCAGGCAGGCAGGACAGAGGCCCCGTCTTACTGGCAGGCAGCGTGCTCAGTGTGCCGGGCGGGATCCGCGCCTTCTGCCTCCTCCCCGATGGCGCCCTTCCTCTCCGACCCCGCAGACACCTGCCTACTGCTCTCAGTGTTTCTACTTTACTAGACAGCACAACTTGCACACACCTCAAGTGTCTTATGACAAATGTCCAACCCTGGCAGCAGCATATTGGATCCCGTCCTGTCACGTGTCTGTGACCTGAGCCAGGCTTCCGGGTTTGGGGTCCCTATTTCCTCGTTTTCCTGTTTGTTACTATGGAAACGGGGGTATTGTGGTTAGGAGTAGCAAAAATGCGTTTTCCCAAACTCCCTAATATACACTTTTAGATCTAGAAGAAAGGTACACGTGAGGTGCTTTAAGTTCTTGGAAAGCAAAAAGGTGCGTATAAATGCTGGGTGGTGGCGTCATTATTAGTGATATTATTTCACTTTCTAAAGGCCCAAATTACCAGAGTGTTAACTCATTCCAACAAGGAGGCCCCTCTGGTTGACAGCACGTTTTGAGCGTTCTCCTGTGACCCGAGAATTCCCGGGATCTTTCCCTCCGGTATCGATCATGAGGGACCCCACAGTTCCTGAGTGAGCAGCATAAAAGATGGCTTTGACCTCAGTGACAGACTCGATACTAACATTCTCAGCATCCAGTGTCTCACCCCGTCTCCCAGAGACACATCATCTTTATTTTTATTTCATAGTCTTTGTAAACCATGTGATGATATGGAAGAGGCTGGTTTTGTGCTGCTGTTAATACAAACACACACACAAGCCGAGGACCCTCAGGGACCTCCCAGGACGCAGGGTGTGCGGGCCACCTCAGGTGCAGGGGCCACCCACCTCCGCCTCCTCCCATCTCCCCTCCACTCCCATGGCCCGACCCAGCCCTCAGATTCCCTCACTGTGGCTGCAGCAGCACCTGGCAGCCCACCGCCTCATCCCAGCCTCTCCCTGCGAGATCTTTCAGCCGCCCCGTCCTCGTCTCTAGCCCCCCGTCCTCTGTCCTCATCTCTAGCCCTCAGTCCTCATCTCTAGCCCCCCGTCCTCGTCTTTAGCCGCTGTTATCCTCGGAGGCCTCAGGTCCTTCCTTGCCTCTAGCCCTGTCTCCTGTTTGCCACCCTCCCCCGGCCTCCCTCCTTGTGGGGTTGGATTCTGTTAGACCCCATGGCTCACGTGCAGTCACGACCCAGGTTCTTCTCCCACCAGGAGCTCTCCCCAGCTGCACCTTGGTGTCCCCATGTTGACGGCAGGTGTAGACAGTGATGGGTCTTGCCCACAGAGTGGCCTCGTCACCCTGTGAGTGCTTCTATTGGCAAATCCAGAGGCCCCATGCAATCTGGAGTCCAGTGATGGAGTGAAGTCCACCCTCCCTTTCCTCCGACCCCATCCTCACCATGACCTCCAACCCCAGCCTCACCATGACCTCCAATCCCAGCCTCATCATGACCTCCGTGATAGCAAATCCTGACAGCTGGTGCCTTCCCGCCATCTCCACCAGCTCCACCCTCCTCCTCTTCTCCTCTCGTCTCAACCTCTCCACGGCTCAGCTTCCTTACATCCAAGTCCTTCCAGGTCACACAGGATCACCACACTAACCCTGCTAAAGCACCATTCAAGTCACACCATTGCCCTACTCCAGAACCTTCAGTGGCTCCCTACTGCTGGTACTAAAGTGGCCTTAAATCCAAGGCAGTCCATGGCGTACCTCAACCCTCTCATGAACATTTGTCCCCGTCATCCTTCAAACTGTTTGTGCTGATGAGGCCATTCTATTCTTTTCTGTTGCCCAAGCTCCCTGAACAGTTCTGCTGTAGTCTCTGCAGGAGGCGGGTCCACAAGTGATCAAAATCCAGGGTCACCAGGCCTGAGATGGGGTCACACCAGGGTGCGTGTGCATCCTCCTCCTGGAAAGGCCAGGTGGTCTTCCTGGAGGAAGTGGCATCTGAGTTGATAGACTTACGTGGAGTTACAAATCCTTGTCAGCGAGTCCAGGGCTGGCTGGAGAGTCTTGCCCATGTGAGAAAACGCAGACAGAGAAGTCCCCCGGGGGCTGTGATTCTCTTTCTGAGCCCTCCCTATCATGGCTGGGGACTCTGAGATCCTGGGGTGAAGTGGGCTGCTAGAGGCTGTGGAAGGGACACCTGGCTTCCCAGCAGCTGTGGAATCCTTTAATGAACATAACGTTGGCCAGCAGATGCCCCAGAGCCCCCCTCAGGGGTCGCCCTACCTCCTCATTAACACTCCCCTGAGGCCTCTGGGACTCTGGGTGTTTTCCTCACTGTTCAGGCGTTTGCGATCACAGGCAGGGCTGCACAGTCCTCAGTGATAGCCCTTACCTCCCCCGTTGGCCATGGCAGGACTGTTTACAACACAGAAATTGGCACACACTGTGCATCAGCTTGTGTGTGTGTGTGTGTGTGTGTGTGTTTCTGAGAACTCATTTTCAGCTGTTCACCAGCATACACAGATTTGGGGTTTTCTGTGAAATGTGGTCTGCAGGATCCCTGCTGGCATGTGGCCCGAGGGCTGACGGCATTGGTTGGTAATTGCACCTAGTGGGCTTCCAAGGAAGGGGCCTCCTCAGGGGCAGACGCCTCTCCTGCTTAGACCCTCAGGAGGGGCCCTTACAGACACACCACGGTGCCAGCGCCAGGGCCTGGCTGTTTCTCTCGGAATGCCAGTTTTCACAGCGTGCCCCCACAGAAAGAGTTGCAGGGTGGAAGCGTCAGTCCAGGTCCGCACTCCTGCTCCCCCGGAATGCAGTGACTTTCTTGGAGATAATGAGGCTTGTCCCAGAGAGGAAGAAACCGCACTGCAGGTCCTGGAGGTGAGATGCCTGGATAAGCCATGCCACACAAGGCATCGGAGCCTGGGCCGAAAGCAGCCACCCTCGGGACGAATGGTTCACTTGGCACTGTCCCTCCTGAGCTCAGGGACTATAAAGCGTGCCAGGCGATTTCCCAGAGATTCTCATCTCTGTTCAAGTATTAGCCTGCATCCCACTTTAGGAAAGGAACAAGAAATGACAAAAAAATCAGCATTTGAAAATAATTTCCACTCATTCTTATTGTTTGTGCTTATTACAGCTTCGTTTAAACCAGTGTTTAGCAGCTAACAGTGTAAATGCTCATTTTAACAGTTAAATTTACAGTTTTAGACAGTTTTTATGATGCCCAGCGACATCAATTTGACAAGTCTACTGTTAAAATAACTGTTTAAGCACTACATTTATAGCGGAAAACATTCTTTGTCACTGCTAAATTGACTCGTTTTAACTGCTACTTATTGTCAAAAACTTTTTTAAAAAAAATTACAGAGTGAGAGCATAGCAGTTTCTGTAACTTTGAAATTAAGTCACTCAAATTTTTGGATTACATAGAAACATTGCATTTTAAACAGTTCCTACTAAAAAGTGGGAAAATCATGTATTGCATTTACAGTGAGAACTATTAACTTGATTTATAGTGAAAGCGAAAATTTACTGCGTGTGGCTGGGCACCCAGATGTGAAGAACTTGTCCTGAAGGTCTAGTCGAGTTTTCCTTCCATTTCAAAGAGTTGGTTGAGAATATGGTGTCTTTATTGCTCTTATAGAGAAGTGGATTTACCTTCAGAGGGGGGAGTTAATCACAAATATTAGCATCATTGATAATGAATGCTAAATATTAGAGATTATTGTATCACTGACAGATTTTCATATTAAGAAGGGTAATACATTGTTTGTTTCTGCGGAAAGCGAGCAATTTGGAATTTTTTTTTTGAGACATCATCTTGCTCTGTTGTCCAGGCTGGAGTGCAGTGGCACAATCATAGCTGACTACAGCCTCAACCTTCGGGGTAAAGGGATCCTCCCACCTCAGCCTCTGGAGTAGCTGGGACCATAGGTGTATGCCACCACGCCCAGCTAATTGTTGCATTTTTTGTCGAGATGGGGTCTCATCATGTTACCCAGGCTGGCCTCCAACTCCTGGGCTCAAGAGATCTGCCCACCTTGGCCACCCAAAGTCTGGGATTTACAGGCATGAGCCAATGTACCCTGCTGTGGAATATTAAAAAAAAAATTAAGTGTGCTGTAAGAAAAGTTTAGTAGCATCTTTGATTATATGACCTATTACATATTATATAAACTACTGTATATGTTCTGTTACATATATAGTATCGACATTACATATGTGTATATACATATACGTCTCCTGCTTAGAATCTCGCAATTTGATTTCTGTGGCACTGCATCATTTGTGTGTACAAATGCAGCTTAGATCAAGCATCTTCTTTTTTAAAAGCTTTTAAAACTTTGAATTTGTAAATAATCATTTCAGACGATTGATTTCCGCACTTGTCAATCAGCTGTTCTGATTCCATTAACCTGTATCTTTGTAGGAGATTCAAGCACTTGTAGCATTTTAACAACAGGAAATGATGTCATCAGACATTATCTTAAGTAAATGTACAGTTGATCTTCGCCAAGCAAAAGCATTCTTCATTTTAGCATTGAAATGAGGAAGTAAGCAGTTTCCTTACTTAAACCACACCAGTAATCTCAGGGGGAAATAAAAGAAATCCCGGCATGAGTTATGGGTCTTCTGCCGTGTTTAGAGAGACATTCCAAGTGTTGCAGACAGGTTGGATTTCATGCCAGCTTTGGTGGCCTCTTTATATCACTCTTTAAAACTTCCCAGATAGCTTAGCATTCCCAGCTTTAGGGAACTAATGACCCACTTAGAGGTTTCCCTCTTTTCTCCATCCTGTGGCAGAGGAAACAGCTCAGCTTCAAGAAGTGGTGGCATTAGGGTCTCCAACTCAGTTGTCATATTTCTAAAAGTCTTTACTGGGCACCTAGGACCTGAGCCAGGCTCAGTCTTACATGCTGGTTCCATGAAGGATGCACAGGCAGAGCGAAGGCTCCCCTAGGTCGGCGGATGAGCGCCCAGGTGTGTAGATCAGTCACTGTGTGCATTCCGTCAAGTTCATTGCAGAGGAGGTAACCCAACGGAATGATGGGAAACAGCAGTGAAAGGTTTAAGACTTTTATGAGGAGAAACTAGAGAAACTTTTCTAGAGAAATAGGCTTTTAAGGAAAAGCCAGTGATTTTCTCCCTTTTTTGGTAATAAAAATTGGAAGAAAAATCTTTGAGTGAGCAGCAGAAGAGATGTTGGTGAGAATTTGTGGACAGTCACGGGAATCAATGTGTTTTCATAGCAGGTACTTGGTCACCGAGTGGCACCTACGAGTCTGAAGCCCGTCTTCTGGTGATGCCATTGGTTGGATCTGATTTTATAGTTAAAAAGCAAAAGGACAAACACACACCAACTCCAGGCCATGGCTGTTTCGCAGCCGTCTGTCTGCACTGTGCAGATGTTCCTGCCGCACAGGGGAACCTGCCTTGACTTGATGTCAGTTGGGGCTGTTCACACAAAGAAACCAGGAAACACAGCAGCCTCCCTGCTTCTCTGAGTATTGGTTGGGGACGGTCAGTTTGAGAGATCTTGTGCATCCCTGGAGGCCTCGCTCCCCCGTCCCCCAGAGCCTGGGTGTCAGACCGTCTCTGCCTCTCCCCTTCCCCTTTCCATCCTGCACAGAACACTAACCCTGGCGTCCCTGGCGTCTGTGGCCCCATCGCCCTCTGACCTCCCTGACAGCACTGTGATCTCTTGCAGGGCAGGGGCCATGCTGTGACTCTGCCTGGATCCTCCACGCCCCGCACAGAACCCGCAGGGGGTGTTGACTCAGCAGGGCCACAGCGATGCGTGACTTAATGAAGTTGCTTTCAGTAGAAGGTGAGAGAATTTTAACACCAGTCTGCAGTTTTTCCTTCTAACACCATGAAATCTGTGACAGAGACCGAGAAAGTGTCATTCCTGCCCTGACATCCCAGTACACTAACAAAATAACCTCTAGCAACCTCAGTAAACAGAGCAGGCCAGTGTTCTCACCTAGGCTGATGTACTAGGGAAACCAGCAAACACACCCAGAGCCCTGCAGCCCGAGCTCCTCCCTACCCCTCACTCTGGCTCATGTCCGTCCCATCCCGACCCTGCATGTCATCTGGAAGCTCCCACAGTGCTTAGCTGTGTAAAATCTACAGACCAACTCCAGCTCCATGTGCAGGCCTAATTCTGCAGAAGTATGTGATCATGATAAACTTTTAAATGCAGGCTCAAACAAAGCAACTCTGTAAATATTTCAGTGTGCCCACCTGTTCAAATTATTCACCACAATGAGGTCACCATCCCCCCTGGCTCTCTCTCTCTACTTTTTGTGCTATTGTTCCCGTTTAACAATAGATGCAAGTTAATAAAACCCAATTAAAGATGGGGGGGATGCAGTTTGTAATGATTCAGATAGAATATCCACTCATGAATAATTAGCATAAAGAGCATAAATGTTTCGCGAGGAATTTTGAGCTGTCCTGTGCCCCTGATGTCTAATGAGCTTTCACACACGACTCCAAACTGTGCTTTCGGCCACCGCCTCATTTTGCAGTGCTTCGCGAACATGGTTTGAAACAACAGATTAAAATGTGAAAGGAAAATAAATCTTGAGATCTCAAAACCACGAAGGATATTCCTGTGGACCAAGGACAGGCAGAGCTCACAGTCGTCCCTCTGGTCACATGGGATGAACGCGTTTCTGGGCTCCCTCCGCCCTATTGCTTCTTGAAGCCAGACGAAGGCATGAGTGACTCTTCCTGTAAATTGTTCAATCAGCGAACGATGAATCAGAAACTCAAAATAATGCAACCATTTGTCTGTTATCTACCTATGACCTGGAAGCCCCTCCTTGGTTCGAGTTGCTCTTTCTGGATGGAAGCAATGTCCATCTTACGTATGTTGATTGATGTCTCACGTCTCTTGAAAATGTATAAAAGCAAAGCTGTGGCCCGGCCACCTTGGGCACATGTCGTTAGGATCTCCTGAGGCTGTGTCATGGGTACATCCTTAACCTTGGTGAAATAAACTTTCTACATCAACTGAGACCTGTTAATTTGGGGTTAACAAAAATATACCTGTGGAAAGATTTAAATAAAAATATCAGCCTGTATTTCTACTTTGGTTTACAGTGCTCACAAACGTGGTTCCAGCTTTTTATCTAATTATTACGACTCACTAGCAGTTTCAGTCACAGGCCAATCTCGTCTCACATCCTCCTTCTGAACCCATCAGTGTTCTTGGTCAAGCACCTGGCTGGCAACGAGCCGGGAGTACAGACATGGGAGTGGTTTGAGGTGTAGAAACAGCCCCAGCTTCAGAGCCCTGGCTTCAGATGTGAGAACAAGCATTTGGAATTCTGATAATTTCAAACAGACCTGCACACACCCCTCCTTTGAGGAAATGCTTTCCCCAAATACTTACAGAACTAATTGACCAATGAAAACATATTCAAGAAGAGTGAGTGCTTGATCTCAAACTCTCCGACGAAGCTGCCCTGCGCTCTTCTGTTTCATAGGTTTCCAAACACATGTTCCACACTCGGATGAAGCCATTGTGGCCTCCTCGGATTTGCTTCCTGCAGATGTTTGCTTCCATCCGTGGTTTGGCAGAGAACAGAGCACTACGTTTCCAGCACGTCCTGCTCATCCTGCTGGGGCCCGGACACTTCTTCAGTCAGAATAATTAATATTGTCAGGTACGTGGTGTTTGACGATGCCTGAAAGTTATTTCATTTGAGGCCATTGCATGTTAACCTCCCAGAGAGGGTGTCATCTCTGCAGAACGACCCCCAGGACCTGGTGCTCACATGGACCCTGCTTCCATTGCATCCTGATCCAGGTACAACAGGTGCCTGCGACAGGCGGGGAAACAGAACCAATAGAAAATGCACATGCATGCACACACACACACACACACACACACACACGCAGGAGTTACGAAGAATTGGCTTAGGAAATTGTTGAGGCTGAGGAGTCCCAGGATGGGCCGTTGCAACCTGGAGACCCAGGAAAGCCAAAAGTTCCAGTCTCAGTCTGAAGACCTGAGGAACAGGAGAGCCAATGGGGTGAATCTTAGTCCAAGGGCAGGAGAGGACACAGGTCCCAGCCCAGCAGTCAGGCAGGAAAGGGGAGTTTCTCCTTCCTCCGCCTTTTGTTCTGTCCATGCCCCGAAGCACTGGAAGGTGCCAGCCACTCCACAGAGGGTGGCCAACTTGATGAGGTCCACTGATTCAGATGTTAATCTGTTTCAGGAACACCCTCACAGACACACCCAGAACAATGTTTGACCTGGGCACCCGGTGCTGGTCAAGCTGACACGTGGAATAAACCATCGTCATAGAGGAATGTCCATAGAAGGACTTCCATGGAGGATCTTCCATAAACAGACTTCGATAGAGGATCCTCTATAGAGGGACTTCCATAGAGGGAATTCCATAGAGGATATTCTATAGAGGGACTTCCATAGAGGGACTTCCATAGAGTACTTCAATAGAGGGAGTTCCATAGAGGACCTTCCATAGAGGACTTCCATAGAGGACTTCCATAGAGGAATTTTCATAGATGGACTTCCACAGAGGGAATCCCATAGAGGAACTTCCATAGATAGATTCCATAGAGGTACTTCCACAGAAGGAATCCCATAGAGGAAATTTCATACAGGGACTTCCATAGAGGGACTTCCATAGAGAGACTTTCATAGAAAGACTTCCACTGTGGGACTTCCATAGAAGGACTTCCGTAGAGAGACTTCCATAGAGGATCTTCCATAGAGGGAGTTCCATAGAGGGACTTTCATAGAGAGATTTCCATAGAGGGGCTTCCATAGAGGGACTTCCATAGGGGACTTTCATAGAGGGACTTCCATAGAGGGGCTTCCATAAGGGACTTCAGCTGTGGGACTTCCATAGAGAAACTTCCATAGAGAAACTTCCATAGAGAGGCTTCCATACAGGATCTTCCATAGGGGGAGTTCCATAGAAAAACTTTCATAGAGAGATTTCCATAAAGGGGCTTTCATAGGGGACTTCCATAGAGGGACTTCCACTGTGGGACTTCCATAGAGGGACTTCCACTTTGGGACTTCCACAGGCGACTTCCATAGAGGGACTTCCATAGAAGGACTTCCATAGGGGACTTCCATAGAGGGACTTTCATAGAGAGACTTCCACTGTGGGACTTCCATGCCCCATTCTCTGAGGCCATGAGGTGGGGATACACTGGCCCTCGGGGGACCTCCCTGCCTCTCAGCCATGGCGGTTGTCACCTGTGGTAAACAGAATGGCGGGAGCAAGCGGGATGTCCTCGGGCGCGTGCCCTATCCATGAACGTGGTGCAGCCTGCAGTGTGAGTCTGATGGGAACTGCAGGAAGAGGAGGTGGGAAGAGCACAGGGCCCTCCACAGCCACAGTTCCAGGTGTAGGTAAGGCTGAAAACCAAACCTGAATGTTGAGTTCAGAGTAAATCAGGGGCCTGGAGAGTTTGAAACTAAACTTTTGTGAAATTCTAGCAAAAAGTAAAAAAAAAGAGGCAGGCTGTTGGATGTCCAAATATTCAGTCCAGCTTGGAATTCACTTTTTTCTCCTCGGCTTTGACATTTTCACCCTTCCCAACAGTCATCCCAGCAACAGGCCTCCTCCATGTCCCTCAGATCTGATGGAAGACCTGAGTGGTGATGGCCATTTCTTGTTGCTCTAATAGTTCCTCCTTTGGTGGAATCTGCAGCCATCTTTCCTCCTGGTGGAATGGACTTGTGTTCTTTGAGTTTTCACTTTTTAACTAACAAGTCCTCCATGTTCTCCCCAAGCCCAGTGTCACTGGTTTTCAGCTTGACTGCTGCTTGGGTTGGGGGGTTATTAGGCTTGATTTACTGGGTAGCTTCTCAGAAATGTCATCTCTGCATCTTGGACCATGTTTGCCAAGGAGCAGTCAGGCTGCAGGCCCTGCAAAGCCACCCACTGGGTCTGACCCAGTGTGGCCTTGGGGCACAGGGAAAGAGGAGTGTCCCAGTGTCACCAGGGGATGGGTCACCCCCTCTTGGCAGAGCCAGCCCAGGGATTCTCCGAGTCAGGCCTGTCTCCAAGCTGACTTCCAGGCGGCAGCTCATTCCTGAACCTGAACCCCGTTTGTCACATGTGCTGAACATGTGCCCCGGCGTGGGAAGCTGTGCAATCTAAAGGCACTGTCGAAGTTCACTTGGGTCTGACAGACATCTTCCTTTAACACCTGAGAGGAAGACTCTGCAGTCCAGGATGGTTTAAAACAAAAAACCCCTGTATCTCCATAATCCTTGGCTTCCCCATGCTCCAGCAGACTGGAAACAGCTGCTTTTCTTCCTAAGGATTCCTTCAGGTGAGAGTTAGAATCCTTTGTAAAATTTTCCTGAGGAGCGAGGCTCTCTCCCGCTGATGAGAGGCCACAGGACCAAGATGCTGGAGGTCGCGACTGGGAGGTGCAGGTTCCCAGGGCCTGGACTTCCATGGCCCCAGGGCACAGGCAGCATGATGCTGAGAGAGCTGCTGTTTACAAGGTGACGACCACATCCTGGCCTAAATGCACTCCCGTCCCAGGGGTAAGGTGTTAATTAGTGTAGGACACCTCTGCGGTGGAGGGGACAGGAAGTGCCCCTGAGTGATTAGGGTTCTAATGACGGCTCCTGGGAGTGGAATGCTTTGCTGCGCTGCGGGCCGCCTTCCCTGAGCCTGAGCTTAGTGTTTTGTGAATGTGCGACAGAAGTGGCCACATGGAAACGTAGGTAGCTTCTTTTTCCTTCTCCACTTAAACACTGGCTTTATTCAGTGACTGCCCTTCCTGGAGTCGGAGTTGACTGAACTGCTCAGTGACTTTCCACCTCGTTTCCAAGCGACAGGAAGCCAGGTTTTCCTCTGTTTACGTATTTCTTCCGGACTTCTCTTACAACCTGGGATGGCCTGAAGAGCGTTTGAGAGGCTGAGATGAAGAGTTTTACTCCTTTTGTCCACATGCCGCATGGAGACGCATGACTGAGATGGAAACCACAGTATCCTGCTGGACTTCTCTGCTTTCCCCCGAGGAGCTCCTTTCATGCCTCCACCACGGAGCCAGTGCTGTGATGGAGGAAGAGGAAGGGCGAGCCCTCTCCTTCCCCTTTCCTCCCTTTGGTATCACATTTATTAGGGTCCGTACCTGGGAGTCTTACTGGTGATGATGAAGAAATGCTTTTCAAGATTTACTTAACAGCAGTTATTGACGGAACACTCTCACCCACAGCGATGACTTAATGAGAGGCTACACTGTGTGCTCGGGGTGACCAACGGTACCCAGACACCAACCCTGCCCAACGGGGGCTTCAACCCCATGCTATGAAGGCCAGATTCACAGAAAAGTGTCGGTTACAGACAAGGACGTGATGAGCTTGGAAACACTGCTGCGATCCCATGGAAGGTGGCCTGAGTTCAGCACAGACATGAGCACTTCACGGATGGGGAAGTGAAAAGCTGAGTGGACTTTAGGGCTTTGGCACCAGCTGGGACATGTCATCTGCCTTGCAGTGTCCAGAACAGGGACAAAGAACAGGCTGGCACCTGGTCTGGGTGTGCCTATTGGGTCACATAGAGACCTCTCTGATGGGCACCTGGCCTGGGCATGGCTGTCTAGTCACACAGGAACCTCCCTTCTGATGGGCACCTGGCCTGGGCATGGCTGTCGGGTCACACAGAGACCTCTCTGATGGGCACCTGGCCTGGGCATGGCTGTGCAGTCACCCAGGGACCTTTCTCTGATGAGGAACAGCATGGCGGTCCATCACCTGGATGGCTTCGTCCAGATGGGACAGGATGGACGAGAGGAGGCCACCACAGTGGGATCTTGGTGAGAAACAAATGCCCAGGGGGTGGGAGATAAATCCTGCAAAGGTTCAGAGTCCTGTCACTTCGCTGAAGCTTTTTAGGAGTCCTGTACCAGGGTAGGCTGGAGTCTTCTCTCTGGGTGAGAAATGAATGGCTGCATCTTACAAACCTCACTGACAATGCAGCTGCAGACTGTGTGGGCCTGGCAGGAAGGGCTTGGCAGCAGGTCAGGCTGCGGGTCGACATTCCCACTTATGGTGCTGCAGTATCGGGGAGGACTCTGGTATGGAGTTTGTGGCAAGCCTGGGTGAGGAAATGCAGGTACCCAGGCATTGGAACAAGGCCATGCACCTGCAGCATGGGGGACTCTGGTATGGAGTTTGTGGCAAGCCTGGGTGAGGAAAGGCAGGTACCCAGGCACTGGAAGAAGGCTGTGCACCTGCAGCAGAGAATTATCTGTCTTCCAAAGTCAGCCCTGGCATGTAGGTGAGCCCGGGGCACTAAGGGACCCTGTCCTCACCCTGCCCATCATGAGCCCACCAGGACAGGCCCCCACTGTCCATCTCGAGATGGGGCGGGACATCTGGATTATGCTTGAACAGGACCAGAGGAAGTGAGGAAGCTCCATGATTGTGGGCACACCCCCCCAAGCCTCCCCCATTCCCTCCCTGAGTTCCTACAGCCCACACTTGGTCCCTGGGGCCAGCTCGGTGCAGGGGCCCAGGTATGTATCATCTTAGTGTCCACCAGAGGGAAGCTTTACCCACTGTGCAGGAATCACTGGGCAGCCACGGGCCCGTGGGCTCAGTCGGCCTCTGGTATGGTGGACACAGGAACTA
The DNA here is from genome assembly GCF_000001405.40 of Homo sapiens. Lineage (NCBI taxonomy): Eukaryota > Metazoa > Chordata > Mammalia > Primates > Hominidae > Homo > Homo sapiens. The sequence continues at coordinate 78,617,957 of NC_000018.10, read as the reverse complement.
GAAGGCTCCAACTTAAGCTCTTTCTTTTAATCTCCTAAAATACTCCTGGGGGCCTCCATGTTTTGAGTATTCATTCACGTGTTCACTCATTTATTCAAGAGATATTTAATGCAAGTGCTGGGGATTGGTCAGCATGTGTACTTAGTAAATATGACCGAGTGATGGGTGAACCAATGCATCTGTATGGAAGTAGACAACACAATAAAAAATAAGACCAGAAAATCAAGATATGATGGTTAAAAATGAAGCCTGCTTTTCCCGGGTGGAAATTCCTGCACAGACTGATCAGAATGTTTGAAGTGAAACATGTTATTATTATTCTGTAAAATCATCTGTCCTAGAAAGGAGAAAAGAGAATGCTCTTTTATACACTTTATTATGTTTAAGAGAGATTGGTTTATAAACATCAAACAATAGATGTCATTAAAGTTGTTTTTGGTTCCATTAACGTAGGGTGAGGTTGTAGGATCGGCTTAAACTGGATTCTGTGTGTGTGTGTGTGTGGGAAAAGGCAGCACTTTTCCCAAGTGAATGGACCATGCTTTCTTTCCTCAATTTTTATTTTGCTTTCTCTCTTGAGTGCTTGGCGCCTAGAAATGGACAAATTCCAACAGAAGCTGAATGTTAGCGTATTCTTTTCCAATTAAGATATAATTCACATACTGTAAAATGTACACTTTTAGGGTGTACAATTCAGTGACACTAAGTAAATTTGCAAAATTGTGCAGTCTTCACTACTATCTAATGCCAGAACATTTCATCACCCGCTGCCTAATGAACCTGGTATCCACTGGCAGTTCTGCTCCACTTCCAGACCCGAGCATTTATTATCTCCTTCCTGAAATTTGGCTGAACTTATTAGCTCTAATTGTTTTTTGTTCTTTTTGTGTGGGTATGGATCTTCAGGATTTTCCTTATGTGAATAGAAATAGCTTTACTTGTTTTCCCGTCTGGCTGTCTTTTATTTCTTTTTCTTACCTAATCACCCTGGCCAGAACTTCTAGTACAATGTTGATTGAAGGTGGTGAGAGCAGACATCCTGGTCTTGTTTCTGATGTAGGGGGAAAACTTTTAGTCTTACCGTTAGATATAAGGCTGTGAGTTTTTGTAGATGTTCTTTGTCAAGTTGAGAAAATTGTGTCCCATTTCCAGTTTGTTGAGTGCTTTTATCATTAAACAGTGTTTGATGTTATCAAGTGCTTCTTTTGGGATGAGTGTCTATTGAGACGAGTGTGTGTGTTTTTGTTTTTATCTTTATTAATATGGTCCTGCATCATCAATTGATGTTTGCACATTGAGCCATCCTTGCCTTCCTAACACTATTCAGCACTGATGCTTTTAGTACTTAGATGACAATATAGCTGCTGTAGCCTTCTCCTACCCCAGTTAAGACATTATTCAAACATAGTAAGCAGAACACAGAGAAAACTACTTATGAATACATTAATACTTGTTTGGAAACCAAGTATTTTTTGGTAGCTGAAAAGTATTCAGACTTCTTGTTGAGGCTCTGGGGCTTTTCTCTCTATAGCTAAGTCTTTAATCATAAATGTACATACAAAGTAACTGATGAACACGAATAATAACCAGTATTTATTAAAATCTTACATTAGCTTCATTTGTTCCCATAATACCTAGTGGGTTAGTTATTAACAATCCCATTTTACAGGCCAAGAAACTAAGACTTGGCAAGGCTCCTTAATAAACTTAAAACTATAACTCTTTGACATCAATATCAAGTCCTGTTTCTTTCTGTTTTTTAATAAATTTCAACTTTTTCTATAGATTAAAGGGTGCATGTGTAGATTTGTTACAGGGGTAAATTGCATGATACTGAGGCTTGGAGTCCCAATGATCCTGTCACCCAGGCTGTAAGTGTAGTACCCAACAGTTGGTTTTTCAGCCCATGCCTCCCACCCTCCCTTCCCCTCTAGTGACCCCCGCTGGTGTTCCCACCTTCACAGTTGTGTGTATCTGATGTTTAGTTCCCACTGGTCAGTGAGAACATGTGGTATTTGGTTTTCTGTTCTTGTGTTAGATTGCTTAGGATAAAGGCCTCCAATTCCTTCATGTTGCTGCAAAGGGTATATTTAGTTCTTTTTTATGACTGTGTAGTATTCCATGGTGTATAGGTACCATGTTTTCTTTATCCAGTTCACTGTTGATGGGTATATATGTTGATTCCATGTCCTTGCTGCTGTGAATACTGCTGCCATGAACATATAAGTGCAAGTGTCTTTATGATAGAATGAATTATTTTCCTTTAGTATATACCCAGTAGTGGGAATGCTGGGTGAATTGGTAATTCTATTTTAAGTTCTTTGAGGAATCTTCAAACTGCTTTCCACAGTGGCTGAACTAGTTTTCATTCTCACAAACACTGTGTAATTGTCCCTTTTCTCTACAGCCTCTGTAATTTTTTGACTTTTTAATAATAACCATTTGGACTGGCATGAGATGATATCGCATTGTGGTTTTGTTTTGCATTTCTCTGATGATTAGCAATGTAGATAATTTTTTCATATGTTTGTTGGCTGCTTGTGTGTCCTCTTTGGAGAAGTGTCTGTTCATGTCCCTTGCCTATTTTTAAATTGGATTGTTTGGTATTTTGCTTCTTGATTTGTTTAAGTTCTTTGTAGATCCTGGATATTAGACCTTTGTCAGATTTATAGTTTGCAAATACTTTCCCCCATTCTGTAGGCTGTCTGTTTACTCTGTTGATAATTTCTTTTGCTGTGCAGAAGCTCTTTAGTTTAATTAGGTCCCACTTGACAATTTTTCTTTCTGTTGCAATTGCTTTTGGGGACATAGCCAACAATTCTTTGCCAAAGCTAATGTTGAGAAGAGTATTTCCTAGGTGTTCTTATAGGATTTTCATAGTTTGAGGTCTTACATTTAAATATTTCATCATCTTGAGTTAATTTTCATATACAGTGAGCGACAGGGCTCCATTTTCATTCTTCTGCACATGGCTAGTCAGCTATCCCAGCACCATTTATTGAAGAGGGAGTCTTTCCCCATTGCTCTTTTTTGTTGGTTTTGTTGCAGATCAGATGGTTGCAGGTGTGTGGGTTTATTTCTGGGTTTCCTATTCTGTTCCAGCGGTTTTTGTGTTTGTTATTGTACCAGTATCATGACCAAGCCCAGTTTCCAACCATTAGGAGAGGGCTGGCCTCTGCATTTCTTTACTATAATGAGGTGGCATTTATCATAACCTGCAAACCTAATGTGTTCGGGAGGGAGTCAGGAGGGATTACATCCCACTGGCAACTACATCCCACCCACACCTATGTCCCACCCACACCCAGTGAGGGAGTACATCCCACCCACATCCAGTGAGGGAGTATATCCCACCCACACCCAGTGAAGGATTGTGTCCCACCCACACCCAGTGAGGGAGTACATCCCACCCACATCCAGTGAGGGAGTATATCCCACCCACACCCAGTGAAGGATTGTGTCCCACCCACACCCAGTGAGGGAGTGTGTCCCACCCACACCCAGTGAGGGAGTATATCCCACCCACACCCAGTGAGGGAGTGTATCCCACCCATACCCAGTGAGGGAGTGTATCCCACCCATACCCAGTGAGGGAGTGTATCCCACCCATACCCAGTGAGGGAGTGTATCCCACCCATACCCAGTGAGGGAGTGTGTCCCACCCACACCCAGTGAGGGAGTGTGTCCCACCCACACCCAGTGAGGGAGTGTGTCCCACCCACACCCAGTGAGGGAGTGTGTCCCACCCACACCCAGTGAGGGAGTGTGTCCCACCCATACCCAGTGAGGGAGTGTGTCCCACCCATACCCAGTGAGGGAGTGTGTCCCACCCATACCCAGTGAGGGAGTGTATCCCACCCATACCCAGTGAGGGAGTGTATCCCACCCATACCCAGTGAGGGAGTGTATCCCACCCATACCCAGTGAGGGAGTGTATCCCACCCATACCCAGTGAGGGAGTGTATCCCACCCATACCCAGTGAGGGAGTGTATCCCACCCATACCCAGTGAGGGAGTGTATCCCACCCATACCCAGTGAGGGAGTGTATCCCACCTACACCCAGTGAGGGAGTGTATCCCACCTACACCCAGTGAGGGAGTGTATCCCACCCATACCCAGTGAGGGAGTGTATCCCACCTACACCCAGTGAGGGAGTGTATCCCACCCATACCCAGTGAGGGAGTGTGTCCCACCCACACCCAGTGAGGGAGTATATCCCACCCATACCCAGTGAGGGAGTGTATCCCACCCATACCCAGTGAGGGAGTGTATCCCACCTACACCCAGTGAGGGAGTGTATCCCACCCATACCCAGTGAGGGAGTGTATCCCACCCATACCCAGTGAGGGAGTGTATCCCACCCATACCCAGTGAGGGAGTGTATCCCACCTACACCTAGCATAGTTGGGACTGGGGTGAGGGACACCTGGAGCACCCACAAAGGCCGCATCAGGAGCTCACCGGGCTGGAGCACTGGGTGTTGAAAGAAGTGTGCAAACACTCCAGACAATCCATTCAACCCGTGAGTCCACTGTTCTCCCACTCTCAGCTCTCATGTCGCCGTTGCTCTTCCTGACACCATGCTCAAGTTCTCAGATGGCTGGTTGGAATTCCAATTTAGGAGACGTGTGATTGCCTTTTAAAGTATTACCTTCAATAATCCTTTATAACAGTTCTCTCAGAAGGGACCAAGCTACAAGAAGTCCTTTCTTTGCTCTCTGTTGTCCAGTGGTCACAATACACTTCTCTCATCCATTCTTCATGAACGTGTCCCTTCACCAAAATGGTCACGTGCCCACTCTGTGCCAGGGCTTAGGCGAGGCTTGGGAACGTGAAAGAAGCTGCGGCTGGCTTGTGCCTGTGGGCAGACGGGTGTGCACATGCGGCATGGCAAGACAACATGTGGCCTCCGGAGTGCAGCTGACTCCAGCTGGGTGTGGTGTGGTGTAGGGGTCCTTTCTCTGGCAGGGTGTGGAGGGAGGCCGCAGTGGGGGGGTCATCACTTCAATGATTCTGGGCTTATCACCTAATCTGTGGGTTGTAAATTCCTTTTGATTGTCCCGACTCACTCTTCTGTCCCTCGGCGACTGACACTGCCACCAGACCCTGGAAGGAAAGGAACAGAGGTAGCAGAAATCCAAAGCACACGCTTTCAGACCTGAGTTTAAAACCACAGTCGAATGCCATTAGGGTATTTGTGGATGGTTTATCAGTGGTCTCTGTTTGGGGTCCCCCAGCTTTGTGTTGACTTTGTGTTTCACGAGGACATCATGTACCTGCTTGGTGGGGAGCCAGTGTCCCCATAACCATGAGCTCCTGCATGTCCCTCTCCCAAACAGAACGCTTGAGTGTGGGGAATTGCCTGTGAAACATGGACTGGGTTTGCTGTGTGGTTCTGAGACCTCATCGTGAGGAAAACTGGGTGCAGAGGGTGGGTCTCTTGCCAAGCCTGAGCCCAGCCTGGGGTCCCCACCCCAGCCTCTTGCCAGCAGCAGGTGTGGAGTCAGCTTTTCCTCTAGGACCCGGCACGGCGGCACGTCCATGAGACCCCAGACAAGCAATAGGGCTTTGTTGTTTTCCCATCTCTGGCCAGGGTCAGACCCAGCAGCTCTAAATTCATGACATTCCCTGTGTTTCTGCTCTCTAGCTCATAATAAGCTGGTAGCTTAGCCACCTCTTTTTAAAATTGGCTAGGAAGGCAGGAGAGCTTTACAACCCAAACAGTCAATTTCAAACTGCCGAACCCAATCAGGCCGGATGGAGAGTGACCCTTTAAATTGATTGTGAAATTGGAAGATGGCTCCTTGTCCTCCTGCAGGGTGTGTGGGGAGCCATCACTTCCTTCCTAAATGGGAGCTGCAGCCTGTGCCTGCACACGCCCTGCCCAGCACCCCAGTGCCTGACTTTGAGGCCGGTTCTGGGGAGCACAGGCCGGGCGTCCGGCCCGCCGCCGGCCGGCGCAGCATCCAGATGCCACGGCTTTATGCACTTGTACATCTATGCTGTGTCTCTCTCAGGTTCTGATTTTAATTTGGGTAATATTCCCGTGAATAATAACATCTAATTACAACATCCATTAAAAGTTAGTAACATTAATTTAACAGGGAGAAAATCTAATAGAGTTCTTAGAGTGATACTGGCATTTTTCCATTAAATTAATGTTACAAACTTTTAACAGGATGTCTTAAACAGGCATCGTTAGTGTTGGGAATATTAAACAAATTAAATTCAGGCCTGGAATATGAGGTGGGAGCCCATTTATGAATCCAAACAAGGTGTCTGCCGACCTCTTTCATGCACTTAAAATATCCAGCAGGAAGCCGCAAGGCAGTTCAGTGGCCGCGGCGCCCAGGACTTCTGGTGACTTCCAGGGGACGGAGTGCCCCTTGGGCCTGGTGCCCAGCGATCCGTCCCTACACAGTTTGAGGGCCTCAGGGTGTGCCACTATTTCACCTTAAATTCTCAAATTTCTCTCTGAAATTCATCATCTTGCCTGAGTTTTGTTTCCTGAGTGTCACGAAGCCACAGCACTGGTGAATCCATGAAGACTCTGTAGCTAATGGCTCAGCAGGCCACGGAGGGTCCCTGAGGGCCAGGGGGCATTGTTGGGGTGTCCCGGCCAGCTTGCTGTTGTGAGTGAAGCTGGGGGATGGACGGTTCCCGAGACCCTAAAACTCACCTGAGCCTGGGCAGCCGGGGCTTTCTCTCAGGAGCAGGAAACCTCAGATGCTCGGCTCCTGTCAGAGAGAGAGAAGGGGAACTTTGATGCCTCCATTACCAAGTATTAGAAAACTGATTCTGTTTGACATTTACAAAGCTCAGAGATTTGTGACCGAGATAGAATTTCACTGAGACTGTCCCATGAAAGCAAACATTACATACATGCTTAGAAGTGGTTTATCAGGCTTCCATAAAAGTTAGGACAAGAGATGATGGAGTAGAAATGAGCCTTGACACTTGGGGAGAGGAGCGACCCCCTGGGTTTCCAGAAGTCCTTTGTCCCCAGGATGCTGTCGCCCCCCTGTCGTTGTCCAAAGTTGGAGCACAGCCAGAGATTTAGGGACATGGAGCTCTTGGTGGCCTCGGCTCCCTGCCGGGGGCCTCTCCATATGATAAATGTCCTCATTCCTTTACAGTCAGGAAGTGGGGTCTTCTGGGAGGGACAGAAAGGTTATGCTTCTAGCTTCTGAAGTGGTTGGTTTGGCCACGGGAGCTGCTGGGCGTGAGCTTTGCAGCGGGGGGTGCCTGGGCTTTGATGCCAATTCTACCTCTGTAGGAGCTGGATAATTTTAAGCAAGTCTGAACACGCAGAGCCTCAGTTTCCTCATGTGTAAAATGGGAATAAGAACACTTTGGGGTACTACTTTGGGAGCAAAGATCTGTTGTGCAAACTGCAGTCGGGATGACTGTTTACTTGGCCTGAGAGTCAGGAGGAAGAAATCCGAACATGCTAGCCTGTTGAGCCCTAAGCACACATCCTCCTGGCAGGCTGCTCGTTGCTCCCCCCACAGCAGCATCTGATGTGTCCTGGGAAGGGTCAGTGGGTGGGAAGATCAGAGTCAGAAACACCCAGCTGTGCTTCCGTGGGGCTGCGGTGCACACGCCTGTTCGCCGGGCTATGCTGAGCCTGGCTGCAAGGCCTCAGGCAAGTGGTCATGGAGAGGACAGGCTTCGTGTCATGACCTTGTTCGGGTTTCGTGAAAGGCATTTGAGTTATGAAAAGCCCAAGCAGACGTCATCACAATCAACATGGCCAATGTGTCTTGGTGATTACTGAACGAGTTTTTATGGAAGACACATTTTCATATGGCACATGTATATTGCCTTGATAGGTTTTCTAATTCGTGATTTAAAGAGTGTATAAAATAAGTCTCTGCATTGCATAGCGGCTTAAAGAACAGGGCGGTGGTTAGGGAAGGAGTGGTAGAAGGGTGACTTCCCCCTGGGGTGGGGGCAGGTACACACAGGGAGGGGGATTATGGGATGGGGATGAATAGATATGTGGCTGGGCTGTTTTCAATTTCGAGAATAGAAGAATTTCAAACTTGAAAATATTACAACTTCTTATTATCTTTAAGAAAAGTATACATGTGCCATGTTGGTGTGCTGCACCCATTAACTCGTCATTTAACATTAGGCATGTCTCCTAATGCTATCCCTCCCCCCTCCCCCCACCCCACAACAGGCCCTGGGGTGTGATGTTCCCCTTCCTGTGTCCAAGTGTTCTCATTGTTCAATTCCCACCTATGAGTGAGAACATGCAGTGTTTGGTTTTTTGTCCTTGAGATAGTTTGCTGAGAATGATGGTTTCCAGCTTCATCCATGTCCCTACAAAGGACATGAACTCATCGTTTTTTAAGGCTGCTTAGTATTCCATGGTGTATATGTGCCACATTTTCTTAATCTAGTCTATCATTGTTGGACTGCACATTGTGCACATGTACCCTAAAACTTAAAGTATAATAATAAAAAAAAAGAAAAGTAGTGTGTTAGATTAGACTTTTTCTTATAGAAAGTCTGGTGCAAGGTTTATTGCTGCCTACTACACATGGTATTAGAAGGTATTAGAAGGCAGCTATGCACTATACAGATACATGCATCTCTGAAAAAGTCATAAAAACTTGTATCTTCATCATATTTAACTGAACTCAGTAAAAACTGATTAAATAGAGAAATCCTGAGTGTCTACAGCTCTGTTTTTACCCATTTCCTTATATGATTTTATACAATGTCATGTACGTGCCTATGTATGTGACTGTGCATACACACACATCAATATGCACTTGGCATTGGGGGCAGTCCTTCCGCAGTGGGAGTCGTATGTGTCTACTCATATGTGCGCGTGACAGGAAGGTCACAGGCTAAGACATTTTGCTTTAAATGTGTGGACACTGGCCTGAAGGCGGAGTCTAAATGCTGGGTCTGCCCTACTGGCCTGTGGCTGTGGGCCCAGCACTTTCTCCGTGGCCTCAGTTTTCTCGTCTGTAAAGTGGGGTCTTCATAGCCACCTGGTAGGGCCATTCTAAGTATAAGAAACCATGCCTAAAGTGCTGAATCCCACGTTTCCTTCCTACCACTTACTCAATAAATGGAAGCTATTACTCTGTGTTTTCAAACATCAGCTTACAAGTGGAGAAGTGAGTTGAATGAGTTTTTAAAGGCTTTCCTAAATCTATGGTTTAATGAAATTATAAATATGTATATATTATTGCAACAGAAAAGCTTTGTGGTAATTCCTTTGCTATTCATATCATAGTCATCTCTGAGACACTAAGCCAGTCTAGGAAGTACATGTGTCTGAAAACGCTGATTGAGGTTAATATGCGGCAAACTGCTTTCATATCTGAATGCCCCTGAAACATAAAATGATGATATCAGATGGGGCCCTTTGCTTCAGAAACTCACTGCAGCTGGGAGAGCATTCCACTTAGAAAACAAATGGGCTCCATATAAAGGGGTAAATTTAGTGTAATGGATAATGTATACAAGATGACTTGGATCCAGATGGAATTCAGTCAAGAGCTAAGCAGTGTGGTGTATGGATCGCTGAATCTGTATCTGGAGAAAAGTTGTAAAGTGGGAATACGGACAGGAGCAAAATATGAAAAAGAGAAAAGGTACGAGTGTCCACTTAAACAGCGCATCAGAGCACGCGAGCGTTTTCTTGTCACACACGTGTGCGTTGTCTAAACGTGCAAGGGAGAGAATTCCCGAGCCGGGCAGAGCACTGCTGTGAGTTGCTCAGGAAAGGCCTCCTAACCTCAAGGCGGGTCCACAGAATCAATGGCGCTAAGCTACTGTTAATTACTTTGATCTGCCGTAATAACTTTATTCAGACGGGGTAGGGAGCTGGGTTAACTTTTCCTCGCTGTCAGAAATCCACGCTCCAACAGTGGGACTCGGGTCAGCCCCTGCGAGGGAGGAGGCCTCGTGGAAGCCCTGCCAGCCCGCACCCCACTCACCTCATTTGCTCAACTGGGCAGGAGTCACCCCCCAGCTCGGATTAATACCTGCAAATCCTCCCTTATGGAGCCAGGGCATGCGAGTGCTGCTTAAATAAACTAACCCCTCCCTGAGTGAACAAGGAGGGGTCTCTAAAGAGAATGAGATGAGCCGCAGACCGCAAACACACCGGGAACAGCACCCGTTCTGGAGACACCCCTTGGCCTCCTGACACGAACACGCAGATTCTTCATTAAAAATCACTCTGAAGCCCCAGTGCTTAAACAACTCAACGAATAAACGTGTGCATAGAAAATACTTCAAGCGCACTCTGCCAAATGCACTTTGATTTTTCCATTTGTTGTTATGCTAGGTTGTCTGGAGGTCGGCTTTAAGTTTCCAGGTCCCGAGGAAGTGAGTCTAAACGTAATCGTGGCATGTAAGCGGCTGGGCTGTGGGCTCAGCTTCCAAACCGCAGCTGGGCACTGATTTTCCAGCCAGACAGGCTCAGCCTCTTTTCGGTATAGATGCAGCACCGGCATTGGTGGAGGGAAATGATTTAATTATTAAAGCTGTGAACTTTACGTCCGTTCTTTCCCGTGTGTTCACGATGATCTCATAATTTCCACATGGACACTCCTGTCTGTCACGTTTCTCAAAGCTGCACCCACACGTGGATCCCACTGCACGCCTTCATGCAGGAGCGGTGTGTCCCGGGAGTTTCCCTGACTCCTGTTCTTAGAGGGACAGAGCGACCTCAGGACCTTCTCAAAAGAAGAAGGGATGTGGCAGACCTGGGGGCACCTCATTAAATGAAATTCTGGGGAGCATTGGCAGGTGAGGGCCCCTCAAATATGAAGAAAAAGGACTAAGCCTTTAAGTCCACACTTCACATTTCAAGTTGCTGAACTGCGTTTGTTTCAGCTTTGAACAGGTGTCTAACCTACAGAGAAGAGAGGAAAGAGTGTGTGTGTGTCGGGTGTGCGTGGTGTGTGGTGTGTGTTTGTAGTGTGTGTGTGGTATGTGGTGTGTGTGTGTGGTGTGATGTGTGTGGTGTGTCTGTGTGTGTGGTGTGTATGGTATGTGTGGTGTGTGGTGTGTGACTGGTGTGTGTGGTGTGTGTGATTCATGTGTGATTTGTGTGTGTGTGTTTTTATGGTGTGGGTGGTGTGTGTGGGGTGTGGGTGTGTGTGTGTTTGTATGGTGTGTGGGGTGTGTGTGGGGTGTGTGTGTTTGTATGGTGTGTATGTGGTGTGCGTGTGTGGTGTGTGTGGTGTGAGTGTGTGATGTGTGTGGTGTGTGGGTGTGTGTGTGGGGTGTGTGTATGGTGTGGGGTGTGTGTGTTTGTATGGTGTGTGTGGTGTGTGTGGGGGTGTGTGTGTTTGTATGGTGTGTGCGGTGTGCTTGTGTGGTGTGTGTGGTGCATGTGTGGGGTGGGGGGTGTGTGTGTTTGTATGGTGTGTGTGGTGGTGTGTGTTTGTATGGTGTGTGTATGGTGTGCGTGTGTGGTGTGTGTGGTGTGTGTGGAGGTGTGTGTATGGTGTGTGTGGTGTGTGTGGGTGTGTGTGTATGGTGTGTGTGTGCTGTGTGTGTGTGCTGTGTGTGAGGGTGTGTGTGTGTGGGTGTGTGTGTTTGTATGTTGTATGTTGTGTGTGTGGAGGGTGTGCGGGTGTGTGTGGGGTGTGGGGGTGTGTGTGTGATGTGTGTGTGTAGTGTGTGTGGGGTGTGTGTTTGTATGGTGTGTGTGGTGTGTGTGTTGTGTGTGTGAGTGTGTTTGTATGATGTGTGTGTGGTGTGTGTGTGGGATGTGGGTGTGTGTGGTGTGTGTGTGGTGTATGTGGTGTGTATGGTGTTAGTGTGTGTGGTGTGTGTCTGTGTCTGTGTGTGTTTGTGGTGTGTGTGCTGTGTGTGGTGTGTGTATTTGTGTGTGTGGTGTGTATGGTGTTAGTGTGTGTGTCTGTGTGTGTCTGTGTGTGTTTGTGGTGTGTGCGTGCCCCCACACACCTTTCCGACGGATGGGGCCATGTCCTTAGGATGCAGAGGGAGGATGGCTGGACATTTCTCTACGGGGGAACGAACACAGCTCCTTGCCTTCCCTCGAGATCCTGACTGGAGTCCAAGCTCCTTAGTAATGCACGAGATAGGCTGCCTATTAAGATCAAACAAAGGACATAGAAAAACAACAACAACAACAACTAGCTTCCACACAGCTCATTTGGTGGAATTTACACATAGCTGTAAATGAATTAAATTGTTAGATACTGGAGTATTGTCTCTGAGTGCGAGCTGTTCATTGAAAAACAGCAGCAAACCCCGTCTCCGTGCAGTTCTTAAAATGTAGCATTTAGTTTATCTGGACATTTCTTGCCTTTGCTTATCTTTCTGCCTATCTTGGAGAACCTCATTAAACAATTAAATGTTCTTTTAATTGGTACGTCTCCTCATTTTATTAGGTGGAGGCAATACGTGTGATGGATTCCCGGGTCTGGCAGTGGCGTGCCTGAGCCTGGGATCCAGCCGGTACCTGGGCGTGTGTGGACAAAACGCCTCCTAACAAGTTCCCGGGCCCTGACACCACGGGCGGCATTCGTGTGGGGAACGCGGGGCACCCAGATGGCTCATCTATTTCTGTGCTCCATTTTAAAAAATGGCCATGGGACAGACACATGGCTTCATCAGAGCTAAATCCGATTTGCCTGTTTGGCTTTCAGAAGTGGTTGAACCAGATGCTCAAAGAACCTGAATCGGCGCTTGTTTGGAAGAGGATGCACTGCAGAAATCCTCCTGTAAGTCACAGTATCCACTTTGGAAATCCTCCTGTAAGTCATAGCATCCACCACATGTCCTGGCTGCGGAAGAGGCTGGTGGCAGCTTCAAAAGACACCTAATCTGTAACCAGCACAAAGGGTGGTCGATGAAGACTCGGTCTCAGTGAATAATTTATTGGCATAAGCTAAGCACCAAACACAGGAGATCACCATAAAACCACAAGGACCAGGACAGCCATTGAGCTTTGTGGCTTCTTCATGGGGGAAGACGTGAGACAAAACGTGCTTGGACTTTTCGTCACAACCCTCGGAAAACAGCACGTCCTGATTTTTCATCCCAGGCTCCTCCAAGTTTAACTTTCTTTAAAAATACATAGGTAATGATGAATATCTATCTATCTATCCTTTTGAAACACAATATTGATATTGGCTATCGGTATCTGGCTTTTCATATCTCCCCCCATGGCTGATATCAGCCACAGGGTAAACAGAAGATCACATTTGTTATAACTGCTATGGGAATGTTATTAAAAATGGATACAGTCACGGTAAATTGGTAGCGGTCAAAATGTATTTTAAATTTACTTGCAGGTGTGTTTGAACACAGAGCATGACACACACACTGCATGCTATAAATATGAGATGTGGAATGAATTATATACCTTATCTAAATTATGACACAGAAGATAATAGTAGCCAACCTCATAATTTAATATCCTTCAGGATGTAATGGTACTTTTTGTTTAACTAGTAGGATTCAGACAATCAGTACAACATAAAACATAAATTAGCACGATGCTAAAACAAACACGAATATTTGTGCATGTTACTATGTAATCAGGTGCCGGCAAACATGGATGTTGCTTTGAGAGCCTGTCTGTTTTTAATTAAAAGAGTGCCACATAGAACACCGTGCTTAACATTAGAGAAGAAACTCAATACAATCTCCCAACCAGCCTATTTATGACAAAATGATTGATTTTCCTTTAGAATGGCCACACCGTAGATTTTGGTAATATGACTTATTGACTAGCGCTCTGAGTGCTTTCAGCACTAATGATAGGTTGAAGATATACCAAATCCCATACACCCTAGGATTTCCTCCACTGTCCGGGAGATTGTGTACATCTGGTTTCTCTCAGCTCTTGAAATTCTCATTAGTGAGGGTTTGCCGGGAGTAAATCCTGGTCTTCGAGGAAGTGAGTTAATTAGGAGTTGGTTTTACACGTTTTCATTGCAATCTTTACACTTCTGTGGAGCCTATTAACAATTGCGGGCTCCCTTCTGCCTTGGGGAGCTGTGGAGCTGGCTGTCCTATGAACGGTGGTCTCAGCAAGGTCATTTAGAGCTTACTGGTGTGAGGGGTGATGGAGACAGTCCTCTAAGAGCACAGTAAATCAATCATGATTAGCACGGGGCCTGCTTCCTGCACAGAGAGGCGAGGTGGGGCTGGGGGAGGTCTGAGGGAGGTGCAGCGGGCAGCGCGTGCAGAGAGAGACCGATGTTTCGTGGCTTCGGGCCCCTCTGTAGGGCAATCAGAGTTTGATCTCATTATGGTCAACACTAACATTTCTGGGAGGTCAGCTTTCTCGAGGTTTTGGCAGGAAGAGCCGCGGGAGTGAAGTATTTTTGGAATCCTGTTGGTGCAGTCACTCTGCACGTACTGAGGTTTGCTTTCCCTGAATGCTGGGTGAGAACATCTCAGTGAATGGAGTTTGACACCAACTGATCCCATCCGAATGCATCCTCATCCCTCCATTTGGGCTGCTTTTATTTCGTCTGTTTTTCCCTGAGACAAATGGGTGCCATGTCCTCTGTTGTTTTTGTTTCTCCCTCTGCTCCCTGCTCAGCGTCTCCCTCATGACACGCAGGTCCTTCTCCTCAAGTTCTCCCCACGCCCATTCCTTCTGGCCTAACTCTGAAGGTGCTTCTTCCAGGAGGGCCACCCTCCGAACACGCTGGTGCCCTGGGTCCTTTCTCGGCAGCTCTGGGGCTGGAGCTACAGAGGCCAGCGATCTGTGGGCATTTACTTGTTTACAGATGTTAGCTGGGTGTTCTCACCAAGCAGTCAATTCTCCGGGCCCAGGAAACATTTAGCACAATTCTTTGCTGTTTCTCACAGTGCCCGGTAGAATGCAAAGGGTATGCGGACTGTCTACAGATACTTGTTGATTAATTGGTGACATGAATGCTTATTGGACTCTAATATTGATCTAAAAACTTTATGAGGGCAGACACTGACAGCAGATGCCGTGATCACAGGAGAGAAAGATACACAAAGACACTTTTAGTGTTGTGTGCGAGTGTGTGTCCGTGGGTGTGAGTGCGACCCTTGTCTCTTATGTGCTTGTCAGAACATGCCAGGAGTTGTGGTGGTCAGAGGAAGCTAACTGAAAACAAAGAAGCGAAAAATAAGAAAAGAATCCCTTGATTGGGTTTTTGAGGCTGTGAGGGTCCTGAGGGGCAGAGGCAGATATTGGAACAGCACAACCTGCCTCTCTGTGCACGCCCTGAGAGCTCAGGCGGTGGCTGGAGGCAGGACCTTGGTCCTCGGCCCCGTCCCCTGGACTTAGGGCTGCACACGACCCAGGCTCCCTCCTTCTCCCGCTGTGTGTCTCAGGCCTCAGCTGCTGCCTCTGAGGGAGCACAAAGATGCACGGTGGGCTCTGCTGTGTGAACCGGTGTCACCTACATCACGTGTATCATTGCTTCACATCACTTAGGAAGTAGACTCTCCTATGGTGGGCCAGGAGGCCACCCCCGTGGTCTCACAAGGGGCAGTCATCACATGGATGAACCGTTCCAATGACCCGGGTTTTCTCTAATATTTCTAGTAGCCTGAATTACAGATGATCGCACCAGAGACTTATCAGCAAGATTCGTTTGGGTGTAGAAACAGCAACAGCACACCATGGCAAGGGTAGCCGAGGCTCCATCACATACCCAGGACCAAGAGGCATTCCTTGGGAACCCAATGATTACTCTCATGAATTTGCAACGTGTTACACTGTCTGAAGCTGGACATATATATTTGTGTCTGTCACTGCTTTCACCCGAGGCTCACTTGGCGAGGGTCTGCCAACACGGCCATCTCTGAGGTGTTGGGAAAGCCTTTTGAGGATGTCTGGCTCCCGAGGGCACGTCCTGGAGAGCCTGCAGAGATGAGACAAGCCCAGCCTGCTGGGGTGAGCACTGGTGTGGGTGGCAGCCCAGGCTTGAGGAGTGGGGGATTGGAGGAGTTCTTTCTTGGGGTCACAGAGGAGGAGAATTTAGCTCAAATTCTCTCTTTTTGAGTTTCCACTCTTCAGTCACAAAATAACTGTCCAAAAAGCCTCCCTTTGTTCCCGCTCCAGCTTTACTGGAGCCCATGATGCCTCATGAATCACAAGGCAATTCAACAACACAGAACACAGCTCCCCATGTGAGCTGTGAGCCTGAACTCAGAACCCAGCTTCCCACGTGGGCTGTGAGCCTGAATTCAGAACCCAGCTTCCCACGTGGGCTGTGAGCCTGACCTCAGAACCCAGCTTCCCACGTGAGCTGCGAGCCTGACCTCAGAACCCAGCTTCCCACGTGGGCTGCGAGCCTGACCTCAGAACCCAGCTTCCCACGTGGGCTGTGAGCCTGACCTCAGAACCCAGCTTCCCACGTGGGCTGTGAGCCTGAATTCTGCCACATGGTGGTAGACCAAGCTGGAACTCGTGACGGACGCCGATGGACATGAAGCCACCTGAACCCAAACCATGGACAGCTCCGGAGAGCCACAGGAGCCGAGGCCTCCACGTGTGCCGTGCTGCTGGGATGCCTGTAACCCTCACATGCTAGAAGACTTGGGATTATACAGAAGAGAAGAAGGTGTGGCTTCTGGAATGCTATAATCTCACCTTTATCTCTGACTATTTAGGACACACTCTTGTTTCTCAGTTTCTCCCTCTCCATCCTCCTTGGGAAGGCCTGAGTCATGTTAGAAAGGGGGAAAGTGCTGAACTTGCTGGGGTTTAAAGCGCCCACTGATGCTGTGGACACCTGGCTCCTAAGTGTTTTGCGGTTTGAGCCATGGCTTGAGTCAACTCCAGTGCTTTTATGGTTGCCATCCCGGCTAGATGTGGGGATCTTCTGTTTCTATGTAATAAATGCATGAACACATCTAAATCATGTTGTTTTTATGTTTAGATTGCCTCCGAGATGGGTGTGTCAGCAGACCTGTGCCAAGTGAGCCTCAGTTGAAAGCAGTGACAGACACAAATCTGTCCAGCTTCAGACACTGTGACATGTTGCACATTCACGAGAATAATTGCTGCATTCCCAAAGAACGCCTCTTGGTCCTGGGTATGTGATGGAGCCTCAGCTACCCTTGCCGTGATGTGCTGTTGCTGTTTCTAAGCCCAAATGTTTTGGCAGCAGTGTCTCTCTAAGGCACCGTGTTTGGTTTTCCGGAAAGGCTTCGTATTTGGCTGTCAGTGGTCCTAGCGTCAATGATACGTGTGCTCATTTCCAGGTGATGAAGCTGCTTCCAACCCCCATGTGCCTAAGGATCCATTTACAGAATATGTTAATAAATGCTAATGGGCCATTTTAAGTGATTGTTATCAGGCTCTGTTTCTGAAGGCGGACTTCCATCGAGGGGGAGCCATCCCCACCCCAGAGGCCGCCCTGCTCATTTGGACATTCGCTCTCTCACACAGACTCTTCAGCCCTGGTGCAGGGTCACTGCTGGTTGAATAGGAGGCTCCAGCAGGTTTAGTCGATATGTAAACGAGAATTTCCTCCCCTCTCCTGGGACTTCTTTTCATATCATTGATAAACACAAATAAACAGCAAAGAAAATAAGCCCAGCAAAAGATGTTTTAAATAATTTTAAAAACCTCCACCTTTTTTCTGTGTCTTGGCATCTGAAAACTTGAGTAATCTATTGAAGCCATGTTTTATTGCTTGTGTACGAAATAATATTCCAAGCCCTTTAATAGGAGAGTAAGGAGTGTTTGTCTGTTCAGAGTGGAGCTGGTGCGGACACCCATTCGGGATTCTGGGGCATGACGGTGGGTGTGTGCCTCTGTGCCCCTGGGCAGCTTGCCCAGTCTGAGTGGAGGGCTTTGGGTGGCCAGAAGCAGAGCTGAAAAAGACAGCGCTGCCATAAAGAAGATAGGAGGCATCCCTGAGTGACCCACACAGAACAGGAGGTCATGCAACATGTCTACTGACCATCTGGATGACCCTGGAGGTGAGGGTGCACAACGGTGGGAGGCTGAGCTGTTGATGCTTGACCAGATGGGACAAGAGGGAGGATGATGGCCTCTGGCTTACAGCACAGCCTCATGGAGTGGAGATTTTGAGGACGGAACGTTTGAAGATCCTGTTAAGATCATCACATTAGTGATGCAGTATCATAACCCCAAGATAAGTAAACAAACAATCTTGTTCATAATATTTATGCTCCTTGTTCCCCATTCTTTGACTTTCTGTTGATTGGTGGCCAAGTATATCCAGTGGAAAGCTTTTAGAAAGTACATTTCCTCAGCTGGGTGCGGTGGCTCACGCCTGTAATCCCAGCACTTTGGGAGGCCGAGGCAGGCAGATCATGAGGTCAGGAGATCGAGACCATCCTGGCTAACACGGTGAAACCCCATCTCTACTAAAAATACAAAAAATTAGCCGGGTGTTGTGGCAGGTGCTTGTAGTCCCAGTTACTTGGGGGGCTGAGGCAGGAGAAAGGCATGAACCCAGGAAGCAGAACTCGCGCCCCTGCACTCCAGCCTGGGTGACAGAGTGAGACTCCGTCTCAAAAAAAAAAAGTAGATTTCCTCATCATTATCATTTTATCTTCTGTAAATATTGTATCATGAGCCATTCAAGCCCAACATCTTATGGGGGGCGGGGTGGGAAAAACAAAAAGAAAAGTGTTTTAATATTTTTGGATGTGCTGAGATCCGTATTTTTTGGTGAGCATGTCCCATGCGGAGTTCAAAGCACTGAGGCATGGTATCCTTTGGGTCTCCCTGGCATGACCCCTGTGGCTGTCCTACAGTGATTCCTGTGTTAAACCCTCACAAATCCCCTGCTGTGTGCAGGTTCAGGCCACAGAAAGCCACTCCTCTTCCCTGTGGGGGTGACATGTGAGCTTTTCCTGGAGACTGGGAGGAGCAGCTGGAGGAACAAGGTGAAGAGGAACCTCCCACTGACCTGGGGATTTGAACCAGAACCTCGTTCCGCCATGCTCTTCCTCCATGGATTTCTCTTTCTAACATTTTCTCTGCCCTAAAGATTTGGCCTGGCATAGCTTGTGAGAGTTGGTCAAACTGGCTCATGCATTTCTTTCTCTTAACAAGGTTTGGAGTTGGAAACAATCCCCTTAATTCAGGGGAGGTGCTCATTACCGAGGTGAGGCTGAGCTACTGGACGCTGGTCACCGTGTTGCAGGGTGTGGCCCTTGTGGTGAAGCCATCAGCCAACTGCTCTCTCTGTGGGATGGTGGTAGAGCTAGAGGGGTTGTCGTCTGCAGCTTTGGACATGGAAATCTGTTTTCATTTTGTTTCTGCTCTGGCAATGGACATCTGGTCTGTAAAGATGGCTGAGTGATGAGAACTCTGGCCTTTCATTTCATTCACTTGTTTAGTAAATATTTGCAATGAGTCAACTGTTGGGAAGGGTCTAGTCAAGGTTCTGGGAGTTTAAATAAAGAAGACATGGTCCTTACCCTCAAAGAGTTCTCCATCCACTGGAAAAAGAAACACAGTGGTTTGATGCTGTGGTCTGGGCCCATGACCGGGCTGGCTGTTTCCAGTGTAGAGATGCGTACCCCGTGCAAAGAATAAACAGCTTACAGGGAGAGGGCAGCTTCAGCAGAGGCACACCTGTGCTCGCGCAAATCTGTGAACTTTTGACTTGTCTAGGATGCGAAGACTTTTCTGATAACTTCGAAACACCCCTGCAAATATGATCAACAGTGCAACTTGCTTATCCAGAAGTAGAACTTGGTTTTAGCCAAAGCATTTGAGCCACAATAAAACATTCAGAAGAGAGAGAGGCTTGCTCATGTCATCAGATTAATGAAGTCTTTCCTACCTTCACAGCCTGAAAAAGATACTGCTTTAGACTGTGGGGGACCTTAGGATACAAACTTTAGACATCAGCTACCACCTTCCACCCCACCACTTGGGAGAGATGGTGCCACCTTCCACCCTGCCACTGGGGAAAGATGGTAAAACCTTCCACCCCGCCACCACAGAAAGATAGTGCCATCTTCCACCCTGCCACTGGGGAAAGATGGTACCACCTTCCAACCTGCCACTGGGGAAAGATGGTGAGCTATCATCAGACTTCAACATTGTAAGAATCTTTCTTAATCAGCAAATGTACCTGTATCTATATTTATCTTCTCCTGAATTTGGGGAGAGGCGAAGAAAGAGATTTCCCCATCTCTATTATGAACTACTCAGAAGGTTCTATACTTATGGGATTTTGTCGGTCAATAGGACATTTTCCTCTGAACCTAACATTTTGTATCATTTTCCATGGGTTTCCTCATTTCTTTTCTTAAAGCTTATATAGAAGAATACACTGAAGTATTCAATTCCACACTGTTTAAGTTTTGGGGAATTTTTCTGTAGACTGACCTGCTGTGATGACTTACAGTTAAAGATTGAGATCTATTTTTGAATTACTCTGTTTGAAGTTTTTTTTAATCATTACATTCCTTAACATCTTAAAGTTTACAGTTAAAAAATTTTTATTTAAACAAAATGCAAATCTGGTATAATGATGGTGAAATTACTTTTAGTGTAATCGTTTAAATAATCGACACCCACTGCAGAACTGACGGAGCTCTAACCGTGGGGGTCGCACCGCATGCAAGACCCCTCGCCACCCTCTTTTCAGGCTCCCCATGGGCCTTGGGATCACACCGGGCACGTTCACCATCAGGCACTGCAGGTTGGCCTCAGGACAAAAATGCATTTTTCATCTGACAAGTCCGACGCATGAATAAACAACTTAAATGCAATTTAAGTACTATGATGAGGTGAGGCATAATTAATTTTAAAATCATAGTTAAGTGTGTGGTCTCCTGGCTCATTTAATGTGAGAAGAACATCACTAAATAGCTTGCTTTGCACGGATGGAACAGCCGCTGTCTTCCAAGTGTTGGTGTGTTGTTTCCTTCTCCCTCCTAGACCAGATTTTTTAAGGTTGCTGTGATTACCTCATAAACTATTTGAAAGCTCCAGTTCACAAAAGCATCTTAGAAGTGCCGGGGCTCTGACTCACTTCTCTTTAGTGTCTTTGAAATTTCTGTAGCTCGAATCACAATGGCTCCTGCTGGTGACAGCTCTCTCTCTCTTCCTCTTGCTCCCTTATCTCATATGACTCCTACTAATGTTGTTTTATGGCACTTTCTTAAATGTAACATTTAGCATGATTTCCTTGTATTTACACTTGAGAAAAATAATAATAAATACTACAATTTTAAGTCATTTTGTGGGAAAAATATAATTGTACTGCAATGATGATTCAATGTCACTCTTGCTTTTCAGTGATGCTTATATGTGACCTTTTTTTATCTCCCTGTGGGAAGTCTCAAATTCTGCAATGCAACTAAGGTAGGAAGATGTTATCTCTTTTTCCTAAGTTTGAAAACTAAGACACAGTCTGATTAAGTGAACAATTGATTTAATTATGTCACATATTATCAAAGAATGAGTACCATTCAAAGATTAAAAATATTTATTGGGTTGAAATTCAGCTCCTCACAATGACTCATGAGTGCCAGACATTACGGTGTCTATTTTATAGGTGAGGAAATGGAGGTTGAGAGGAGTTAAACCACTTAACCGATGCCTGACAACTGGTAAATGGCACCAGGAAGTGATTCCAAGTCTGTCGAATTCCAGGCTGATGCTTGTCACCGCTTACCATTCTAACCTCCAAAATCGATTGGCTAGAGGAGACGCTGCCCCTGTTAGAAATAAAGTGAAGGCTTTGTGTCTTCCTCATTCAGTCTCACCATCAGCTCCAGTGGTCTGCAATCCTGAAAGAACACACAGGTGCCATGACAAACCTTATCAAAGCTGAGACAACTGGGGCTCCAGCCCAGCTCCAGAGCTGTGCCATGGCGGGGTGTCATCTGCCCTCCTGAGCACAGCGTGTGAGGTTTAGAGACTCCCAGCAGGGCTCCACCCACACTGCAGTTGCATTGGCCACAGGAGACCCAGGCCATGCTGGGTTCCATCATTTGTCAGCAGGCATTGAATGATCGAAGTTTTGAAAGTATTATGGGAATTCTTATAGAGGTACAACTTAACTATCATCTTTATAAATGGGTAGGCTTCTAGGTGGGGAAGGGGTTTGGATAGTTGCACTGAGAAGTCAATTGGAAAGGAGCCCATGAGGCATCAGTTAATGGGAAAACCACACTTTGGCAATCATAACTTGGCATAGACAGCAACTTATATCTAAGTGTTTATTAGCATTCAGTGCTCAGCACAGGTGTCTTCAAAAATCCAAACCGGGAACAGCAGCTTCAGTTCTGGTGCTTCCAGGTTCTAAAGGCCACAACGTGAGCACATGCTGTCCAGACATTTCCAGCTCTGTTGCTGAAGTGTGAAGAAAGTGCCCAGCCCATGTCTAGATCTGATGGAACTCGTTAGCCTAGGAGCCACAGTCCCTTGAGGCAAGGATGGTGGCTGAGTCATCTTATTATCCCTGGAGTGCATTTTGTACTTATGCTTGTAATATATGTTTAAATAACCACACCCAACTTCAATTTTTATCCCCTGATCTTTTAGTAAAGGCGGTATTGCACCGAAGTGCTCTGGTTCACACTTTATAAAAAGAACTTGCTCTTTTGAGCATGAATTTCCTCACCTGAAAATTGAGTATATTAACAGAATCTGCCTCCTAGGGTTCTTGTGAAATTAAAAGAGATAAAGTGATAGTATCATACATGAGATACATTCATTAGAAGTTTGGAATTCTTTATTTTTAGCAACAATTCCTCTCATCACATCCTCATACACGCTTTCACTTGATGTCAACATGCGAAGTTTGGTGTCTTGGAATGGCCATTCCCTAGGCAGCCCCATCTGCCTTTTAGTTTGAACTTCATAATTGAACACATTTTTATTATTTCAGAAATCACAGCAGGGCTAACATTTATTGAGAATTTACCGGAAGCCTGGCACCATGTTGTGTACATAGCATTGTGAGATTTAACATACATGAATATCATATTATGCAAATAGTGTTTTCATTTACAAATAAGAAAGTGGTGACTAAGAGGGGTAAGTGCCGTCCTAACATGACTCAAGGGCCCCATATGTCCTGGCTCTAGAGCAGGTGTCCCCAATCCCTGGGTCATAGACTGGTACCCATCCATGGGCTGTTAGGAACTGGGCCATACACAGGAGGTGAGCAGTGGGTGAGCAAGTTTTACCACCTGAGCTCCGCCTCCTGTCAGTTCAGCGGTGGGATTAGATTCTCATAGGAGTGCAAACCCTACTGTGAACTGTGCATGGCAGGGATCTAGGTTGCATGCTCCTTCTGAGAATCTAATGTCTGATGATCTGAGGTGGATGGAACATTTTCATCCCAAAAGCATCCTCCACTCCGCAGCCCCTGTCCCTACCCTAGTCTGTGGAAAAATTATCTTCCACAAAACTGGTCCCTGGTGCCAAAAAGATTGGGGACTACTGTGCACCCTTCCAGTTTAGTTCTTCACCTCTTCTCCCTTCATACTTGTTTTATGCTGAATGTCTGATCCTTGAAGTATACCTTTCCCTTCTTGAAAGCTTGCTGAACTTAGCACTAATAGTGTGTATGCATGTATGCAACTCCCTGGTGCTTTCAATATATGACATCACATCACCTGCAGCTAGAGGTAGTTGTACGTCTTCCTTTCCAGTCTGAATGCCTTTTGTTTCTTTCCCTGGCCTAATTGCCAGGACTGTAATCTCCAGAACAATGTTAGATAGAAGTGGTCGCATGTATATCCTTGTCTTGTTTCTGATCTTGGAGGGAAAGCTTAGTTTTTACCATTAAGTAATAAGTTAGCTGCGGGTTTTTCATAGGTGACCTTTATCAGGTTGAGGAAGTTCCCCATGATTCCTAGTTTATTGAATTTTTTTTTACTATGAAAGTATGTTGGATTTGTAAAATGTGTTTTCTGCATCTATTAAGATCTATTAAAAGCTTTGTCTGTATCTATCATGTGCTCTGTCCTTTAATCTATTAATATGGTGCATTACATGGCTGATTTTTGTATGTTGAACCAACCTTGCATTACTGGGATAAATTCCATTTGGTCATGGGCATAATCTTTTTTTTTCTATGTTGCTGGATTCAGTTTAGCCATATATATATTTTTGATAATCCATTTATATTCATCATGGGCACTGGTTTGTAGTTATCCTTTCTCGTAATGTCTTTATCTGCTTTTAGAATCAGGGTAATACTGGACTTACAGAATGGGTTGAAATTTTCCACTCCTTGTTTTACTGTAGGACTTTTATAGTGGAGAGCACACTTTTAATGATTAGCAGGTACATAGAATGGAAATAAATATTTTATTCCTCACAGGTCCTGAGGGGTGCGTGGCATACCTGGAGACCCCACAAATGGGGTCAGGGAGTGCAGGCAGGGGAAGTGTGAATCTGGGGCCCTTGCCTTTAGTGAGGTTCAAGGTGGAGAACTTAGGCATTTGGGAGGCAGGGTAGCAATTGGACAGTTCAAAGCAAACAACTGTGGAAATCCTTTCCCATGAGGAGGTGTTATCTTGAGGTCCTGCTGGCTCTGAGGCTGTGTGTGGGTGTTGGGTGAGGGGTATCTTGCCTCAGCCACAGAAGTGAAAATGAGAACCTGTTATTTGAGCTAGATAGCAAAAACCAAAATGGCTAAAACCAAGTTAACATAAAATTGTAAGAGTTCATTACACTTGTCTCTCTCTCTCTCTCTCCATAAAGAATTAGTGTTAATTCTTCTTTAAATATTTAGTAGATTCTACCAGTAAGCCATCTGGCTTTGGGCTTTTCTCTGTGGAGAAGTTTTTAGTTAGTTTTATTTTTTATTTTTTAAAATTATCACTATGAGTTCAATAACTTTACTTATTGTTATAGGTCTATTTAGATTTTTAATTCCTTCTGGAATCATATTTTCAATTTCTTCTAGAGTACTTCATATCTTTCTAGGAATTTTTCGATTTCATACAGGCTTTTTTTTGGCATGCAATTGTTTATAGTATTCCCTTATAATCCTTTTTATTTCTGTAAGGTAGACAGTAATGTCCCCTCTTTTATTACTGATTTTAGTAATTTAGGTCTTCTCTCTTTTTTTTCTTTGCCAGTCTTGCTTAAGTTTTGTCAGTTTGATTGATCTTTGAAAGAATTTTCATAATTTAAAAATTTTCTCTGTTGTTTTTCTGTTCTCTAGTTCATTTTCACTACTATTTTTATTATTCTTTCTGTTTACTTTGAGTTTATTTTCTTCTTCTTTTATTAGGTTCTTAATACAAAAGATAAAGTTGTTGATTTCAGTTTTCTTTAAAAGTACACACTTATATTGTCGAATAGAAATTAAAGAGATTACAGATGTCCTAGAGATGGAGATATGAAAAATAAAAAAAAAGTACACACTTATAGCTTTAAATTTCGAATCACTGCTTTCACTGCAGTCAATAATATTCATATGTTGTATTTTCATTTTCATTCACTTCACAGTATTTTCTAATTTTTCATTGTGATTTCTCCTTTGACCCATTGTTATTTGGGGGTCTATTGTTTAATTTCCTTCTAGTATAAATTTCCCACATATTTTTGATTTCTAATTTTATTCCATTGTACTTAGATAATATACTTTGTAGGATTTCAGACCTTTTAAATTGACTGAGACTTGCTTAATGGTTGAACATGACCTATCCTGGAAAGTGCCCCAAGTGTGCTTGAAAGGAATGAGTATTCCGCTCTTGTGGGTGGAGTGTTACATATATGTCTGTTAGGTCTAATTAGTTTATAGTGTTGTTCAAGTCCTCTATTTCCTTATTGATCTTCTGTCTAGTTATAGCTGTTATTGAAAGTTAGGCTGAAGTCTCCAATTATTAATGTAAAATTTTCTGTCTCTCCCTCCAATTCTGTCAGTTTTACTTCATATATCCTGGGGCTCTGTTGTTAGGTGCATATATGTTTACAAATGTTATACTTTTTTTTGTGTGTGTTTTTAGTAGAGATGGGATGTTACCATGTTTGCCAGGCTGGTCTCAAACTCCTGACCTCAGGTGATCCACCCACCTTGGCCTCCCAAAGTGCTGGGATTACAGGCATGAGCCACCATGCCTGGCCAAATGTTATACTTTTTTATGAACTGACTCTTTTATAATTACAGAATATCCTTTTTTATTCTAGTGACAACATTTGTTTGAGAGTCTATTTTGTGTGATATTTATGGAGTCACCCCAGCTCTTTTATTTATGGTTATTCTTTGCAAGCAACATTTATTTTTATCCTTTTACTTTCAACTTATTTGTGTCTTTGAATCTAAAGTGTGTCTTCTGTAGACAGTATGTGGTTGGATCTTTCTTTTTTTTTTTTTTTGAGAAGGAGTCTCACTCCGTCGCCCAGGCTGGAGTGCAGTGGCACCATCTTGGCTCACTGCAAGCTCTGCCTCCCAGGTTCATGCCATTCTCCTGCCTCAGCCTCCCAAGTAGCTGGGACTACAGGTGCCCACCACCACACCTGTTTAATTTTTTTGTATTTTTGTAGAGACGGGGTTTCACTGTGTTAGCCAGGATGGTCTCGATCTCCTGACCTCGTGATCCGCCCACCTCGGCCTCCCAAAGTGCTGGGATTACAGGCGTGAACCACCGCGCCTGGCCTCTTTTTAAAATCCATTCTGCCAAACTGCCTTTAATTAGAGTGCTTTGTCTATTTACATTTAATTCAGTTACTGACAAGTTTAGCTCTATGTATGTCATTTTAATATTTGTTTCTATATGTTTAATCTAGTTTGGGTTAATATTTGTTTACTATTGAAATTGAGCTTGTACTAACCTAAACTACATTTTCATTAGCTAAGATACTAATTAAAGTCCCTAGGGCAACCAATAAGAAAATAACTTTAAAAAGGAAAAGAAAAGGTGAAGGAATTATAACGATACACAGACATATCTATTCAACCTCAAAGAAGGCAGTAAAGTAGAAACACAGAAACAAAAATGACATTGAATATATAATACTAATTTACTTTCAATAGTGTACAGAAACTGTGCTTTCATATAGCTCCACGCCCTCTCCATTCCTTTGTGTGGTTATCATCATATAAATTACACATTTATATATTGTGTGCCCATTAACATATATTTCTAAGTATTGCTTTATGCAGTTATCCTTTAAATCAGACAGGGGAGGAGAAGTGTCGCAAAGAGAAACCAAATGGACACTTGCAGTGGAGAAGGCTTTTCATACTGGATGGGCTGTGAGTCGGGTCAGACGAAGACAGCCTTGCAAATGGGGTCCTTCTGGGACCCAACAGGCAGGTTGAGTACTCGGGATTCTCTGGGAATCTGCCCCTCCCATGCCTGCCCGATTGCCGGGTTTCACCATGACTGCTGGATTCTGACTTTCAGGTGTGCTGCACAGCTGGAAAGGAAGGGTGGGAGGAAGCCACGTTAAAATTCCAGTGTGCTCACTGTTCTTACAGTCATGTTCTTTTCAGTCATTTTTCCTGGAAAAAAAAAAAAAAGATCCCTGGATTGCTGCAAATTTTTGGTTAATTCCCTGAGTTCTGAAAATGCTGATCATTTTGCCACTTTTTCATTGCTTTAATGCATGACAGGATTTTCAGACGTCCTTATTTTGCCCTTTTACCTGGCATCATGAGTTTGTGAGGCGTTGGTGTGGCTGACTTCTTGCCTACCTCCAGTAGGGAGCACAGAACCCGGCCTGCACTGAGATGTCATGGCCATCAGCTCAGGGATGGGCAGTGGCCCCGTCTAAGCTAGCAGGAGTCAGCTGGCCTCTGTTAAAACTGTTGGGGCACAGGCTGTTAAACTGATAAAATTTCAGCTTCCATGGGATGGGAGACTCTGCCTGAGGAGGTAGACAGTGCAAAGAAGGCAGAGATCAGCTCTGCAGAGTGACGTCATTGCCACAGCTCCGTCCTCTGATCCAATGGTGCCTGTCCTTTCAGTAGAATGGATGGAAATTCTTGTAGCGCCCAGCTATAGTTTGTGACTGCTCATGTAGAGTGATAGTGTGCAGATATATGTTTATCTGTGGCTTCATGGTATGGTCTTATTGAAGCTCAAATCGGTGTTGCTTTCCCAATACCCGGCCCACAAATCAGAAGTGATGTTGACCATCCTTACAGGTCCTGGAACTGGCCTGGCTCAGGTTCCCACCAGCGAGCTCAAGCTGACATCTCTGTTTTCTCATTTTCACCTCCTGCACACCCAGTTTATGTTAACACAGATTGGGCGGGAACCCTTGTGTGTCTGCATCCAAGTCTGCAGTGCCTATTTATCACTTCGGTGGCAAATGACAGCAACATTAGCATCTTCATTAACTAATATTCACACAGTTTGGGACTTTGGGCTCTGATTGCCCGAAAGACGAATGCTTTTCTTAACTTCAGATGTCCACAAACACGAGGTGAGGCCCAAACACAAGCTATTCTGTTCTAACTAAACTTTACAGCAAGAGCAACAGACATGCATTGCTGCACTCCCACCATAAGGGGAATTTTTACTGAGCTAGAACAGCTTTGGTGAAAATGATAACTTAAATAATTCCTTATAACAACCACAGATGTGTAACCCTTTGGATTATCCTCCTAGTCTTTCCTCCTTAATGCTTTCTTATTTATTTATTTTCATGTTGGCTTGTTACTTTTATTACCTGACCACGCTGTGTGGCCTGTTGTATAAAGCAGTTGAAAGACTCTAATTTTAAAATGAATGGCTAGGAGAATGGGTTCTGTGTTCCCTTACTTTTAAGTAAGGTCTGATTATTCAGACTGACTGCACCACCAACATCCTTGTGAATGGAGCTCTTTTGTATAACTTTTATGATACCTCCTGCCAGGGAAGGTCAGGTTTTAGTGTAATGCGATACCCTATGTTAAAAGGCCCAAATTAACAAATTCCTGAAAGCAAAGCAAGGAATACATTTTAAAATGGTTTTTTTGGGCACGAAGAGGCGGTACATAAGTCAGCAAAGGATAGGCGTGTGTGTTCCAAACCTCA
The DNA here is from genome assembly GCF_000001405.40 of Homo sapiens. Classification (NCBI taxonomy): domain Eukaryota; kingdom Metazoa; phylum Chordata; class Mammalia; order Primates; family Hominidae; genus Homo; species Homo sapiens. The sequence continues at coordinate 78,589,024 of NC_000018.10, read as the reverse complement.
CTGCAAATTTACCACCAATGTCTTCAGAAATGCTGGGCAGTGAAGGCAAAACCTACTGCAGATATTTTATAGGTATCGACGACTCTCTGCACATTCATGTTCAGTGAACGCTGCAGGAGGGTGTTTGCCGAAAGCTGTCTTCACATTGAAGAGTGAGCTTTGTTCCCCACAATCAACCTTCAGATGACTCTTCATGAGAGCCTCATAGATTCTTTTGGAATCTTTCTGACAGAACATTGCTACCCGGAGAAAATCCCTCAGTATTAGATTTTGCTCATATTAAAGAGAAATGGTGGTGTGTGTGGCTCTGGTGGGTGCACAGGGATGTGACTGCCAGCCTTGTGAGGCGTCCCTCATTCTCCAGCTTGCTCTGCCTTGCATCTGACAAGCGTGGGGCTTGGCAGGCAGTGGTGACAGGTGACAACACATGACACCCAGTGCCTGGGACCACTCTTTACTCCCTCAGAGAAGCTCCCTGAAAAATCCCCCAAGTACAGTGCAAAGTCTTCCCGAAATTCTTCTTGAGGAGAGTATGCATGCTTCACCCTCTGAGATGAAAAGATGCGGGTCTCAGGCCAAGACAAGGTGCCCAACAGGCAGGTGATGCAGCTCTCTGAGAGCCCTCAGGGAGGCTCTCGGACATGGATGTGTAGTCGGCTTCACTCACGCTCCTGTGACCGTTTCTCTTCGTTTAAGAACCAGAACAGAGTCACTAAAATCCACGTCACTCTGATATTTGATCCCTGGCCTCCAGGGTCAAGTACCCCTGACTGGGTGGCTGGGGCCCCAGCCCTCACAGGTGGTCTTCACGCTGGTCCAGGCCATCGATCAAGTCCAAGCGGAGGGAAGAATGAGGGAAGACGCCACAGCAGTGGGCCCCAACTGGACGGCTGGTCTCTGCAGCGGTCACCTTTCTAAGTTGCAGCCTGTCTTTCTTGTGCTTCGATGGGAACACAAGTCCCTTGCTAGTCCCAGCAACATGTGGCTTGGCTCCTGCTTACAGATGGGGTGCGGCACCCCCTTCCTTCTGCACACACCTCATGTGCCTATCACAGGGAAGGATCTCGAGCTCCAGATTTCTGTACCCTTGTCATATGTTCATCACAGGGTCGGACCTCAGGCTATAGTGTTCTGTGTATATCCCCTGTGCTCACCCCATGTGTCCATCACAGGGACGGATCTCAAGATGCAGCTACTTGTCCTTCATGTGAGGAAGACTGAGCATGATTTCAGGGTCTGTGATCCGGCGTCCAGTGTGTGTGCAGGGACAGGGCTCCGTGAGGTTATCTGAGTGCCAGGGGAGCAGAGTGTGACTTCAGGCTCTTTGATTCAGTGTCCAGTGGGTGTGCAGGGACACGGCTTCATGCGGTGTCTGAGTGTGGGGGGAGCAGAGTGTGCTCTAGAAGGGCAACTCCTCCTTGCTGGGCCCAGTGCATGTCAGAGCCCGAGGAAGAAATGTAAGGTGGAAAGTTCAGCAACTTCTCTGAAGTGGAAAGTTCAGCATCTTCTCTGAAAACTGGAGAAATTCCTGGAGCTTTGGGTTCCGCGTGAGAATATCCTCCTGGGGACGTCAGTAGCCATTCCTAAGATGTTCATCACTCCTGTTGGTTTTTGTTATTTAGTTGATTATTCTTAGCTTTGCTAAAGAATTGGATGATTTGGTTGGCAGCAGAACATGGAGTCATTTTGTTTCTCACCACGGGACAAGTAACATTGACAACCGCCCCCAGTCGTTGTGAGTCATAATTAGAAATTAGAGCCGCACCAGACTGTTTGCCACAGCTGTGAACTCTGGTGGAAGATGCCGCGAACACTTCAAAGCTCTGTCAGTTACTGAACTCACTATAGATATTTTTTTTTGGTGTTGGGGGGGCGGGCGGTGGATAGGCTTACTTTTGCCCACTGTACAAGAAATCCAAAAAGAATTTGTGGATTTTGAGATAGTTCTCAAAGTATTTAAGAACTGCCTTCATTTTTATGGGAAAAATATCTCATTTACTTTTTCTTGAAATCTTTGCTTTTCAGCTTTAGTCACACGTTGTTTTCTATCATGAAAGCTAAAGGCTTTTACTAAATCAGTGAATGGCACGGAAGGGTGAAGATGAAATTTTGAACCAGGCCACAGGTGTCTCTAGTGTTTGTAATTATGCGTCCTGCACACAAGCCTGTACCTGGAACACACTGGGTTTGCCAACATCAAGCTGGTGGCGGGGCTGATTGCAGCATTGCCAAGTACATTCTGCCTGTGTATGAAATGTGTCAAAACAATGCCGGGGCCTGTGCGGATATCTGGATCATGAATATTCGGATCTTCCCATAAGTGTCTGTTGTTTTATAAACGGCATTTGGGTGGAAGTTTAGTTCCTTGTGGGTTGTAAAATTACAGGTTTAGTAAAAGTTTTAGGTTATTTTTCTCTAAGAATTATGAGACTGTACACACAGCTTTATAAAACATGATACATTTTAAACGTTTATTTGAAAACTCTCTGAATTATATAAAAATAGCTATTTTGGGGCCTGATTTAGATAATTACTAAGTCGTGAATAAATCTGCACAACTGGCATGTATTTAGAAGCAGCTTGAAAAGGATAGTGGAAAGAACACATTCCCAGGTTACTCCTGGCCTGAGGTCCTGTGAGCACCTGCCTTTCTGTGGAGCACTCAGGGGTCCTGTGCTGTTTACCTGGGACCCGGGAACCTGGTGCCTGCAGGCTCCTCTGACCAGCCCATGTGTGCTGGCTCTGTCCTTTCTCTGAGCACAACCCGTGAGCGCTTTTTCTGTCAGACTCCTCATCAACATTCTACCCTGCAAAGCTTTATCTTTTCTTTTATCTTTCTTTCTTCCTCTTCTCTTTTCTTTTCCTTCCTTCCTTCCTTCCTTCCTTTCTTCCTTCCTTCCCTCCCTCCCTCCTCTCTCTCTCTCTTTCTTTCTTTTTCTTTCTTCTTTCTTTCTTCTTTCCTTCTTTCTTTTTCTTTCTTTCTTCTTTCCTTTTTTCTCTTTCCTTCCTTCTTTCCTTTTTCCTTCCTTCCTTCCTTCTCTCTCTTTCTCTCTCTCTCTTCCTCCCTCCCTCCCTCCCTTCCTTCCTTCTCCTTTTTTTTTTTTGTAGCAAGGAGCAACCTCTCCTGGAATGCTGGGAACTTTCTGATTCTCCACGGCATTCATAGATGGGCACAATTATTCCCACATATTTGGGCACATTCGTTGCCACTTTCCAAAGTTTGCAGAGGAATGTGGAAAACCTTTGGGCTGTCAGTACAAAGATGCTCCTGTCCTAAACTTAATAAAGGTATCCCAGGAAAATGTGCTACTTAGCAGGAGGAAAGAGACAAACTTTCATCTTATGGACCATAGAGCAAAGGTGATTTGGATTCAGCAGAGAAGAATAAGAACAATAGTCACCAATAAACAGAGTTTATGGCTGGGTTGAAGGACAGCTGCCCACTTCCGCTACCGGCCCACCTGCAACTCATGTAAAATATTGAGCACTCCGGAATTCCCTTTCTTTATCATGAAAACCAGCACAGGAATCCTCATTATGGCCTGTGCTCAGCTCCAAACACTCACGCTCTGGGGAGCTGACATTATTATCCCACTGTGCAGATGGACAAACTGGGGTTTGCAGGGGTCGAGTGACTGGCTGAAAGCAACGCAGCTGGTGGCAGAAAAACTCGACTCACGCCCAGGCTTTTGTGGGTGTCCTTCCCTCCCCACAGCAGTGGAGTCCCTCAGCCACCCTTGGTGTGGGCAGTTGGCGGCTCCCATCTCAGGAGGGGTCAGTGGTCACTCTTTCTGAAGGGGACAGCAGGTCACTTCATTCCTCCTAAGCTTGGGGTAGGGCTGAAAGCATGGGCTTCCTCCTGACCTAAGAGGGTTCAAACGTTGAGACTTTATTATTTTTAAATCTCTATAGAAGCAGAAATGATTTCTTCATTAGAGATAACCCTGTGCTGTGGGTAGAACTGTGCCCCTCCATAAAGGTGTGTTGAGTCCTTACCCCACAGATGTGAAGGTGACAGGATTTGGGAACGGGGTTGTAGCTAGGTCAGGCTGGTCTACGGTGGACCCTGACCCCGATGACTGAGGTTCTTATAAGAGGAGATGACTCAGAGTCACTGTCTCACCCTCCCCATCCTTGGTATTATGACTGCTGCCCACTCCCAAGTCACTGATTGTCAAAGAGGACAGACGGCCGAGGAGCCCCTGCTCAGAACATGAGGTGACAGGGAGGCTCAGAGAGGACAGGGAGGCTCAGAGAGGATGCCATCTGCTCATTGCGGCCTCTGCCCACACCTGCTCAGAACACGAGGAGACAGGGAGGCTCAGAGAGGAGGCCGTCTGCTCACTGTGGCCTCTGCCCACGCCTGCTCAGCACACGAGGCGAAAGGGAGGCTCAGAGAGGAGGCTACCTGCTCACCGCGGCCTCTGCCCACACCTGCTCAGAACGGGAGGAGACAGGGAGGCTCAGAGAAGACGCCGTCTGCTCGCCATGGCCTCTGCCCACACCTGCTCAGAACACGAGGCGAAAGGGAGGCTCAGAGAGGACAGGGAGGCTCAGAGAGGATGCTGTCTGCTCGCCGCGGTCTCTGCCCACACCTGCTCAGAACATGAGGAGACAGGGAGGCTCAGAGAGGACTCAGTCTGCTCGCCGCAGCCTCTGCCCACAGGTGTGCTGCCCACTGCAGGAGTTTGCAAGTCCCGGCTGAGGAGCCCGGGGCGCCCTGGTGTGGCTACAGGGGCAACTGCTGCTTTGGGGGTCTCTGGGGGCCTCCCCGATGCCAGAGTGACTTTAGGAGGGCCCCAGGGAATTGTGAGAACCTGAGGGGACCTCAGGAGACATAGCAATCCAAGGCGCTGGCTTGTGCGTCCCACCATGCTCCACAGTGCAGAGGCAGAGGGGGGAGCCCCAGCCCTGGACAGAGGGAGCAGCTGTGCCAACAAAGCCTCTCGCTCCACCCAGAGCCAAGGCCAGGCTGTCGGCTGTGTCTGGCAGCTGAGATGGGCGCCTGGCCCTGCCTCCCCTCCTGCGTGAGTCTTCCAGGGCCCTCTGGGTGGTCCCACCCGTGGCAGGTGACAAGGCTGGATGAGAAATGCTCGCTGGGGATTTGACGGTGGAAACTTCCATTGCCACTGTTTTTTCTTCCCTTTGGTGTTTGTTTATTTTCATAAATGTTTCTCCTAAGGAAGAAAAATAGATAGAAAAGGCGGGAGGGTGTGGGGATGGGGCGTGAGGGAGCTGGGTTGAAGTGGACTTGTAGGTTGGCCAGAAACGTCGGGAACCGAGAAGTTCTGGGGTCAGCGTCGGGCTGCTGAGCTCTAAATTGTGCGTGTGCGAGCAGAAGCGTAAGTCAACAGCAGCTCAGGAGCACGAGGCTGGAGAGAGAAAACCCCACAGGCCTCAGGAGCACGAGGCTGGAGAGAGGAAACCCCACAGGCCTCAGGAGCACGAGGCTGGAGAGAGGAAACCCCACAGGCCTCAGGAGCACGGGGCTGGAGAGAGGAAACCCCACAGGCCTCAGGAGCACGGGGCTGGAGAGAGAAAACCCCACAGGCTTCAGGAACCCGATGCTGGAGAGAGAAAACCCCATGGGCCTGCAGGGACTACCCCCAAGGTCAGGAGCACGAGGCTGGAGAGAGGAAACCCCACAGGCCTCAGGAGCATGAGGCTGGAGAGAGGAAACCCCACAGGCCTGCAGGGAGTTCCCCCATGGTCTGGGAGCTGAACGTGCTCCACCCCTGACTGGCCCAGGAGGCCTGGGAGGATCCTGGGTGGCCTCATCCTCTCTCTTTTGATGAAAATGTAGGTTCTGTCTTCTGTTTGTGCCATGCCATCATTCAGAGGAGCTTTCGAAAGCAGTGGGAGCAGACTCCACTGGTTCGAGCCTGGGCTGAGAGCCACCGCCGGACAGAGCCTCCTGTGCGGAAAGTCCTTCGCGAGGATGATCCTTCTAGTGTCAGATTGGCTTCTCCTTCCAGCTGCCAAGACAAGAAGTCCTGCATTTGGAGAAAACCTGACCTTGGCGGAGTCAAGGACACTGTCAGAGGACGCCAGATGCTTCAAGGGTCCGTGGCCAGCTCTCAGGCGAAGCTTGCACAGGCCAGGCCGCCCCCATTGCTTTCGAAAGTGCCTCTGAATAATGTGACACCAATGGAAGACAGCGTCTGTGATTGAGGGGAGCCTTAAGGGCCTTGTCCTTTGCCCTGAAGTCAGTGGAGTGAGTGGAAGCTAAGGGGGCAGCTCCAGAAGCTTCCACCCCTTTCGGGAAGCCCACACCATCTCCCGCTAGGTTGTCTGGACTGAGAGCTGTCCCTGGGCCCCTGCATCCTTTCTGACAGCATCATTGAAGACAGTTCGGGGTTTGGGCTGACCTCTGCACCTTGGCTAGAAGCATCTTTGTGCCTGCAGTCTCTCTGGCACACCCCGGCCGCTTTGCTGAGGGTGGGGCGGGCTTCGAAACGCAGCCGGGAGCTGATGGGCAGAGTGAGAGGCGTCGGGCACCCAGCCACCTGGGGCGCCGCGGTACTCAGTCTGTGCGCGTCAGCAACGGAAGAGCCTTCCAAGCCACAGCCTTGCCTCTTTCCAGCCCTGAGTTCCCATTCCAGCTGCCATTGCTTTGCTGAAAATAACACATTTAATCATCTGTCATAATTACAAGAGTCCGGATGACACGGATGCAGGCCCACCTCCCCGCTGCCAAGCCTGCTGTAATCCAGCCAGCATGGGCCGTGCTGCCCAAGTCGCACTGCGGGCCCTGGTCTGCTGAAAGATCAGATGTGACCGCAGAGTTGTTCATCGCAAATGATTGATCTGCTTGCAACAAAACTAATAATTACACAGCTCTTCATTTCCATTTGTCTTTGGAAGGTGGAATCTCTCTCCCCTTGAAGGGCTCTGCCATGCAGGCATACATTGGTGAACCGTGAGCCTGCTGAGCCCGCTGAGCCCGACAGGTGCAGCCCGCGCCCTTCCTCCTTGGATTTTTGGCGTTGCAGGTTATTCCCCAAAAATAATCAAATGGTAACATGTTGCTTTCATTTTCATTGTATTCCCCAAAGTCGATCAAACGGTAATGTGTTGCTTTCATTTCCACTGTGTTTGGTTTTAGCTTATTGCTTTAATCCCTTCACTTTCAGGACATCTTCATGTGTTAAATTCCTGCCCTTATCCTCATTTGCATATGTCAGTTTCTTCTATTCGTTCTCAACTATTAAGCCTACCTTAGGTTATGATTTTATTACAGGATAACCAACAACTATGTCCAAACTAGAGCATTTATTTGACTATTAGATGTTTATTTTTATTTTTACGTATTTATTTTTTTGAGACAGAATCTCGCTCTGTTGCCTAGGCTGGAGTGCAATGGTGAGATCTTGGCTCACTGCCACCTCTGCCTCCCAGGTTCAAGTGATTCTCCTGCCTCTGCCTCCGAGTAGCTGGGATTACAGGCACCCACCACCACGCCTGGCTAATTTTTGTATTTTTAGTAGAGACTGGGTTTCGCCATGTTGGCCAGGCTGGTCTCGAACTCCTGACCTCAAGTGATTCTCCTGCCTTGGCCTCCCAAAGTGCTGGGATTACAGGTGTGAACCACCATGCCCAGCCTTGACTATTAGATGTATCTAATCACTGCCCAGTGAGTTTTTCTTCACTCCCTTCCCCTTAGTTTTGATGTCTCAAAATGTTGGTGCATCAGAAATGAAATTTAAAAGCCTCACTCCTTATCAAGAAGAAAACCTCTTTTAGCAAAGGTTTTTCATTTCTAAGACTAAGATTATTATTGTTTAGTCCATGATCTGAAAAGGATTTTATTACCTAAAAGAAGGCTGAAAGAGGAGTGCTGTGGCCTGGTGCTGGGATTTGGCCTGTCCCTGGGCAGGGGGCGCTAGACACAAACGCACCTCAGTTTCTCCTCTAAGGACAGCTGGGTCGGTGAGTCCACCCCAAGCTCTCCCTTCTGCCTCTGACACTCGGCAGTCCTTCGCTAGATTCCAGAACAACTATAGACTGGTAGGTGGTTCTCTGGCTCCAGCCCAGTGGCCCCTAGTGTGCAAGTCTCCTGAGGATTTGCCATAACATCCCACAGACCAGGCAGCATAAACAACAGAAGCTAACTTTCTCAGCTCTCCATGCAGAAGTCCAAGATCAAGGCGTGGGCAGGGTGGCTCCTCCCGAGGCCTCTCTCCTGGGCTTTCAGACGTCTCTCCCTCCCTGGTTCATCTCTCGGCTGTCCTCTGTGTCCGTGTCCTCCTCTCCTCTTCTCGTGAGGACAGGAGTCCTGTAGGGTTAGCGTCCTAAAGATTTCGTATCAACCTGGTTGTTTGCAAAGATCGCATTTCTGGATACTGCATGTGCGCCCGTACTTACGGGGGTCAGGACTTCAGCATCTTCGGGGGGACACAGTCCAGCCTGTGACACCTTCTTGTTGGGTTGTCGGGAGTTTGAGGACCTTTATGAAACCAGCACTTGGCTCTTCCCCAGAATCCACAATTCTAACCCTTACTTTCTTCGAGCCAACATGGCCCCAGGATTTTAGTGTGATCTGAGAGGTGCTGGTGCTGACATCAGTACCCCCACGTGTTCTTCTGCGCCTGACTGTGGGGCAGGTGGTTCTCATCGCGTCCAAGCCCGTCGGCTCAGCTCAGGTAACCTGGCTGCCAGGGAGTGTGCTGCACCTGATTTACAGCCGGTTCTCGACACATCTTGCAGCCCTCACTGTTGTTTTAGGACTAAGTCAGATATTCGCCCTCCAGATGGAGACCCCGGGGGCCCTTCATCTGCAGGCTAGAGTGCCCTCGATTCTGCCTCTGTTCCTGCTCCCACTCAGCTCCATGGTCCTGGGGCCTCCTTTTCTGGGGAATCCGTCCAGTTGGAAGTAACAGCTGCTTTCTCCTCCCTCAGCACTTGGCTCCATCTACCCTGGCTTCCTCCAGGTGGGACTGGCCTCTTGTACAGAACCCAGCAATGCAGGCAGCCAGGAGGAGGGGCCAGGCAGGCGCCGGCAGAGGTGAGGAGAATCCACAACGGGGCTCTTGCCTGAGCCAATGCTGGCCTTGGAGTCCTGGGGACCCCTGGGTGTTGAATGCCTCCTGGGGTGTGCATCAAGGAAGGGCTTTGCTGGCCAGGACCAACCTCAGAAGATTTCATGTTGAAGGAAGAGTCAAGCAACTTCCTGAAAGAGAACCCCTTGGCAAACTAGGGAGGAAGGAAAGGAGGAGAACGGGCTCAGAGACAGAGACAGGGCTGAGCACGGAGGGAAGGAGAATGGGTTCGGAGAAAGCTGAGCAGGGAGGAAGCAGGGGTGGTGGTTCTCCCAGGGGAGGCTTTGCAAGTGGAAGGACGGGGGTGGCCACTGGGTGATCATTTGGCAACTTCTCTCACAGGGGTAGCTTCCTGACACAGCTGAGTGCTTCTGTGATTTGAGAGGATACCAGAGTTTTGTATCTGAAAATATTTATGCTCATCATTATGCATAGGTTTTAATTATTGGGCAATTTTCATAAAACCCTTTCATGTGCAAAAAATTAATTAGCAACTATTTTTAAATGAGAAGTGTCACCCCCTCCCTGCCCCCACTCAGGCTACTTGGCCCCTTCTAAATTAAATACTAGAACTTAGAACTGCACAGAGAAAATAAATCTAATTTAGATATGAAGTATGAGTTACATACTGAAGGGGAACAGAGCCAGGCTCTGGGACAGCAGCTCAATACGTCCACTGAGCACCAGCTGTATATGCTATGGCTTTCTGCATGTTCCTTAGAATTTACCAAGCACTTTCTCATGGGTTATTTCAAGTTGGGAGTTGTTATCCCCACTTACACAGGGATGAAAAGGCTCTGGGAGGTGGAAAGAATGACCAATTCATACCAGGCATGTAGGGGAGTCAGGACTGCATCATTAGACCATTAGACCTGTAGATGGTAAACCCTTAGACGTTAGACCATTAGGCATTAGACCATTACACATTAGACTTCAGACGCTTAGATGTTAGATGTTATTAATAGATCATTAGACTTTAGACTGTCAGACATTAAACCCTTAGACATTAGACCATTAGGTGTTAGACGGTTAGATGTTAGACCATTAGACTGATATTACACCTTAGACATTAGATCATTAGAAGTTAGACCTTTAGACTTTAAATCCTTTGACGTTAGACTGTTAGATGTTAAACTGTTAGACCGTTAGATGTTAGACTGTTAAACATTAGACTGTTTGACCCTTAGACCATTAGATGTTTGACTGTTAGACCTTAGACCATTAGACGTTAGACTCTTAGATGTTAAACCCTTAGACGTTAGACGGGTAGACGTTAGATGTTAGATGTTAGACCATCAGACGTTAGACCATTCATTAGACCATCAGATGTTAGACTCTTAGATGTTAAACCCTTAGTCATTAGATGGGTAGACGTTAGATGTTAGATGTTAGACCATCAGACATGACTGTTCATTAGACCATCAGACATGAGACTGTTCATTAGACTATCAGACGTTAGACCGTTCATTAGACCATCAGATGTTAGACTCTTAGATGTTAAACTCTTAGATGTTAGACAGGTAGAAGTTAGATGTTAGACCTTAGACCATCAGACGTTAGATGCTTACATGTTAAACCCTTAGTCATTAGACGGGTAGACGTTAGATGTTAGATGTTAGACCATCAGACATGAGATTATTCATTATACCATCAGACGTTAGACCATTCATTAGACCATCAGACATGAAACTGTTCATTAGACCATCAGATGTGAGACCGTTCATTAGACCATCAGATGTTAGACCGGCCACATTCCCCATGTATGTCATCACATCTAGCAGCTGGGCCACCTGAAGCAGAGAATTTTGGAGAAAGCAAAGCTAATACTTGATGGGGCTCCATCCTGACAATGGTGGTACCTGTGAGGGTTACTGGGTTTTCACAGGGAGGGAGTCCCTTCCCCAGGTCCTCCCTGATCATTCGTCCTGGGTTTCCAGCTAAGAAGGCACTTTCAGTTTGGATGTTTCTCTGTCATCTAAAATCCCTTGTGTCCAAAAGCCAGCTCCAGATCTCCTCTGCTGAAGTGGGTTCCCGCTGCCGAGAGTACTTGGGAAGACAGTGTCTGGAAGGCATGTGGGGCAGCCGCTCATTGTCATGATCCGTGAATCAGTGACTCCAAAGAGTGTTCTGTGGACTCTGATGATGTTTGGAAAGTTTTACGTGAAGACAGAGAACGTCATGGAATGAAACTGAGCAGGACTGAGAACCGTGATTATTTCTTAGGTTGAGGCTGATGGGCTTTTCAATTCTTTCATTATTAAGCTCACCCAGTTTTGAATCTCAATCAAAATGCTATTTAAATTCCAAAACAGAGACTCCCTTGCAGCAAAGAGTGATGATGTGGTAGTTAAACAGAAAGGACCATTATGTGTCTCGTGGAAACGTGTAGGTGAAATTCATGACACTGGGAATGTCTCAGCAAGTGTGGTAATTTAAAAAGTCTGACTGGATCAGGGGACTAGGGTGTGTAGGGTGTGTATGTTTTTACTCAACCCCCATGTATTTAACATAAACCATATCCCCGATTCTGCCCTATGTGGAAATCCTACCTGGACCAGACTCTGGGCTGCACAGCTCTGATTGGTGAGAGATTCTTTGGAAATATTTCTTCACCGTGGAACATGGCCTGTTGGGATGGCGTTCTCTGCTGGCTGCGCACTGGTCAGTCCCCTGGTTAAAGGCAGAAGATGACCGTGTTCCAGCTGATGTCCTCTGTGTTCGGGAAGCTGGGTGGCCAGCAGGTTTCACTCCCCATGCAACTTCACAAGCACCAGGAAGTGCAGGCCACCCTTCGCCCTCCTTTCCCTAGCGGGGAGGTGGGGGTGGGGTGCCCTGGTGAGCAGGAAGTGCAGGCTGCCCTTCGCCCTTCTTTCCCTAGTGGGGAGGTGGGGGATGGGGGGCCCTGGTGAGTGTTTCTCAAGTCCACACACAGCCGGGCTGGCGAGTCACTTAGGTGGCAGACACGAGGGGCTCACCTTTCTGCTCCATGTTCTCGGGAAAGACAAGCTCACTTCTTTTAGAAGTTCATTAAAAGCTAGCCGCTCTTAGGGATTTTACTGCAAACCAATCAACCTAGACCTGTACATGAGTCTGACCTCACCCTGATTCACCGGCCTTCCATTTTGACTTTACCCATCAGTGATAGGAATTGATTTCAAAGGCTCTAAAATTAGCTCTGTACATCAAAGAATTGTTATAGTGTGTCTCTGCAACGTTGCTGTTTTACAGGTGCTGCTGGGCCGCCTGCTCTTAATTGGAAAAGCACAGCCCTGGGTGCAGGAGGCAGAGACTGCATCAAGCCTCTGGAAGGAAAGGCCCTGGGTAGAGGCTGGAGCACAGGGCTCTGAGCCAAACAAGGCTGCTCTACTGCCGAGGCCTGATGTAATTTCACTTGCTGACTGGCACTGCAGTGAGATAACCCTTTAATGAAGGAAGAGTACCCAGTTCCTGGTCAAAGTTTGCAATGTAATGCCCAGCATCCCCAAGGCTTCCTGCGATGACTGCCCCCCTCCCACCTGAAGAGTGCCATGCGGGCAGGGCTGGCAGCTCCTCTCCATCCCCACTGCTGACCACGAGGCCTGAAAATTAGCCACTTTTGTTTTAATTTATACTATACTTCATCTGAAGGGTCACAAATATGCTTCATTTTTTTTAAGTGCCTAATATTACTTTTACTGAGATAGTGTCTACACCAGCCCGCAGAAAGGTAATGGTTATTGAGGTAACAAGAAGAACGAACCAGACCCTCCACTTTCTCTTCAGTCGTGGGGAACGTGATGATTTCCAAGCTGTCTCATTTCCCCAATCCTCCCTTTCTTTCTGATTGTGTGGGTTGCGGCTTTGCGTACGCCATTCTGAAAAAATCAGGTCATTGCAGTCAAATAATTGGTCAAGTCAGTGAACAACAGAAAGTCAATCACATTGGCTGTTTGACTGAATCGACTGGGCTATTTGTCTCTCACAGACGTGACTGGATCACTACCAGAATAATCTGAGGGTGCCCTTTGCTGGTACCTAGGAAGAATGGCCTGGGTCCCATGGAGACATCTATCTCTGCCATGGGCTCCATCTCTGATGCCTTTGGAGTTCTCTTCATAGCCCTCAGCTTTGCTGGGTTTGGGTCTGAAGGAGCAGGAACCCCTCAGAGGGCTGTGCTCATGAAGCTCAGGACTCTGCGTTTTCTGCACCTTGTGGTGACAGCCTGCAGAGGCAGGTGTTGCTTCTCCGAGGGCCAGTAGCACCAGGGCTGACCCCAGGCCCAAGCCCTTAGCAGCTGGGCTAGAGGGGAGGGGGCCCTTCCTTCTCTCCAGCATGCTGGCTCTTCTTCTCTCTGCTGCCATAAGCTTGAGGGGAGTTTCACTCTGTCACCCAGGCTGGAGTGCAGTGGCGTGATCTCGGCTCACTGCAACCTCCGGCTCCTGGGTTCAAGTGATTCTGTTGCCTCAGCCTCCCAAGTAGCTGGGACCACAGGCATGTGCCACCATGCCCAGCTACTTATTTTTTTTTTTTTGTATTTTTAGTGGAGATGGGGTTTCACCATGTTATCCAGGATTGTCTTGATCTCCTGACCTCATGATCTGCCTGTCTTGACCTCCCGAAGTACTGGAATTACAGGCATGAGCCACTGTGCCTGGCCCACACACTTTTAAACAACCAGATCTCATGAGAACTCTATCACAAGAACAGCACCAAAGGGGGAAATCTGTCCCCATGATTCAATCACCTCCCACCAGGCTTCTCCAACACTGGGGATTATAATTTGACATGAGATTTGGGCAGAGACAGAGATTCAAACCATATCATGCTGCCCCTGACTCTTCCTAAAGCTCATGTCTTTCTCACATTGCAAAATATAATGATCTCTTCTCAACAGTTCCCTAAAGTCTTAACTCATTTCAACATTAACTCAAAAGTCCAAGTCCAAAGTCTCATCTGAGACAAGGCAAGTCCCTTTTGCTTATGAGCCTGTAAAATAAAAAACAAGCTAGTTACTTCCAAGAAACAATGGAGGCACATGTGTTGGGTAAATATTCTCATTCCAAAAGGCAGAAATCAGCCAAAACAAAAGGGCTACTGGCTCCGTGCAAGTCTGAAACCCAGAAGAGCAGTCGTTAAATCTTAAACCTCCAAAATAATCTACTTTGACTCCATATGCCACATCCAGGGCACACTGGGGCAAGAGATGGGCTCCCAAGGCCTTGGACAGCTCCACCCCTGTGACTTTGCAGGACACAGCCCCCTTGCTGCTTTCATGAGCTGGCTATGAGTGCCTGTGCCTTTTCCAGGCACACAGTGCAAGCTGTCATTGGATCTAGCATGCTGGGGTCTGAAAGACAGTGGCCCTCTTCTCACAGCTCCACTAAGCACTGCCCCAGTGGAAACTCTGTGTGGGGGCTCCAATCCCACATTTCCCCTCTGCATTCCCCTAGCAGATGTTCTCCACGAGGGCTTTGCCCCTGCAGCAGGCTTCTGCCTGGACATCCAGGCCTTTCCATATATCCTGTGAAATCTAGGTGGTGGCTCCCAAACCTCAACTCTTGCACTTTGCACAATGGCAGGCTTAATATCATGTGGACGCTGCCAAGGCTTACAACTTGCACCCTCTTAAGCAGTGGTCTGAGCTAAACCTGGTCTGCTTTTAGCCACAGGTAGAGCTGGAGTGACTGAGATACAGGAAGTAGTGTCCCGAGGCTGTGCAGGGCAGCAGGGCCCTGGTCCTGGCTCAGGAAACCACTTTTCTCTCCTATGCCTCTGGGACTGTGATGGGTAGGGTACTCTGGAGATCTCTGGAATGGCTTCAAGGCATTTTTTCCCATTGTCTTGGCAATTAACATTTGGCTTCTCTTTACATATGCAAATTTCTTCAGCCTGCTTGAATTCCTCCCTAGAAAATTGATTTTTCTCTTCCAACACATTTCTGGGCTGCAAATTTTCCAAACTTGTAGGCTCTGCTCCCCTGTGAAACATAAGTTCCTGTTTTAGGTTATTTTTGCTCATGCATATGAACATAGGCTATTAGAAGCATCCAGGCCACATGTTGAAAGCTTTGCTGATTAGGAATTTCTTCAGCCAGATACCCTAAATCAACACTCTCAAGTTCAAAGTTCACAGATTCCTAGGGCAAGGTCACAAAGCAGCTAATTGCTTTGCTAAGAAACAAAAGTGACCTTTGTTCCACTTCCCAATAAGTTCCTCATGTCCATCTGAGACCTCCTCAGCCTGAACTTCATTGTCCATATCACTCTCAGCATTTTGGTCCAACCATTCAACAAGTCTCTAGGGAGTTCCAAACTTTCATCTCCCTGTTTTCTTCCGAGCCTTTCACACTCTTCCAGACTCTGCCAGTTACCCAGTTCCAAAGCTGGTTCCACATTTTCAGGTATCTTTATAGCAATGCTCCACTCTTTGGCACCTATGTTCTGTATTAATCCATTCTCTCACTGCCACAAAAAATACCTGAAACTGGGTAATTTTTAAAGAAAATAAGCTTAATTGGCTCACAGTTCTCCAGGCTGTATGGAAAGCATGGTGCTACATCTGCTTGGGGAGGTCTCAGGAAACTTTCAATTATGGTGGAAGGTGAAGGGGAGGCAGACATCTTACATGGCCTGAGCAGGATGAAGGGGGGTGGGGAGTGCCACGCACTTTAGCCATGGATCTTGTGAGAACTCACTCACTGTCATGAGAACAGCAAGGGGGAAATCCGCTCCCATGCTCCAATCATCTCCCAACATATCCCACTTCCAACACTGAAGATTACAATTTGACATGAGATTTGTGCAGGGACGCAGGTCTGAAGCCTCCATGCCCCACACCCTTTGCTTTCATGTGATTCTCACAGGATGTGCATATGTAGGCTCAGCCAGAGTAACAGGGCTGCCTGCACCATGCCCCATGCCAACTCCTTGCTGGTGTGGCTTTCTAGCAATGCTACAACAAATCACTGCAGCTTAGTGGCTTAAAACCACACACATTTATTCTTCACAGTTCTGGGGTTAATGTTCAATAGGGGTCTCATTGGCTAAAAGTGGGGTGTCTGCAGGGTGAGTTCCTTCTGGGTGCCCTAGGGCAGAAACCATCCCTGAGTTTCCCAGCTTTGGTGGCTGCCCACACCCCTTGGCTCCTGGTCCCTCTTCCACCTCCAAAGTCAGCAGCACTGGCTGGCCTCTCACACAGCAACTTCCTGCCACCAGCTCTCTGGCCTTTCTCCCCGACATTGCAGAACCTCTGCCATTATGTCAGAGCACCTGGTCCATCCTGGGAAACCTCTTTAGTTAAACTTAGTTGATGGGCAAGCTCACTCCTGCTCACCTGTAACCATTCACAGCTTCCCAGGACTGGGACAGGGACATCTCCGGAGACTGCCGTCCCCCTCACCTGTAACCATTCACAGCTTCCCAGGACTGGGACAGGGACATCTCCGGAGACTGCCGTCCCCCTCACCTGTAACCATTCACAGCTTCCCAGGACTGGGACAGGGACATCTCCGGAGACTGCCGTCCCCCTCACCTGTAACCATTCACAGCTTCCCAGGACTGGGACAGGGACATCTCTGGAGACTGCCGTCCTCCTCACCTGTAACCATTCACAGCTTCCCAGGACTGGGACAAGGACATCTCTGGAGACTGCTGTTCCCCGATACTTGCTTTACAACTTGGTAAGTCAGCCAGGCTTCCCATCGTGCAGACACACTGCTGGCCAATGTCCCTTCTCATCTCCTACCCAGCACAGGTAGGCAGGGGTGTGGGGGGAGGGGGACCCTCTACAGAGGCTCCGCCACCACTCAGGGGCCCCACCACCACCCATGGGTCCTGCCACCACTCACGGGCCCCGCCACCACTCACGGGCCCCGCCACCACCCATGGGTCCTGCAACCACTCATGGGCCCCACCACCACTCACGGGCCCTGCCACCACCCATGGGTCCTGCCACCACTCACATGGGCCTCACCACCACCCACGGGTCCTGCCACCACTTACGGGCCCTGCCACCACTCACGGGCCCTGCCACCACCCACGGGTCCTGCCGCCACTCACGGGCTCTGCCACCACCCACGGGCCCCTTCACTACTCATGGGTTCCGCCACCTCTTACGGGTCCACACTCACAGGCGCCACTTCCTGATGCTGTTGCTCCATGAGGTCAGTCACTCCATGTGATTCACAGTGGGAAGAATGGGGGGTGTCAAGACTAGGCAATGTGTGCAGGGCCACCCAATTAGAAATGGCAGGAATTTGGATTTAAACACGGTTGTTTCTGACTTCAAATCTGACAATTTGCACAACACACATTTAAGAAACATTTGTATGTTTGCAGGAATTTGAGCTCTGAAGCCCGCAAAAGAATGAGTCCTTGCTGATGGGACACTGGCAGTGGCCTCCAGGGAGTGGCCTGTGACTGAGGTCCCTTGATCTGCTTGTGGATCTGCCGCTACATCTTTGGAGTTGAAACAGACACAATGGGAATCCACCCGTCAACTCTCATCATCAATACATTTCCGGTTCCCTAGAGGCCATGGCTGAAAATCTAGCTGGAAATCATTTTATGGATGAATGCCGGCTAACACCGTGGGGTTCCAGGTTCTGTGCTAGGTGGTCTGTCTAGGTGAGAGCACTAAATGTTCACTATGAGCCTGGAAGGAGGAGGACCCCATGACGCCCTTTCTGTAGATAAGCAAACTGCGCTAAAGGTGGTGATGACTCGCCCACTTCAGCCAGTGACCCGGCAGAAGGCACATCCCTGAACCAGGCTCCAGTGGGTGCGACTGTGCCTGAGGAGTTGTCTGGGGCTTTTTGTGGCAGCAGCCCAGGGATCAGGTGAGTACCCCTGCTGAGCTACCGATCAGGGAGTGGCAAGAAAAGTGTTTGCTGTATCTGAAATTGGTAAAACTATGAACTTTCCTACCTTATTTTCCACAAAAGTAGAAATTGAGGCAGGTATACACTGCATCAAATATTAAGTAGAAAGTAGAAAATTTACAACAACCAGACCTTAAAAAGTAAATGCTTACGTACAATGTGGCTCTGCCTTACAAGAGCTCACACTTAGTCATGTTGTTCAAACTCTATCAGCTTTAACTGTGACACTGCTTTCTTTTGGTCACTGAACATTTTTAATCTAGTCAAAAACTGCTTTGTTTTACAAAAATACTCAGAGTTGTTAGGTTTTATTTTATTAAAATCTTTATGACATCCATTCAAATGTAATTTTATAATTAATGACTATAATACATAGCTGCTATTTAATCAATATAGCTTAATGTTTCTGGTTTTAATTTGCAAACTACAAAAGAAGAGCTATTTTACTAACGTTTTATTTTGAGACAATTGTGCAGTTGTAAAAAAATAATAAAGAGAGATCCCATGCACCCTTCACTCAGTTTCCCCCAGTGGTAACATCCAGCATGATCACAGCTCAATGTCATGACCAGGAAGTGGCCACTGGCTCAATCCACTGACCTTATTCAGATCTCACCAGTTTTACATGCATTCGTGTGTGTGTGTGCACCTGTGCCTGTGTGTGTGTGCACATGTGGGTGTATTTTGTTCCCTGCAATTGGAGAGGGAAGGCTTTGTCATTCACCTATGATGTTAGCAGTAGGATGTTTTGGTAGGTGCTCTATTTCAAGTTGAGGAAATTTTCCTCTATTTTTAGCGAGAGTTTTTTTTTTTTTTCTCAACATAAATGGGTGTTGGATTTTGTCTAATTCTTTTTCTGCATCAATTGATCTGAGCGTATTATCACTTTTAGATTGTTATAGCGGATTTCTTTGGTAGAGTTAGAAATATTGAACAATCCTAGAATATCTGGAATCAATTTAATTTGGCAGCAGTGTATAAGTCTCTTAATATGTTATTGGAATCAATTTGCTAATATTAATAAGAGGACTTCTGCATCTAGATTCATTCGATACATTGGCCTATAGTTTTCCCTTTTGTCTGGGTTTGGTTCAGGGTAAAACTTGCCTCATAAAACATGTTGAAAAGTGTTTCCTCCTCTTCTATGTTCTGAGAGAGATGATAAAGAATCAATATTAAACATTTGGTAGAAGTCTTCATTGAAACAATCTAGGCCTTGGGATTTATTTTTTGAAAACTTTTAAGTTACAAATTCAATTTCTGTAATGCTTATAGAATCTTCAGATGATCTCATTTATTTTGGTAGCGTTTTGGTATATTTTGGGCTTTAATGGGCTGGTTTGTGTTTTCTAAGTTGCTGAATTTGTGACCGTAAAGTTGCCTGTAATATTCTCTTACCATTTCAATAGCTGCGGGAACTGCAGTGAAATCCCTGTTTCATTCTTGACACTGGTGATTTGTCTTCTGACTTTTTAAGTTTGTAAATATTTCGAGAAGTTATAATTATTGATTTGAAGAATCAGCCATTTTGTTTTATTGATTTTCTCTATTGCTTTCTTGTTCTCAATCTCAATGATTTTTGATTTTCTTTATTATTTCCCTTCTTCTACTTGCTTTAGTTAATTTTTCTCTTCTTTTTCTAGTTCTTGAGGTTGGAACTTAGATTATTGAGATTTTTATTCTTTAAAAAATGTAAGCAATTAGTGCTATGAATTTTCCTGTCAGCACGGCTTTAACTGTACCCCATATATTTGATATATTGGCCTTCTAATTTTCATTTGTTTTTTGGAGTATACACATTTAGGATTGTTATTTTTTTCCTGACTGATTCATCCTTTTCTCAAATGTAATATCCCTTCTTGGTTCTAATAATTTTTTTTTGCTTGGAAGTCTATTTTGTCTAATATTAATATAACCATTCCTGCTTTTAAAAAAATTGTTTGCTATATATATATATTCTTTTACTTTAAAAAACTACCTGATGCTATATTTGAAGTGAGTTTCTTATACACAGGCTACTGTTGGATAATGTTTTCTTTTCTTCTAACCTATTCTGCTAATCGCTGCCTTTTAATTGGTGTATTTAGATCATTTGCATTTATGGTAATTAGTGATGTATTCAGATGCAAGTTTTCCATTTTATTGCCTGTTTTCTGTTTGTAACCTCTGTTTCTCATTCTTCTGTTCTCTTTTCTTGTTTTCCTGTGAAAACTTTTAAAGCATACATCTTGAGGGGTTTGTCATGTTTTCAAACATATTGCCTTGTATAATTTAACTAGCAGTTGCTCCAGCTATTGTAATACACATGCGTAGGTTATCACAGCCTCCTGGTATTGATGCTTTACTACTTTGAGTAAGGTATAGCAAACTTACTTTCACTTAGATTCCATTATCCTCCCTACTTTTAAAAATATAATTGTCTTAAATATCTCCTGTACATGCAGTGATCAGCACATGACTTAGTGTTTTATAATTTTTGCTTCAACCATCAAATATGATTTAAGAAATTCACGGGAAGGCATTATACTATATTTACCAATTTTTTACCCATTTCAATGCTTACCCTTCCTATCTGAAGTTCCAACCATTCTTCTGTAATCTCTTCTTTTTTTTTTTTTTTTTTTCCGAGATGGAGTCTTTCTCTGTTGCCCAGGCTAGAATGCAATGGTGTGATCTCAGCTCACTGCAACCTCTGCCTCCCAGGTTTAAGCAATTCTCCTGCCTCAGCCTCCAGAGTAGCTGGGATTAGAGGTGCGTGCCATCATGCTTGGCTAATTTTTTTTTGTATTTTTAGTAGTGATGGGTTTCACCATGTTGGCCAGGCTGGTCTCAAACTCCTGACCTCGTGATCCACCCGCCTTGGCCTCCCAAAGTGCTGGGATTACAGGCGTGAGCCACTGTGCCCGACCTCTTCTTATTTATAGAAATTCCTTCATTATTTAAAGGTATTTTTGCTAGTGACAAGCTTTTCTTCCTCTTAAAATGTCTTTATTTTCCCTGATTCCTGAAAGAGATTTTTGAAGGATATAAAAATGTATGGTTGACAGATTTTTTCTTTGGTGCTTAGGAAATGTTCTGCTACTTCCTCTGGCTTTCTGCTTCCTTCTGTGGCTCTGGCTTTCTCCTTCTTTCTGTGGCTCTGAAGTGGTTTCAGATGAGAAATAACCTGTCATGGGAATTGTCATTTCCCTGTAAGTAAAGTGTCATTTCTGGCTGCTTTTAAGAATGTTTTCTCTGTTTTTAATTTTTAGAAGTTTAATTATTATGTATCTTGTCATGGATTTCTTTGGATTTGTCCAATTTTGGATTCACTCACTATCTTGAATTATTTATTTGTTTATTTATTTGCAGGATTTGGGAAGTCCATCCATGAAAGGTGTTTTAGTTCACGCTCTCTCCTTTCCTTCTGGGACTCTGAGGGCAAGAATGTCGGCTCTTCATTTCTCGTCCCGCAGGTCCCTGACGGCGCTTTTATTTCTTTCAATCTTTTTTCCCGTCCATTGTGCAGGTTGGGTATATGCTAGTGTTCTGTCCTCAAATACATATATTCTCTCCTCTGCCGTTTTCACTCCACTGAGCCAACTCAGCAAGTTTTACGTTTTAGTTATTGCCTTTTTTGATTCTATCATCTTCACTTGGTCCTTTTTTATAGGATCTATTTCTTTGCTGAGATTTTCCATTTTTCACTTGTTTCAAGAGAATGTATAATTGCTACGGAAGCATTTTATGATGGTTGCTTTAAAGTCTTTGTCAGACATTTCAGCACTGGTTCATTTCAGTGTTGGTGTCTGTCAATTGTCCTCTCATCTGCATTGTGACTTTTTTCTGCATCTTCCTGTGATGAGTGAGTTGATTGGATCCTGGCCATTTTGATGACATTTGAGACTCTGGATCCTACTTAGGAACGTGTCTTAGCAGGCAGTCTTCCTGGTGAGGTGTGGGTGGGTGCGTTCAGCTTTCTGCAAGCCCCCTCCTGAGTCCTGACACCTCTCTGGCCACTGTGGGGGACCAGCTCACACTGCCTCACTGCAGATGAGCTGAGGGGGGCATTCAGTTTCCTGTTGGTCCTACTGATGCCTTCCAGGGAAGGTGGGCAGCAACTCGTATAGCTCATGGCCTCTGAGCAGAGGTGCTGGCTCAGCTCCTGGCTGCAGGTGACACCAGGAAGGTGGATGGGAGGGCAAGCTGGGCACGGCAGTTCCAACCCCTACTCAGTGCCACGGTTGGGACGTCAGCGGAGTTGCACCATCACCTCTGAGAGTGCTGTGGAGGTTCAGTGTCTGGTCAGCCTGTGACGCTGTGGGGGGCCTGTGTGTTCCATGGGTGTTTGGTAGAGCAGAATGGGTGTTGCTGACACACCTTTCTGTTCTCTGGGGCCGCCCTTCTCCCCGGCCTTCTCCCTGTCATAGGAAATAGCCTTCTCCTGGATTTTCTTTCTGTGCCTATTGGCGGCTCCAGCTTGGAGGTTTCTGCAGTTCCTGGACTAGGACACGCTGGGGATCTGCCCCAGGCCACCCTCAAGCCCTGGGGACCTCATCTGTCCAGCTCCTCTCCTTATTCCAGAGTCTTCTCTCTGTATTTCCTGTGTTGTGCCCAGGGCTTTAGTCCTAACACTGGGCCTGAGAGGAAGGGCTGCTCCATCTTAGTGGAACCAGATGCTCAAAAAAAGCTATTTAGACATTTTAATTATTCTTAAATTAAAGATTTTGCCTCTTTGGATAATTTTTTCAGGGATGATGTCTGATTTCCTTAATCTGTGATTAACCTTTGATTGGAAACTGTTCTAAGTTTTCCAAAGACTGCCTCCCCTGTCTCCTTCACTAACTTACACCCTTACCACTTGCATGGGAAATGCAAGCTTGCTTTTTTCAAGGGGATCCTGAGCTTCTCTCAAGCGTTTGGAGTTTCCTATGCTTCTTGCAGATTTTCAGCCACAGAAAAGCTTTTACCATTCATTCTCAGGCCAGGGTCACACATTATCTTCTTAAAGGACAAAATGAGATTGTATGTATCTGGTTTAGAGGTTGTGATGAAGACTCTGTTGATTATCAGATGAAGGACAAGCAGTCCCTACGCCTTCCTCTTAGAAAATCACAGTTTGCTAAAATGTCTCCTGACAAAATCCTCTTCAAATATTACGTTTCTAGGCCCTTTTATAATCTCCATCTAAGTGGGTACCAGGATCCTATAACTGAGTCTCAAGGGTGCCCCCTGAGATTCCTGCTTGGTACCCTGACCCCTGTCCTGGTGCTTCTGTTGAATTTTCCACTTTAATGTCTCCAAATGTGAGGTTCCTGCCCAGCCTCTTCTCATTTTATGCAGTCATCCCACTCGGCCTAGAACTTTAGTGAAATTTCCATCTCCAGTCTCAAACTTTAGACCTGGTTGTTGTTTTTTTCACATCGCTTAACTGGATATCTCTATAACAGACCTAAAATTCTCCCTCCCTCATCCACACACATGCACATGGACACAGAACACACACATAGGCTCACATGCACACATACAGCACACACATGCACACACACAGGACACATATGCTCATGTGGACACACATGTACACATATACATCACACACATGCTCATGCACACACACGCACATGGACACAACACACATGCTCACATGGACACACATGCACATGGACACAGCACACACAAGCTCGTGTGCACACCCACACACCCATGGACACAGCACACACATGCTCACGTGCACCCACATGCACATGAACACACAGCACACACATGCTCACGTGCACACACATGCACATGGACACAACACACATGCTCACATGCACACACATGCACATGAACACACAGCACATGCATGCTCGTGTGCATACACACACAGCCATGGACACAGCACATATACATACAGAGATGCATAGCATTGGCATACACGAACATACACACCAATGCACACACTCACCAAACCTGTTTCTCCTTTTGTGTTTCTATCCAGATGAGGGCACCTCTGCTCACTGTGGCTTTGCACCACCTCATAGAAGCTTTGATGGTTCTCCAAGCTGCTTCTCTTCCTGGTTCCCACTCCTCTGCCCATGTTGTCTCCACGTGCTCTTCATCCCAGGGCTTCAGGAGCGGCTGCCGCCTCCCCCAAGTCACAGGCCCCGGCTCGAACTCACTGCTCCTTCAAACTCCACTGCATCACCTGGCCTTGGACATACTTCATCGGGCCGCCTGTCAGCACCACCATCTCCCTGCAAGGCCAGGAGCCCCGGGGTGAGGGCAGCGTGGCTCCACTCTGGAAGACCTCCCTGCCAGCCCAGTGGCGGGGGTGGGGGGTGGGGCTCGGGAACGGCCAAAAGGAAAAGGATGACATTCTTGGGCCGGAGGACTGTGAAACCCAGACTGCAAACAACTTCACTCCCCTCACGTGTGTCTTTGTGAGGGAGAAGCGCATTCATCGTATCTGTGAAGTGTCTAATGGAGGCCCCATTGTGCACTTCAGGGCCATCTGGAAGGGGCCTGACTCCGGCCCCTGCAAGGCGGTGGATGCCAGCGCTCAGACATGACGCAGTGCACAGGGCCCAAAGTTTTAAAGGCCATCGGTTTAAAAGTGGGGCTTTTAAGGGACTAAAAGCAAGTTTTCTCAAGACCTCTCAAAACAGAAGGCTCCAATGGTGGGAATAAACTCCTGAGGAGGAAGGAGGAGTTTAGGATGCAGCAGTCACATTCAGGACGCACGGCTTAGGGAGAGGAGGGGGAGAAGGGCTGGGTTCTCCCCCTGGCTTAGGGAGAGGAGGAAGAGAAGGGCTGGGTTCTCCCCCTGCCTTAGGGAGGGGAGGAGGAGAAGGGCCGGGTTCTCCCCCTGTTGATTCAGCTCGGTGTTTTCCACGGAGCGGTTTGGGGCTCGGGACACCAGGGAAACCATGATGGACACCTGCGTGCCAGGGCTGTTCTGGGACTCAGTGTGAGGCTGATGGCCTCATCCACCTGGGCAGGTGGGGCAAGGGGTGCCAGGGGTGAGCTTGCAGGGTTACACTGTCCAGGAGGTGTGGGAATATGAGGTTGTGGGGTGTGCAGATGTGGGGTGTGGGGGGTGTGGGAGGTGAGGGGGTATATGGGTATGGGGCATGGGATGTGGGGGTTTGAGGGGTGTGGGGTGTGGGGGTTTGAGGAGTGTGGGGGTGTGGGATGTGGGGGTGTGGGGTGTGGGATGTGGGGGTTTGAGGGGTGTGGGGGTGTGGGGTGTGGGGGTTTGAGGGGTGTGGGGTGTGGGATGTGGGGGTGTGGGGTGTGGGGGTTTGAGGGGTGTGGGGGTTTGAGGGGTGTGGGGTGTGGGATGTGGGGGTGTGGGGTGTGGGGGTGTGGGGTGTGGGGGTTTGAGGGGTGTGGGGGTGTGGGGTGTGGGGGTTTGGGGGTTTTGAGTGCGATCTTTCTTTGGAGGCCTGGAACACATTCTCTCCCACCTATGAATGTCTAGATGCTTGCTTAGAATCAGAATGACTTGGTATAATTTTATTTTAAATGCACTCCTTATGAGGGCAAAACCCGGGAAATCTATATTTATGTCTTATCAAACCAACTGGAAATGAGAAGTGCCTGGGCCCAGGTCAGTGGGTATCGTTCCATTCTCTATTTCTTTCCTAACAGGAGTCCTTGAACCAGGAGGGAAAGGTGAGTGGATGGCAGGGACGACGGGGCCCGGGGGAAGCAGCACGGGCTGTGTCCTAAGGATCCTCCACCTGCTCATGTCCAGGAGCACGAGAGACCTCTTGTTTATGCCTTCAGTTAACATCAGTCCATTGTATCGAAGGTCTCAGGCATTCCGTATAGGCTGCCATGGGCCCAGAACCTGTGAATCCAATCTCACTGGACGCCGGCCTCCGTACCGGCACCTCCCTGTGACCCGGGCCAGGTTGCTTCGCACCCAGCTCCTTGCAAAGTGTCTCAGGTTCCTCTCTGGCAGGGTGCAATCCAGACTCGGTTGATCTCCATAAGGCCGTCTAAACTTGGATGAAAAGGCCCTGCAATGCCAATTATTATTATTATTATTATTATTATTATTTAAAAAGTGAGTTACTCTGCCAGGAAGCTGCCCCAAGCTCACCCAGCTCAGATTATGACGCTAATTATAGTGATTATGAAGAAGAGAGCGCGTGATTGCTACCGACCCCCCTCGCTGCCCTGAGAACAAATGCGAGGGACAATGGACGGCGGCTCCGCCCTTGCCGGGCTGCCATGCGGGCGATCCCTGACCCGCTCCCTCCCGTTCATTAGCAGCGCTGGTCGCCAGGACGCGGCCTCTTCAATCATTGCCGACCACCCCCGGCTGCCATGCACGGAGACAGACGCCGCGCGGCCGGAGAGGCCGGAGGTCGAATGTGAACTGCGGCGTTGCCGGGTGCCCAGGCGAGGCGGTGGGGTCGCCGTCGGGGCAGGCCGCTGTGGCAGCCTCTGTGTGTGTAGGAAAGCCGCTCTGCATGCCGGGGTGCGGCACCTACTGTGTTTTTGTTTTCTCCTTGCAGCTGAATGCACTCAACAGTTTTCCATTTCTCTTTTCCTTTGGTGCAGGGGGTGGGCAGAGAGTGGTGGTTTCACTCGGTCAGTTTTCTGGAGCTGCAAGGCTAACATTCATAGCAAGCAAGGGGACCTCCTTCGCCTGGGTTCCCTCTGCCCCTGCTCCGAGCTTCCAGACTAATGTGGCCTGGAAGCTTGGGAGGTTTCTGCGTCTCCGCCACCTTCCAATTTGCAGTGGCCGGCCTCTGAAGACTGACAGGCCGCAGCGCCGGTGCCAGTGTAAATGAGCCCATTCATTTCCTGCCGCTGGCATATGGCATGTCATTGTCCGCAGTCACCGAGGCAGAAGTGATGCAATTTGTTGGCATGTCCTGCTGCAGAACAGACTCTCCATCCCACTGAGCCCCCAAGAAAACAACAGAAGCCACGAAAGGGCAGCCAAAACCTTCACAGCTTCATCAAGCACGCACATACGGCACAGGGACGCAGGCAGCACACTCTCCATTTCTGTGCCTTCAGTGGGAAGGGCAGAGGGATGGAGGAATCTCAGAGCTTCTCAGCTCTCACTGTAACCACAAATAATGCCCGAGTCACGGATACCGCAAACCATTCTCAAGATGTCGTTCAAAACAGTCTTCCTTTTGCACGTCTATTTCTACTTTTGTTTCTGACAAACTGAACCACAGCAGAGACTGAAACAAGCCAAGTGGTGAGAGTTTAAATGCATCCTCAGCAGCAGGACACAACATACATCCAGCACGGCTCCTGCGGGAAAGCGGGTGGCTGCTTGTGGAAGGGTCCAGGTGTTGTTTCATTAGGAAAAAAAAATGATGCATCATGTTTGCTGGGAAAAGTCAAAGCACAGCTGCATGGCCAGGGGGAGCTGCATGGCCAGGGGGAGCTGCATGGCCAGGGGGAGCTGCATGGCCAGGGTGTGGTCAGGTTCACACCCCCGGGAGCTGGGCTTTACAGAGCAGCCCCATCCAAAGGTTGCAGCCAATCTGAAAACAGGCAGAAGCATTTGGCTCCATACAGTCTGCATGTTCACAACTGTGATAAGGACATGCTAAAGTCCAGGCTGGTGGGATCGCTCCCATAATGGATTTGAGAGGACCACGTGATTCACATGTTGTGATGAAACATATGAGCCTTGCATCTGTGTGGTGTCACTGAAGCATGTTTACAGGAGAGGAGTCCAGCTGAGCCTGCCAGTGAAGACAAGCACTAGGTGCCCACACACAGTTAAACTATTACTGTGAGAAACAGGCCCACGTGAGTGCAGCAAGGTGACCTACAGGTGGCTGCAGACCTCTGTGATTTAGAAGCTGCCTGGATCTGCAGCATCCAAAGAATCTTTCTGATCTTCATGATCATTGATCTGAGAATGGTTCATGATCACTGTCTGAGAAGGTTCTAAAATTCCTTCTAGCTCCAAAATTCCTCAACTTGATCATGGATGGCTCCTCCTCAGCGTTCATCAAGTCAGGAGTTCAGTGGCCGTGAACAGGTGGTCCCTGTTAGGCTAGGCTCCCTCACACTGGGAAGGCTGGCTGGTCCATGGTCCTGCTGGGTGTCAGGTGTCATGTGAAATGCATGGGACAGAGTGAAATGCACTAAAGTGACAGTGGTCTTCATACTGAATCTCATAATTCAGGATATGAAATTGGGATCTGAGACCAAAGGCTGAGTGCAGCTTTGTTTGAGAAGCTAGTGCCTGAGCAGGGGCACAGACCATGGTTAGCTGCTTGTTAGAAAAGCCGGTCACTGAGAGGGGCACAGACCATGGTTAGCTGCTTTGCCTTGGAAGTTTCTTTAGGTTTGGGACCACTTCTCTCTACCTTTATTAATATTGCAGTGAATAGTGCGGCATGCAGAGAGGTACTGAACAAAGACATTTTGATGAATTCATATTGATGCATTTACCTGCAGAGAAAATGAAAATAAATTAATTATTAGCTTAAAAAAGAATGTAGGAATAGAACATTGCAACTTACATTCTTAGGAAATTTAAAAGTTTTCCATATTAGAAAACAAGTAAAAAACCCCTCTACATTTTGTGAAAGATATTCTATTTCACTTTCTTATTGTAAAAAAGGAAAATGATTGAAAAGGGAAGATAAATGAGCATGACACACATTCACTGCTTTTGAGTTGCAAGCACAGTTACAGATAGGAGAAAAAAGATACAAATACTTATTGATGACTCATTTGTGTTCTGAGCACTAGGAATACACCAATGAACAAAGGGACAAAAATTCCTGCCCTGGAAGAGCATAAAGTCTGGTGAGCAGGGGACTTCTGCTCCTGGCAAGACGGAGTAGCGGGACATTTCTGATCCCTCCCACCAAGCACAACCGAAACGCTGGACGTGATCCTTGCCTAAACCTGAAGGGCCCTGACGGTGGTTAGGAGGCCGTCTGGAGATCTCAGGACCAGGGAAGCCAGGGCGGTGGCTGCCTGCATTTTCCCATGGCCTCATACATCCCAGACTGGGAGGTGAAGAAAGTGGTGACCGGGGAACACCTACAGGCACAAACAAAACAGCAACAACAAAAACCAACCCAATAGAAGCCTCATCCTTCTAGGCAGAGGACCTAGAATGGGACAGCCCAGTAATACAGAAAACGTTCAGACAGTGACTGCCTCACCCCAGCCAAATGCCCTGAGCAGCTGGGGTCATTCACACCAGCAAAGGCTGGGGCCCCGACTTCCCCTCGTCAGGCTGTCATGGGGCAACCCGGCCCCCACCAGGTGGTCTCAGAGAAGGTCGCGTGGGGAGCTGCCATTTGGCCCCCCACTGGCCTGTGATGAACCCTGGCCTGGCGTGGTCACTGGGGAGCTGATGTCCACTCCCCTGGGAAGGAACAAGGTCCCTGCCCCTCCCTGCAGGGTAGTCTCCGAGGAGGCCAGGTTAGTCAGGACTTTCACCCGCCCAGGGGCAAGGAGTCCCCCAGTAGTGTCAGTGGGTGCCCCAGTGGAAGCTGGGACTACCACAGCTCCCCAGGCAGGGATGGGGCTGGGTGGTGGCTGGACTTCCCTTCCACCTGGCACAAGTTTGGAGTTAGCGTCTCCAGGTATCCACTAAGCAATGTCAGGAGAAGCCGACCACAACTAACGTTTTGAGTTAGGCCCAGAGTCTCAGAAGCAGCATGGTGTCCGAGCTTCAGACCCACGCTGCTCATTAGACCAAGAGCCCCAAGATCTCAAGCTGAATGAACAGAGACAACCCACAGAATCCACCCAGGGGGACACGTGGGACTGTCTCCAGGGTCTGATGAACTGCAGTGCACCCAAGCAGAGAGCACCACTTAGCAATGAAAGGCACAAACCCAACATGCTGGCCACCAGGATGGACTCAAACGAAACAGGCTGCGTGGAGGAAGCCATGTCTGCAAAACTGCCTTGAGGGAGCCACGCCCACCCGACGGAGCCACACCCACCGTGAGGGAGCCACGCCCACCACCAAGGAGCCACGCCCACTATCAGGGAGCCACACTCACCCCAGGGAGCCACGCCCCCGCGGGGGAGCCATGTCCGCAAGGCCTCGGTGTACACAGCCCTCCTGAGGGTGATGGAACTACAGGGGTGGAGGACAGATTCGGCGGTTCCAGGGGCTGGGGAGGAGGGGGTGGGAGGGAAGTGGCTGCGGCTACAAAAGGCCCGCAGGAGGGACCCTCGTGTGAGGGATGCGTCTGTGTCTGTCCTCGTGCTGAGATTTTACTGTCATTTTTCAAGTGGCGGAACTGGGTAAAGGACGCCAGGCATCTCTCTCTTCCTGACAATTGCATGCGTGTCTACAGTGATCTCAGCATACAAACTCCAGGCACCATGAAGGACATGGAACCCACGTGGGCCACGGCAGTGCCATCCTTGCTGTCACACGGTTTTCTGTTGGCCGAGGGGGCGGATAGGAAACAGCTCACGTGTGAAACAATCACAGGTTGTGCTAAGAGCTGTGAACATCAGATCTCGGTCGGAGGGGATAACAGGACACCCTACCGTGGGCGAGCATTGTCCAGAAAGTGGATGAGGGAAGGCGCAGGCTGGCAAAGCTGCACTTGGGGAGGAGGGAGGGCGGCCACGGGGGGCTGGACCTGGGATCTGGAAGACGAAGCAGCTACAGGAGGGGTTCAAAGAGCCACAGGGGACCCTCAAAGGTCTAAAGCTGAGGAGTGATGAGTCTGGATTTGCATTTAAGTAAACATTACTCTGGAATCTCTTGGGCAATGGGGTTGAAGAAAGCCAGTGCAGAAGCCAGGAGATTCATTGGAAGGCCACGCCAGCTCACTCAGAGGGAGGCAAGGGCCTGGGCCGGGGGCAGCAGCGCCTGCAGATAGATAGGGGAAGACTGGAGATGTAGGGTGGGGAGGGCAGGGGTCATGGAGCGTAAAGTGTGGTTTCCACGTGTATGGGCTGAGCTGACCGGGAAGTGGACGTGCCACCTGCAGATCTTGGGCTAAATCCTATGGGGCACAATCCAGGTTTACTCAGATATTAAAATGACGCCGAGGACCCCAGTGTGGAGAAAACTTGTATGTTACCATTTACATAGGAATTATCCCCAAGCCGGGCAGTTCTCCTTGGCTCCTGGGTTGTGTGTCCTGTTCGTCACGCGTCTATTCTCATCCTTAGGATCCTGTGTGTCCAGTCCTAAACAGGACTATCTGGCTATGTGATGCTCCTTGTCATTATCTAATAATGTAAGTGAACGTTTTTGGATATGTGGCAAAGTAACATTCTGAATTATGACACTGAAGGCTTTACGACTTTTTAAACTCTGTCCTCAGGATGATTCTCCCTCCTTGAATGCTGACTCCCTCTCTGCCCAGAGAGGAGAACATGGACCCCTCGCCATGGGACTGGAAAGTAAAGGCTGGAGAGCCTGGCACTTTGGTCCAACGGCCGCGGCCCCAGTGTAAGAAGATGTTTTCCTTTCTGCACACTAGATAAAGGCTGCTGTTATTTAGGAAAGGAAAGATGTGGGCTTGGGGTCCACAAATAGCAGAGGGGACTGAAGTTCCTGGTGACCACAGCTGAGAGCCCCGTTCAGCTCTGGGGGTAGTTGATACCATGGCATGCTGGGGCCATCATCCCCTTCTGACATCTGTTCCACAGCCTGGCTCGCTGTCTGCCCTCCTAAGACGGGGTTGCAGCCCAGACCCTGTAAGCCTGGTACTCCATACCCTGAATGCACAGATCAATCCTGCTTCCTGCCAGCTGTTCTACCGAAATTATGAATAGAGCCCCTTTCACTCTCAACAACATCATGGCTGAGGCGATCAATTATATGGTCACCCTATGAGACCAGGAGAGGAGGGCCCCTTTGTCTTGACCAAGGCAGGAACTAGGTGGCACCGGGGCAGAGCACTCCTGTCCCAGGTGTGAGAACTCATCCTAGGAATGCCTAGGTCCACGTCTCCGAGAACAGCACAACTTACCTTTCAGGGAACGTGCTTCTAATGGTTTTTTTCTTTTTATTACCAAATTTGACTTAGAAAGTCAAATGGTTGCCTATTAGAGAAATTCTATGGTGTTGCTTACTGAACCACACAATAAAGTGTGAAACCTTGACAGTGTCTGGTAGTATACAATAATACACCTAAATCTACTCTTTTTTTCCTCGGCGATAGGGTCTTACTTTGTCACCCAGGCTGGAGTGCAGTGGCGCCATCATAGCTCACTGCAGCCTCCACCTCCCATGTAGCTGGGACTACAGGCTTGTGCCACCATGCCCGGCTAATTAAAATCCACCCTTCAAAAAAATACTGATTGAATTCACTATTCCAGTTGCTACAGATCAAAAACTGCTGAGACGCGCTTCCTGTCCTCCAAGAAGAGAAGCATTCCACACAAGGCAGATGGATATTAAGTGCAGAATCACGAGAGTGTGACGTGGACGAGATCAGTGAGCAAAGGGCCCACAGAGAACACAGTCTAAGAACAGGCGGGATTTCAGCTGAATCCTGTGTGGAAGTCAGAATCATGGACTCCATGTGTGGAAGCTGAGAAGGCACGAGGAAACCCAGCTGCAGGCGGAGTCTAGAGATGGACACGGACAGGGTCCCAGGGACTGCGAATGCCTGGAAGGCACACAGCACAGTGAACAGATCGGGGAAAAGCACGGCTTCCTTCAACGAGAGCAAGCATTACTATAAGGTCTCTCCCCAAACTTGTTCAGTTTTCCTGGGGCTCCCATTCCCTGGATTCTGTTACTTTCTCCTTAAATATTGATGGCTCGTTGCTAGCAGTTCCCCCCAAACCATGACGTAACTGTGTCTTCTGTCAATTTCACCACGTTCTTGCAAATGGAGGCAACTCCTGATAAGACCCAATCCCAGATCAGCCTGGGCTGCCGAGAGCTTCCAAGAACATCAGGTAAATGGAGACTGATGCTAAAGTCACAGCCGCCGAGTTCAGCAGGTTCTTAAAGCCATCGTGAGCCTTCTCCGCCTCTTGCCTGCTTTGTCTTTACTTTTTCCTCTCTGTGGTTTTTTTCCCCCACCAGCATTTAAATATCAACAAGTCTTTCTTACCTGAAAAATAAATACCTTGAACAGACTTTTCTGCTTTTGGTCAAGATAGAGTCATAGGAACCTTAGGTACCCTTCTGTTTGAAACAACTAAAAAAATAGATGAAATGCATGAAAAAGTGGCACTCCAGACATCGGACCTCAGGCAACAAAAGAGCAATCCATTAAAGACAGGAGGCGGGAGAGGCATGCTGGGGATTAAACAGCATCCAGACTCTCCTAACATCACTGGGAGAGTCTCCCAGGCACGACACAGTGCGGGACCCAGGGAGAGCCTGGTGGTCCCCCTGAATGGGGGAATCAGAGCTGGGCATCCAGTTAGACAAGAGAGTTAGAGTCCCCAGGGCAGAGAGCTGGAGAGAAGAGATCTTCAGAGACAATTCGCCAGAGACCTGCAGATCTTGAGTTAAGTCGAGTGCAGTTCAGCAGGTCGGTCCTGCAGGGACCATGCCCGGGGCCAGAGGAGGAGCCCCCCAAAAGGATGAGTGGGAGCAGCACCCCGTGTCACAAGGGCTGGAAACATGCCCGTCGCGAAAAGCCCAAGAATGCCCTTCTTACTCAGGGGCCATCTGTTAGGCTTCTAAGATGGCTCTTGCTTCAGTCTCACTTGACAAATCCCAAATCCACTCCTGATAAAGTCTTTCATCAAACAGCAGGAGGCATTCCTCAGCCTGATAAATGTAGCCCATGGAACCCCGAGGCACAGGGGTGGGGTGCGATGTTCCTGCTGGGTGGTTGCCTCCAGGCGCGTGCACAGGTATGTGGCAGCACATCTGTGTGTGTGCGTGTTACGCCCCATGATTGTAGTGATGCCACTGGCTTTCATTCAGCTCTGCATGGCTCATTCCAGCCCTTTCTCCCCAATTCTCTATAACCTCCCACTCTGTCTGGAAGATGCTAACACCCACCATCACTGTCCATGCACTTAGCTGCTTGGTTCCTCTGCGTGTGTAGCGTGGTTTCAGAGTTCTTAGTCCACACCTCCCCTGGAAACAACATTATCAGCCAGAGAACAGTTCTTAGGCCCGGTCTTTGTGCCTCATGGATCCCACCTGTTTCCAAAGTCACTTATTCAGCATGCTGCACCCACTCGCCCCTGCAGGGAGGCTGCTTCACACCCTGGGATACAATCACAATTCTTTTGTCACAGGCTGCATTCCATGCTGGAATCTCCCCACCTCCCAAATGATGTTTAAAATATTTTCACTGATGTGTTGTAGTTATGCAGATTTTCACTGATGTGTTGTAGTTGTGCAGATTTTGCATATTTTGGCATACGGCTGATGTTTTTATCCTTGTGTACAATGTGTACTGTTTAAATCATGGCAATTGGGATATTCATCACCTTGTTTATCTTTCGTTTGTGTTGGGAAAATTACAGTTTTTCTTTTCTAGTTATTTTGAAATATACAATAAATTATTGTTAACTGTAATTTCTCTACTGTACTATTGAATACTGAAACTTATTATTTTTACCTAAGTGTATGTTTCCATTAACTAACCATTCTCTATCTCTCTTCTCCACTTCTCAGCCCCTGCACCATCATTCTACTCTCTATGTCCATGAGATCCACGTTTCTAGCTCCCCCATATGGGCGAGAACATGAGATATTTATTTTTCTATGTCTGGCTTCCAAATGATTTTTTAAAAACTTTGCATACACTTGGGTTTATTCTTTGTGCTATAAAGTTTAATGGGTTTTGACAAACACAACATATCATGTATTCACCATTATAGAAGTGTACTGAATAGTTTCATCACCCTGAAATATCAGCTGTGCTTCACCGAGCCCTCTCCCCCTACAACCACTGGTTTGTTCACTGTCTCTATCATTTTCTCTTTTCCAGAATGCCACACAAATGGAATCATATTGTGTGTTGGCTGTTCACACTGGCTTGTTTCACTTAGCAATATGCATTTAAGATTCATCTATGTCTTTGGTGGCTTAATATCACATTCTATTTTTTTAAAAAAAGGAGATGTAAAAAACCTACTGTAAAAGTGTTCAATTTAAAGTACAATTCAGTAGTTTTTAGTACATGTGCAACTATCATTGCTAACTAATTACAGAGCATTTATGACTGAATAATATTCCATTGTACAGATACGCCATGGTTTGTCTGTCCCTTCACGTGGGGAAGGACAGTTTGGTTGTTTTCCATTCCTGACAATTATTTTAACAGCAGCTCCAAACATCCTTCTGCAGGCTTTGTGTACACATAGGTTTTCAAATCAGGTGACTGAATGCCAAGGAGTGCAGTTGCTGGATCACAGGCTAAGACTGTGTTTGGCTTTGTAAGAAATCGCCAAGCTGTCCTCCAAAGTGGCCGTGCCATCTTGCTTTCCCACCCATGTGGGTCACCAGCGTTCCATATTCTTGTCAATTTTTTCAGTTTTAGACATTTTAATAGGCATGTAGTAATGTCTCTTGTTTTAATTCCCACAAATGGAAAATGATGTTGAGCATCTTTTCATATCTACTTGCTTTCTGTGTATTTTCTTTGGTGAAGTATCTGGCTGGATCTTTTGTTGGTTTTTAAATTAGATTTTTTAAAAGTGTTTAGTTTTATGAGTTGTTTGCATATTTTGGATACAAGTCCTCTACCACATAGGTGTTTTGCAAATATTTTCTTCTTGTTTTTGTTGTTTTTTTCTCTTAACAATATATCTGCATAGTAATCTCTTTCATATAGTAGAAATTTTAAATGTTAATAAAGTGTAGTTTAACAATTTTTTTTCATGGATAGTGTACCTTCCTGAAAACTCATCACCAACCCTAAGGTCGTGTACACTTTTGCTATGTTTTCTTCCAGAAGTTTTATAATTGTTCATTTTACGTTTTGAGTTAATTAAATTAAATTAATTAATTTATTTATTGAGATGGAGTTTCGCTCTTGTTGGCCAGGCTGGAGTGCAATGGCACGATCTGACTCACTGCAACCTCTGCCTCCTGGGTTCAAGCAATTCTCCTGCCTCAGCCTCCTGAGTAGCTGGGATTACAGGCATGTGCCACCATGCCCAGCTAATTTTGTATTTTTAGTAGAGATGGGGTTTCACCATGTTGTTCAGGCTCGTCTCAAACTCCTGACCTCAAGTGATCCACTTGTCTTGGTCTCCCAAAGTGCTGGGATTACAGGCATGAGCCACCAGGCCTGGCCTCATTTTGAGTTAATTTTAATGTAAGGTGGAAGTTCTGGGTCTAGGTTCATTTCCTTTTTTTTGCATATGGATGTCCAAAATGGAATTGCCTTTGTGCCTTTGTCAAAAGTCAGTTGACTGTCTTTGTGTATGCTTCCTTCTGCTGTGTCTGTTTTGTTCCATGGATCTATGTCTTTTCTGTGGCCAATACCTCACTGGCTTGATTTCTGTAGCTTTAGAGTAAGGTAGTGAGAGTCATCCAACTCTTTCATCTTTAATATTCTGTAGTCTAGCCTTGGTCTTTTGCCTTTCCATTTAAACTTCAGCTATCAGTTGCTAATATTGGCAAAATAGCTTTCCGAGATTCTGATTGGGATTGTGTTAGATCCATAGATCAACTTGAGAATTCACACCTTGACAATATTGAGTTTTCCAATGCAAGGACAGAGAATGTCTCTATACTTATTTAAATATTTTATTTCTTTCATTATTGTGTTTTCCTAAAACACAGATGCTGCATATATTTTGTATGTTATTTTTTGTGCTATTATGAATGGTATTGTTTTTATAGTTTCAATTCCCAATTGTCTTTTGCTGATATATATGAGAAAATGAACTTTTGTATTTTAACCTTGCATTTTGTGACTGCACTATTATTGCTTATTATTTTTTAATTATTTGGGATTATCTATTAATACATAAACACCAATGCCATCTGTGAATAAAGAGAGTTTGATTTTTCATTTCAAATCTATGCCTTTTATTTTTTTTCTTGTCTTTTTTTGCACTAGTTAGGCCTTCTACTACGATCCTGAATGGGAGTGCTGGGGGACATGCTTGATTTGTTCTCAGCCTTAGAAGAAAGCATCCAGTCCTCACCATTAGGAGTCATGTCAACTGTAGGAGATTTGGGTAGATATTTTCTATTAAGTTAGAGGAGCTCCCTCTATTCCTAGTTTTCTAAGAGTTTTTATCTTGAATGTGCATTGACATTCGCTGTACGTTTTTTCTGCATCAATTGATGTGACCATATGCACTAACTTTACTTCCTACCGGGCAGTATCACCTGCCATCTGACATTCACTAGTTGCAGCTCTGAACTGTAGAGTTCGGCAGCCTATAGGCAACTAGACTTTTCTGAAAGTCTCAGTACCCAACAGAATTTAATTTAGATGCTTGTGGTCTATTGAGGCTAGCTCCGTACTAATGTTATATCTGCTACCAGTGGGAGTTTTACCAATGAAACGCTAGTATCTGCCACTTTCTAAACTACATCTCAATGAAAATGTTGCCTCTGTTGCGTTCGCTACATGCTTACACTCGTGAATCCCAGAGGTTGAGGTTACAGTCAGTAGTTTACACCACTGGTATTACAGCTCTGAGCAAATATAGCTTTATGTCTACATTGCCACACATTTACATCTATGATATTATATTACTTAGAGAAACTGCCATCCATCTGCATGTGTGATAATGCTCCATAATTTTTGATTAGTCAAAGGAGCTTTATTCCTCACAAATGGAAAAGAAGGAGAAAATATAACAGCTTTGTCAGTATGTTAAGTAGCTTACCTTTCCTCCTATATTTTCCCGCTTTCTTTTGTCCCCTGCAAACAACATCTGTTCACTATATTTTTGGTGTTTCTCACAAATAGAAATGAATAATTCAGCTTGACAGTGCAGTAGTCAAATGACACCTTTAGGCACTATTTACATCCAGTAAATAATTCTTTTTGCAAGGTAGATGGTGGAGACAGACCAGCAACTCCGAGGGTCCAGAAATGACTTATGGGTTTCCTAGCAGACTAGCTCCTGGGGCTAATTGTGACACATGGGAGGGTAAGAGCCTGGTTAGTTCTGTAGAGCTGACTTCAGTTCTCAGGGAATTTGAACAGTGATCTGATTGTTTCTTGAAATATGCACTTGTTGGTGACAGCCACATGTTTATTTGTTTTTCTACTCAATCCCTGAGAACATTAGAAACAATATATATTTAAATAGTTCCCAGCAGATAGATATTTAAAAAATATTACTAGAATTGTAATCATATGAGAAGTTCTGTAAAGAATTAAGTTCACATGATATCAAGACACATCAAACAATATTCCATTTCTATCTATTCTTCTCCAATCTTTTCTTTCATGTTATTATTTAATACAGAGTATAGGACTAATAGTAGTCAATAAATATTGTTTATTGATTGGTGACTCATTCTGTATCTTCATTTGCAAGTGGAGTTTTAAGAACATATCTCCATAAATATTCATGTAATTTCAAAGGGTATTTTCAAAGTTTTCATATTCTGGTGAGAGAGAAGTACTGGTAATGTAAACAAGTACAGTCTTTCTTGTTTTAAATTAAGTGAACTGCAAAGTTTCTGGTGTAATTTAAGTTTCCTGAAATAGTAAAAACAGCTTCCAAAGGAGCCTGAGGAGATAAAATATTATTGAAGAACAGAGAATTTAGGAGTCCTCATCCGTATTCCTCAGTTGTTGGAATTTCATGAAGAAGTAAAATTAAAAGATTGATATAAATTCATCAACTTTTAAAATCTGTTTAATTGGAAACAGTTGATACACACTCAAAACACAGAATGTGATCTATTATCACCATCTTTTGAAGAAAGACCCAACATTTAAAGATTTTTGTTCTTATGTTTCTTATTTTGCTGCAGACCAGTGAAAACCCGGTCACAGACTGTCTGCTGCCTCTCAGAACTAGCACAGCCCGCTCGCTTGCAGGTCTCCATGAGTGCGAGGGGAACAAGACCTTTGTGTGCTGAGGGCCTGCTGTGCAGGGGACTTTGTGGCATGTGTGTCTGCGTGTGTGTTTGTGGGGTGTGTGTAGAATGTTAATGTGTGTGGTGCATGTGTCTGTGTGTGTGTAGTGTGTCTCTGTGGATAGTGTGATAGCGTGTGCGTCTATGTCTGTGTGTATGGGTGTGTATGTAGCATGCACGGTGTGTGAATGGGAGTCCCTGTGTTTCTGTGTTTGTATAGTGTGTGAGTGTGTCTTTGTGTGTCTCTGTTCATATATGTACATGTGTCTATGTCTTTCTGTGTGTTTAGTGTGTGTGTCTCTGTGTGTTCAAAACAGTGTGTATATAATGTGTATATATGTGTATCTGTGTATGTACAGTGTGTGTAGTGTGTGTCTCTGTATAGTGTGTGAGTGTATATAGTGTGTGTGTAGTATGTGTAAGTGTAGTGTGTGTTTGTGTATAGTATTTGTGAGTGTATGTGTGTGCACATGTCTATAGATGTGAGGTGTGTGAGTGTGTGTTGTGGGTGTGTGTGTCTTTGTGTGTGTATAGTGTGTCTCTGTATGGTGTGCATACTGTGTATGAGTGTGTGACTGTGTATAGCATGTGTAGTGTGTGTGCCTCTGTATGTGTAGTGTGTGTGTCTGTGTGTAGCATGTGCAGTGTGTGTGTCCATGTATGCCGTCTATGTGTGTGAGGGTGTATACTGAGTATGTGTAGTGTGAGTATGTCTGTGTATGGTGTGTGTGCATGTGTGCATGTGTATAGTATGTGAGGTGTGTATGTTTATCTTGTGTGTCTATGTATAGTGTGTGTATCTGTGTGTATATTTGTGCAAGTAGTGTGTGCTGTGTGTGCATGTGTATAGTGTGAGTGTGTCTGGTATGTCTGTGTATAGTGTGTGTGTGTGACTGTGTATACTATGTGTGTGTTTGTATGGTGTGCAGGTGTAGGTGTGAGGGGTGTGTGTGTACGGTATGTGTCTCTGTACAGTGTGTGAATGCATACAATGTGTGTGGTATCTGTGAGTGTGTCTCCATGTGTACTGTTTGGGAGTGTGTGAGGGTTACAGTGAGTGTGTAGTGTGTGCGAGTGTGTCTGTGTATGGTGTAACATGTTATTTCCGATGCAAGCACTGTTGAAAGAGGTCCCACGGAGCCTGTAAGGCCTGGCCCAGGCCACTCCACCTGCATAACACGCGCATGTGTGGGTGCATAGTGTGAGTGTGTTTGTTTGTAGTGTGTATAGCAGCCAGCATGTTATGGTGTGTGTCTGTGTGTGTGCAGTGTGTACAGTGTATGTCTGTGTCTGTATGCAGTGTATGTACAGCGTGTAGTGTGTACATGTGTGCAGCATGTGCTGTGTATCTGTGTGGTGTGTGTATAGTGTGTCTGCATGTGTGCTGTGTGTGTTTGCGTGTGTATGCCGTGTGTGTATGGTGTGTGTTTGTGTGCATGTGTGTACAGTGTGTGTGCGTGTGTGCAGTGTGTGTAGTATGTACATGTGTGCAGCTGGTGCCGTGTGTGTAGTGTGTGTGTACAGTGTGTGTGCATGTGTGCAGTTGTGTACAGTGTGTATGTGTGTAGTGTGTACGTGTGTGCAGCATGTGTGGCCCTCTCAGGACCCCTGTCCAGTGAGAACACCGTCTTTGAGGCCCTCGTCCTCCGTGGGCCGGTCATCCCGGAGCACCTGGGCCTGTGCTCAATGGGGTTCGGGCTCAGGACGCGCGAGTTACGCTCGGTGCGTGCAGATGGAGCAGCCTGGCGGGACCTGGGGAGGCCCCATCGAGCTCCTTCCACAGTGCTTGCTTTGGAAATAACATCCCAAGGGGTCTGGGAGGAAACGGCTGCAAAGGCCACGTCTATGGGTCACGGATTTGGGGGAATTTTGGTTGGGAAGCACACGGCAGGGCGAGGGCAGGAACTCTGGCGTGGGCGGGACTGACCGCACAGCACCCAGGGCCTTGGGGCCCCGCTATGAGTTCGCCGGTCGGGACCAGGGTTCCTCCATGCTGGGGGACTGGAGCGGACTGGAGGTGGCTCCCACCCGAGGCTGACGGACCTGGAGAAACCCAATGTGTGTTTGGGGTCAGGGCGTGGTCAAGGCCCGGAAGGCAGTTCTGGAGACCAGTGGAGAGGCCAGAGGGCCCCGGGGAGAGGCCTGGGCAGAGCTGGGGCCCCCGGCCGGGCTGGAAGGTGAAGCTGGGGGACATTCTCCTAAGGATGCGGATACCACAAGGGGTCAGGAGCCCACTCAGGGGCCCCGCTGCGCGATGGTGCAACGGGACCTGCACTCAGGACCCCCACACCAGGGGCCCGGGGCCGTGCTCTGCCCCACACCCAAAGATCCTGCGTCCACGGACCGCTTTCCTCTCCTCCTTCCCCTCGTCTTCATTTGCATGGAGTCTCTTGGGAGGGCGTAAATATCACAGTGACTTGGTCTCTTTAGGTCTAATTCATGTAAACCATAATTAAAGATGGGTTCCCACCTGGCTCGCATCGACATGCAGGTTGCCTTAATTCTTAATTTCCTGACATTTATTTGCCCCTGCTTGACTGCAACGGGACCTGAACCAAGAATCTGATGATGCGTGGAACGCCAGGAGAAGCTCGAATCCCTGCCTGGTAGAGGCTGGTTTTAATCGCTGCCTGAGATCAGCGACAAGGTTGAAAATATTATCAAGCTAAACTTTTCAGTCTAGTTCCACTTCCTCCCAAAAGGATTGCTGTATGAAATTAATAGGATTACAGATAATCCCTGAAAGAGGCAGGATTAACACTGAACATAAAACCAACTGATATCAATTTCCCTAACACTTGAAAAATCAGCGTCTTGTAGGGGAGGCTGCGGGCTGCCCGGAGACCCTGCTGGGGAGAACACGGATTTCATCCCGTTGACAGGCACATTTCCTCCTCCAAAAGTCAGGAAATGTTACGACGGAGACTGTCGCTCAAAACCCTCTGCCGGTTTAGAAATGCGTTGCTGTTCTTTCCCCGCAA
The DNA here is from genome assembly GCF_000001405.40 of Homo sapiens. NCBI lineage: Eukaryota > Metazoa > Chordata > Mammalia > Primates > Hominidae > Homo > Homo sapiens. Next base: position 78,547,222 of record NC_000018.10, on the reverse strand, counting down.
TACTCGCAGTTTAATAAGGAGCCCTTATGTGTACACTCAAGGTTGCTTTTAGCTGTTGAAGAATTAGGAAATTAGGGTTCCATCGGGTAATTTTTGGAAGAAAAGAAATATTTCCTATGCAAGTGGTCTGTGTAAAATTTGTTGCTATTTCATTAAAACATTCTGTTTTGTGTCCTTCCTCCCACTCTCCTCTCTTCCGCTGCCCAAGCCCTCTCTCTATCTCTCTCTCCCTCCCTCCTCCTCCCCCTTCCTCCCCCCTCCACCCTCTCCTCCCCCCTCCACCCTCTCCTCCCCCCTCCACCCTCTCCTCCCCCATCCACCCTATCCTCCTGCTTCTCTTCCTCCTCCTCTTCCTTCTTTTTTCTTCTTTCTTCTCCTCCCACCCACCTTTCTCATTCTTTATCCCTTCAATAACTTGCAAACATTTCTCCTCATTTCCAACTAGGGTTTGGAAAGACAGTTCAGGCCTTCAAATACATGAAATACCTAAGAGTAGTGGGAAGGCGGCTGTGACGCTCTCCCGGTCCGCAGGTTCACTCACTTTGCCATTTTCGGGGGTGGAGGATGTGGATGATGGTGCATATGTGTTCCGGTGCTGAGTACCCATTTGAATGCAGAAGCAGAGAGATATTCACTTATTATCAGTTTTCTGCATTACTTCATTTCATGACGTTAAAACAATTGCTGCCAAGGGGCTCAGCTGTCCACAACCAAGAGATTGAGAGCTCCAGTGATAGAAGGTAGCAATGTTATTCAGAGGAACACACTACGTCATTTTCTGACTTAGAGAAAAAGGCGACTCACAGGAGACTCAGAGAAGAGGGAGTTCTTCAAAAGTTAGAAACATGAGTGAAAAACAGAGTTACTAAAACAAACAGATAAGCTTATGATGGGTGCAGTAGGAGCTCCATGAAGTTGTTAATTACTTCTTAAGAAAGCTACTCGCATCTCCCGGGTGTAAAGTTTCCTCTCTTAAACGCATCATAACATTAATCAACAATGTGTTTTCTATGACTCTCCATGAGAGCAAAACAAATCAGTGTGGTTAATCTGCACTTCTGTTGTGGGGTCTCCCAACCCTCCGTCTGGTGTGAAAACACATAGAGACACATGCACTGGTTCTCTGCTGGCTACATTGTTTCTCCTCTTCACAGTTCAAGATCCTAGCTCTTCGTGGAAGCATTGGAGTGACACCATACTTACAAATATTTCTAAGCTTCGGTTCTTGAGGCCAATGAATAGATTAACAAAAAATATGCATTACCTCTTCAACTCTGAAGCTATGGTCCTATTGTAAAAAAGAAATACGTGAAAACACATACAGCTTTCTGAGTAGCCTGTTTTAGTTTTTCAGTTTGAAATTTTTTGGAAGACAGTACACTAAACAGAGATCTTAAATGACCATTTGTAGAAACATTTAGATGTGCAAAAAATCAAATCGAACAACTTTTAATAATACTTTACTGCCAGAGGAAAATAAAATTGGAGTTGCTACTATAAAATAAAAAGCAATCAACAACTTTCGGGGGCTGTTTCTTTTCTTTTCTTTTCCTTTTTTTTTTTTTTTTTAACAGGATCCTGCTCTGTCACCCAGGCTGGAGGGCTGGAGTACAGTGGTGTGATTGCAGCTCACTGCAGCCTCAATCTCCCAGCCTCATGTGATCCTTCCAGCCAGCCTCCTGAGTAGCTGGGACTACAGGTGCATGCCACCACGCCTGGCTAATTTTTTGTTTTTTTTGCAGAGATGGGGTCTCACTGTGTTGCCCAGGCTGGTCTCAAATTCCTGAACTCAAGATATCCTCCTGCCTCAGCTTTCCACCGTGCTAGAGTTCCAGGTCTTAGCTGCTTCTTAAGGACCTATCTCAAATGATGCAAAGCAGAGGAAAAAAATTCAATGTTTCTAGAAGGAAAACAAGAATAACTGTCTATTATTTGTGAAAGTAATAAGTGGAACTATTAGGGCTAGGAAATATGGCCCTTGATCCTCAAAGCCTGACCATGGTCAATGCATTAAGGTATAAAGCTCTATTTGCAAGAGGGGATTGGGGGGAAACTTGATCACTAACAATAAGACTTAATTCTTGTTCAGTAACAGTTATTTCATAAGGAGATGATAAGGTCATAAAAAATTGAGAATTCAATAAACTTTAAGCAGCCTTGTTAATATAAATTATTTATATTTTATTCAAATAAACAGTATTGAAGCTTCTACCTGAAAATGTAATTCTTAAATTTTAAGATACTCTGGATTTAACAAAAACCAAAGGACAGGCTCTGGTAAAATAAGAGCTACCTTCCTTTAACATGTTTCTTTACCCAACTTACTCCAGGATCCACGTGTCTCCTAGAGCCCTTCTAGAATGTTCCATCCAGACTAGACGTGAAAAGCATGATGTTGAGTAGTGGCTGCAATTCACCGCGTGTTCAGTCTCGATGATGCTCTTTCAGGCATTATAAAACGACTCAGAGAATTGATGTGTTCAATCTCCACCACACTCTCCCAGGTGGTATAAAGCAACTCAGAGAACTCACGTGTTCAGTCTCCACGACGCTGTCCCAGGTGTTATAAAACGACTCAGAGAATTGACTATTCAGTTATAAAATGACTCAGAGAATCGATAATTTTGGTTCATTGTGTTTGGTTATTTAAATTTGTTGCCTCCACATGAAAATTTTTGCCCCTACTTTGCCCCAAACCACTTCTGAGACACATTTAAGTGTCAGTCTCCAGAACAGGAAGAAATCAGCAGCTTCTGTGTCTCTGAAGAAGACACAGGATTCACTTTCGTCTCAGGCCTCATACCCCGCTGTGGGTGGTGTGCTCCAGTGCCAACTTTCTGGAGGACGATTTGGGGGCACATACGAGAAAGGTTTAAAGTGTACAAAATGCCAACCCAGAGATTGCACTTCCAGAAATGTATCCGCAGAAAAGAACCAGACACATACACACTTTTTGCAAATATAGAATTACAAAAGCCTTCTTGTAAACACGTACTGTTGTTTGAAACAAGTAGGAATTAAAAAAAAAAATCCTGGCTTGTCCAATGTAGTGGTTATCAGAACTGATTAACATTGGTGTCACTAAAGTTGGTACACGACCCCACACTGCTAAATGTGACTGGCTTAACAATAAACATAAATTGCCTGAAATGGGAGATTTTTGTGAAGAAATTATGGAGTGGCATGGCACGAATACTGGACAGACACTGAAGACGAAGCTGATGTGTGTCCGTTGACTAAGAGGACATGTAAGGTATGCTGTTAAGGGAAGAGTCGGTTATGGGATAGCAGGTCTGGGACATCAACTGGGTGTAGGGTGTTTGGGCATGGAAATCTGTATCTGGATCTTTCCTGCCATTGCATGCAGGTAGGAACGTATCTGGATGGATAGACGCCAAAATGCTCACGGTGTCACAGTACATGTCGCTGGGGGTACACAGGAATTTTTAAAATACTTTTCTATGTGTTTGGTTTTTATCCCTCATTTGTAAATGTAACAATGAAGATGATTTCATTTAAAATATTTTCCTTTTTCTTAAGGAGTATGAGGGCAGGACCTTGTCATATTCACGATTTCTGCCTCAATATTCATTGTGGTGGGGTCACAGAATAGGGCTCAACCCCAGCACTGGTGAGCATGTGGCCTGAGGTCTGGTCTGTCCAGAAGCAGTTGCAATGGAGCAGGTGTTCCTGACCTCATTTATCGCCCGCGCCCTCTTGCCAGCACAGTGGGAAGAACAAGGGAGTAACAAACCCAAACATGCAACGGTTTTGATCTGTTCTTGGCAAGAGCAGTGACGTCAGAATGAAGGTACAGACATGGGGACACAAATTTCATAAAATGTATGTCACTTCACTTTACCTAGCCACAGCATGAGGGCCTAATAAATATTGTAATACATTGGGCTGGGTACATAGAGCAGGTGTTCCTATTCAGAGAGTGGTGTGGCTACTGGCGTGTGTGGGAGAAGGGACATTTCTCACGTGCAGCAGCCACACGCCCAAGCCTGGTCCAAGCCCTGGAAAAACAACCCAGTTTCCATGTTACCATGTGGATGGCCCGGCTCTTACCTGCCTCCAGCCTCCTGCTCTGGTTTCCCACACAGCGATTCTCTGTGAGGTTACCAGGAGCTCAGCTTTGAAGGATCCATTGGGAGCCCATGGAGCTCAGCAGGGTAGGAAATTGCTCGTGTCTGCTACTGAAGGCTCTAAGCTGGAAGGAGGCAGAATCAATTGCAAACATGGTGCTCGTCTTCCAGTGTACAATTTGAAAGTTCAAACAGTTGTCTCTCTCTACCCTGTATTGTAGGAATAAGAAGCTTTGCTGCTGAAGAGAGGAAGAGGAAGAAGGATGTTGAAAAAGAGGTGGTTTGTTGTCAAGGCTTCAAAACTCTTCCCCAAATTTGAAGTGAACTGCAGGTTCCCTTGCTGTGACGTGGCCTCACACCTGCCTCTCTCATTAAATTTTGCAGAACTCCCCAGCAAAACCATTCCTTGCTTGGCTCTGCAGGAGACTGAGGAAGCTATTGCCTGTTGCCAGAGCAGGACCAGCTCCCAATGTTACAGTGTCACCTCTCACATCGCCCAGCCTTATTTTACATGCATTTTTGTCTTCCGAAAACGATTCTTTTAAGATCTGCAGTCACTCAAATGAACAGGCATGAATGCACAGTACAGTTTATCAAAATTGGAAAGCCTTCCAGGGGAACAAGCTTGCTTTTGTAAAGTCAAGCTCAATCTTGAGTAACACTTCCCTGTTCACAAGCCCTGGTTCACAGTGTGCTAAGTCATCTCAGGCATGCCAGGAACCTGCCCTGCCCTCCCGCGGCTCTTGGGGCCCTGCCAGAGAGCTGTGCTGTTGGCACTGTAGGCTCTCTCTGGTGTTTCTAGGGACAAATCTCCATGAATAATAGAGACAAAACACGAAAAGCAAAACAAAAACAACCACCAACCTTGTCATAATTCTGTGTGGCTGTCCATCTTAGTGAATCCCTGTGTCTTGGCACCTGTGATCATTATTTCATTGATCTGTGAAAAGCTTTGATGGAACATTGGCATTTATATTGAGGTAGACGCACCAGATGTGCGCTAACCTTTCAGATTTTCCAGCTGTCTAGTGTCAAAAGCCAATTTCCAAAGGAAAAAAAGATCAACAGTTAACACTATTATTTCAGAGCTCAGTGTCAAAATGTCAAAAGAAAGCAGAAAAGCCTCGGAGAACATGCAGTGTGGGGTTTCCATTTGGAAGCTAAGCAGCCAGTTTCATGCGCTTTCAGAGAAAAACACGTAAAGTTTTGTGTTTTGATGATCAGTTTTACACTTTTTCAGACTTCCCTTTTCTTGCCTTGACGGCTGACTGCAGTCACCCCGGCAAGGAAAAGTTAAAGAGAATCTCAGACACTAATTGCCACCAGGAAGATGGATGTTGAGAAAATATTTGGGGAGAATATTGTCCTGAGTCCTAACCATCCAGGTGCCTCCAACACACTATATTTATGAGCTGGTTGCACATGAAGAATTTCCACTGTGAGGGGCCAGCAGTGGCATTTCCAAAAATTAAAGGGGGTCACCAAATTGGCTGTAGACGTTTGAGCGTCCCTGGTGTCATCCTGGCCCTGGCTGGGCGGACAAAAGCATCTTCCCATAGCTGTGCCGGAGAGGTGAGGCTGCCAGACGAAATACAGGACACTGAATATTGCATGCAGCATTTTATGCTAAAAACTATTCTTTGCTTATGTAAAAATTTAACCAGGCAACCCATGTTTTTATTTACTAAATCTGAAGATTTTAGGCTGAGGACACAGACTTGGACTCAGACCTGCCTTCCAGTGTTGACATTCCTTTCCCAAGCTCTGTGATCCCCATGGAGTCTGGGATGATCTCATTCATATTCCCGCATCTGATGGTATGTTATGGGGTAGAGAGTGTGCATTCAACACGCCCAGTGCAGGGAAGCTCTGAGGACCAGAGCAGCTGTGACTTGTACCCTCCTTAGACTTTCCATCTTTCCAATGGCACCCCTGCATTCCGGGAGGCACGAGGGGGCTGAGTCCTGGAAGGCACACGAGAGAAGGGGTGAGGCAAAGCTCCTGCCTGAAGATGCCCACAGTGGAGGTGAACATCTGTGTCTACGGAGAACGCTGAAGCCACTCTGCTTTTGTCATTTCTTTGCGGGGATTTCTCTAAAATCTGAGATGAAGGCTTTGTTTCCTACACGACAGTGTCTTTCTCAGGCAACTGTCAATTTCTCACGGTGAGAAGGGTTTTGCTGTGTGGTGTGTGGACGTTCCTCACTGGGATCAGTGCTCTGTCCATAGACGTGGGGAAGAGCATCTGGCCTGGAACATGTGTGTTCTTCCCGCAAGGAGTTTCTGAGGAAACGCAGAGACTAGGGCCGTCTGGAGGCCGTGCTGAGCTGCGGGCTGCATTTCCTTCTGCAGGCCCCATGCAGGAAAAGACTCCCATGCTCCCGCAGGCCAGTTTTGAACCTGGTCAGTAGAAAATATTTCCCTTTAAATGGAAAATATTTCCAGAGGCACAGGCAAGACTCAGTCCAAGCATCTTGGGGAGGGACCCCTGCCTCCCCTAGCCCTGGCCCCTCTCTCTGCTCTGAGCATGCACATTCCTTAACCCGCAGCCGTGGGTTCCTTGGAGCTGCCCCAAGCAAGTGCCACAGACTAGTTGACTTAAAACAGCAGGCACTGATTCCCTTGCAGCTCTGGGGGTGGGAAGCCAATACTAAGGCGTGTGCAGGGCCATCATCCCCTCTTGGATGTCTCTCAGGGAGGAGCCTTCCTGCCTGTTCCAGCGTCCCGTGCCCCCGGTGCTCCTGGGCAGTGGCCACGTCACTCCAGCCTCCACCTCCATCTTCAGCGACCATTCTTTGTCCAAAGGACACTGGCCATTGGATTTAGGGTCCACCCTTGTCGAGTACGACTCATCTTACTGTAATTACAGCCACAAAGACCCCTTTTCCAAATAAGTCTACATTCAGTTTCCAGGGCTTAGGACTTGGAGTCGTCTTTTTCGGGGACACGACTTTGGTAAGTACCCCAAGACAATCTGGTACTTACCGCCTGTGCCCAATTGCTCTCTGTGGCTTCCTCGGCATCTGCGTCATCTGTGATGAGCATGAGTGACATTTCTGCGAAGAGGGGGTTGAGTTTACCTGAAGCTCTAGGGTTCTTCTCAAGCAAGAAAACAGAAAGTAAAACCAAAATAAAGCAAAGCAACTGTCTGCATGCTCAGACTTACGTAAAGTTATGAATGAACAATGATTTCATAACTGTCTGGGTTTGCCACATCTGCTAAACATTTCCTGTGGGCCTTTCTCTATTGGTTTGGAAAAAGCTCTCCTTCCTCTCCATTAGCCTGGCTCCATTTGTGTGCATTAGGCTCAGTGGGAAACAAAACCAAACTCAACAAAGCAAAATGACATCTTCAACTGAAACTGGTGGCCCCTGAGGGACCCTTATGAGTCATGAATAAAACAAACCAGGCAGCCGGGCGCGATGGCTCACGCCTGTAATCCCAGCACTTTGGGAGGCTGAGGAGGGTGGGTCACGAGGTCAGGAGTTAGAGACCAGCCTGGCCAATATGGTGAAACCTTGTCTCCAGTAAAAATACAAAAATTAGCCGGGTGTGGTGGCACGCACCTGTAGTCGCAGCTGCTTGGGAGCTGAGGCAGGAGAATCACTTGAACCTGGGAGGCGGAGGTTGCAGTGAGCCGAGATTGCACCATTGCACTCCAGCCTGGGCGATAGAGCAAGACTCCATCTCAAAACAAAAAAACAACAACAAAAAAACCAAAAACAAAAAAAGAAACAAACCAGGCATTAATGATTTGCTGAACCGATACCCTCCCCCAACACTTTTAAGTTTGCCTGGTTTGTGCCTGGGCATCACGAGGGAGGGAGGGCTGGCTGTGGCCAGGGCACGGGGGAGAGGGCAGGCAGTCATGCCGGGCGCCGGCACCCCAGGGTCAGGGCGCAGTGGGCGGTGTGCAGACGTCCCTTGGCCATGGGTCCCATAGCACCTCACACCTCTTCTGCGAAGCTTCACACCCACGCCCTCTTCAGCCTCTGTTCCTTGCTCTCCTGGATTCCCAGAGCTGGCTTGAGTGGAGACGTGCGGTCACTTACTGCTTCTCCTTGGCACTGGTGAATTTTCTTCATAGTTTTTATGCGACAAGGAACTCCTGATTAGGGGAGCTGCCCCTCTGATCTGTTAAGAGTCTTGCTACTAGGTCAGGGTGAGAAATGACTGTAAACATGTGGGAAAACATTTTCATGGTCCATTTTCAAGGCATGGTAGATCTAAATACTGGTAGCCAGTCTGCACATGTGACAAACGGCATGGCTCACGTGCAGCAAAAGTCAGGATAAGCAAACAGGATGCAGAGGAGGGGACAGCCCATAAAACGGAATAAAGTTTCATTATTGGGAAATCAAAACTTAAGCAGGAAAGGGGACCGGGGTATGACCCTGTAAGGGGATATGGAACTTAGGCGACATCCGGGAAGATTGTAACCCCACAGTACTTGATCAGTGGGGAACTGGAGGAGGGACTTGCGTGCTAGGAGATAAATTACCTGCTGTAGCTGCCGCAGGTGTGCCTGCCTACCAGACACGCCATCTTCAAGACCGCCATTAAAGGTCTTCCTTCCGTTGTTCTTTGGGTCTCTGAGTCCATTCTTTGGGTTTGGATGGGTGAATGTGTTTCTCACAAAACATTTTTATTTGAAATAATTACAGATTTTCAGCAAGTTGCAAAGCACACACACAGGAAGGTCTCATGCCTCCTTCACAGCCTCCGATGAAGGGTGACTTTTTTTTGAGACAGAGTCTCGCTCTGTCGCCCAGGCTGGAGTGCAATGTCATGATCTTGGCTCCTTGCAAGCTCCGCCTCCCGGGTTCACGCCATTCTCCTGCCTCAGCCTCCCGAGTAGCTGGGACTACAGGCGCCCGCACCATGCCCGGCTAATTTTTTTTGTATTTTTAGTAGAGACGGGGTTTCACCGTGTTAGCCAGGATGGTCTTGATCTCCTGACCTGGTGATCTGCCCACCTCGGCCTCCCAAAGTGCTGGGATTACAGGCGTGAGCCACCGCACCCGGCCGACGGGTGACATCTTGCAAACCCATAGTGCAGGGTCGCAGGCGGGAGCTTGACATCCATGCATCTGTAAAGTGTGGACAGTTGTCACCAGCTATACATGTGTGTCTCTGTGCGAGTCTGCGTGGGGGTCCATGCAACTTTGTCATGCCTGTCCCTTCTTTTCTCCATGTTATATGCCCAAGAGTGCAACCACAGGGTCACGCGGTAGGTCCATTTTTAGTTTCAAAAGGAAACTACCAAATATTTCCAGAGCGGCTGTACCATTTTACGTTCTCACCAGCAATGTGGTTATTCTTACGTGTGTATTTTTATATGTAACTTTAGTATCAACTTGTCAAGCTCCATAAAAATGTCACTGATATTTTTATTGGAATCAATTAAATGTATAAATTAATCTAGGAAGGACTCACAAACTGATGAAGTTGAGATGTCCCAACTGAGAACAAAGGTATTTTCTATGTAGTCAGTATAATTCTGTGTCTCATAACTGGCTTTAAAAATTAAAAAGATATGAGAATTTTTAATATTCCTGAATGTTCTGAGAATATGATTTCTATAATTAGACATAGTATTCCTTAAGTGGATATAAATGATTGATTCACACATTCATTAATTTGGTGTCCTGTGTTTTCAGTGTCAGAAGGGATGCTATGATACGGAGTCTTGCCTTTCTGTCTCTTAGAATCACCATGTTTGAATTATTGATTTTTACTTATTTGTTTTATCTGAGAGTCTTTACCTTTAAGTGTGGCATTTAACCTATTCACTTTTTAATATTGTTTGTTAATATAGCTTGTTTTAACTTCTGTTTTCTTGTTTTACACTTATTTATTCTTTTACTTTAGCTACTTTTCTGTATAACCTATAGGGTTTTTGATATTTTTCTTCCTTGCAAATGAAAAATTACAATCTGTTTTTATCCTAGAAGTGTTAATCTGTATGTCTTAAAAAGATTTAAACTTAAATTGCTCCTGTTATGAAACTTTTTAAAAAGAAATTAATATACTTATTTTGTACATTTATAGTTAGAAATATCTCTAATTCTTGTTCTTATTATTAGTGTGTATTGACACAATCTTGGATTTTAGAACCAGATTACTATTCAGTTATTTACTTTAAATTATTGTACCTTTTTTCTTTAATCATCTTCTTTTAATTAAATTTCATGCTATACTACAATTGTTTGGATTTATCTCACTTTTAGTGGTTTCTTTCCTTACAGTTACTTCTATTATGCTGTGAATCCGCCATTCTTGAGGTTTTTATTTATTTACCTTTATCTACTTTTGCAGCGTAGGAAGAGTGGTTTATGAGCATCTGCTTCTCTGTGATGCCTGCTCCTTCCCTCCTTCCTTCCCTCCCTTCCTTTCCTTCTTTCCCTGCTTCCCTCCCTCCCTCCCTCCTTCCCTTTCTCTCCTTCTGTTGTGGCTTTTTTCTACCACCTGAAGGATGGCCAACTTGGATGAATATATTTTCCTCTCAAAAGCCTACAGATTGTTCCTTCTTGAACCCTAGTGCCTGGCAAAAAGCATGAGTGTGGTAAAAGCATGAGATCTGTTTGCGGGTCACCTTCCTCCCTGCCTAAAGGCTGGCATTGTTTTCCCTCCACTCTGCCCTTGGTGGGCTCTTTCTGGGTGGAAGCCCCTGCATTCTTACACTGTTCTTGAACGTGGTGTTGTCTTTTGATTTGCAGATGGAAGAGCAATTTTCAATCTGGTAAAGGGCATCAGTTTGCTGGGCTGCCGTAAGGAAATACAACAGCCTTCCTAGCTTAAACAGCAGGAACTATTTCTCATAGTTCTAGAGGCTGGGAGTCCAAGATCAAGGTGCCAGCAGGCCGGTTTCTTCGGAGGCCTCTCTGTGGGTGAAAGCCGTCTCCCCACCATGGCTGCACATGGCGTTTCCCCTGTGTATGTCCGGTCTTCTCATGAAGACACCAGCCAGACTGGGTCAGAGCCCACCCTGTGACCTCATTTTACCTTAATTACCTCTTTAGAAAGGCCCTATCTCCAAACACAGACACATTCAGAGGCACTGGGGGTTATGGCTTCAACATAACAACTAAAATTTGAATTTAGTGTACATTTATAACAAAGTTGGGGGACACAGTTTAGATCCCACGGGAAGTTAAGGTTTTAAAATTATTTTCTTGGTTATTTTCTCTATGTACTTTTGCCTCTTTAAGTTCTATTATGTGGACATTAATTTCAAAGTCCATCTACCTCTCAGCTGTAATTTTAATCTATCTTTTGCTTTCATGGATGGGAGAGATTCTTGTTCTTTATATTTTACTGACGTAGTCGATAGCTGATTCTGTTGTTTTAAATGCAGCAATGCAGGCTTCAAATTCTCAAGGTTTCTTCCTCTTCTTGACTTCCCACTCTATTTTTAGATGACTGAGCTTATCGATCTCACCAGAAAAATGACTTACAAATTTTAAAGTGCTCTGTTTCTTGTGGTAAGTATTTTTGTAGGGGGATATTTGATCTTATGCTACAAAAGAATTATTGCAAGAATCAGAAAAGGACTTTTTCTTTTCATTCTTAGATCAAACATGACCCTATACAATAGTTACTGTAAGAAATAGGAATATACTACAAATGTACTCATTTCACTACCACAAAATTTTTATAAAGAAAGCCAAACCCAGCTTCTATTTGAATATTCACGAGCTGAAATGATGATTGGAAGAGCAAAATTAGTGATGGGAACAGAGTCAGGGCACATCACAGCCACTCCCAGGAGAGACTTCCAAAGCCGAGAGGCTGTGGGTGAGAAGAATCAGGAAATGGCTTCAGTGATGGTGCCTCTTCATGCATTTAAAAGCCCCCAGGGCCGGGCACGGTGGCTCACGCCTGTAATCCCAGCACTTTGGGAGGCCGAGGAGGGTGGATCACCTGAGGTCAGGAGTTCGAGAGCAGCCTGGCCAACATGGTGAAACCCTGTCTCTACTAAAAATATAAAATTAGCCAGGTGTGGTGGTGGGCACCTGTAATCCCAGCATCTTGGGAGGCTGAGGCAGGAGGATCTCTTGAACCCAGGGGGAGGAGGTTGCAGTGAGCCAGGATTGTGCCACTGCACTCTAGCCTGGGCGACAGAGTGAGACTCTGTCTTAAAAAAAAAAAAAAGCCCTTCATGTATCAGCAATAATCTTCAAGGCTTTGCTCTTTTGCTCTTCCTTCTGAGTCTGCAGCAGTCAACACTGAACCAGAAATGCAGGTGGCTCAAGGAAAATGCAGAGGCCCCCTTCCCCTCTGGCCCTGCCTATGGCACAGGCGGCTCAATGAGGCATAGGGCCAGCAAGCAAATCCCCCACCCACCCTGCCCTTCCCAGGAGGAGGAGACAGTTCCAGAAATCTTGTTCTGGAATATCCAGAGTCTAACGATGCTGCTTGGGCGCATCCTACATTGTGAGAATTCTCAGTGTGAGCCAATCGGCCACGGGTATTTTCCAGCATATGAGAGCCGGTGATTGAGCGTAACTTGCACAGGTGCCCAGCTCTAGAGGCAACAGGGGTCTCTGGAATTCAGCAGTGTTGAAATCACTTATTCTCTGGGTTTCACAGAGTGGAAACAGTATCCACACACGAAGCCAACATGTTTATCAGTTAGCTTTCGCATGCGGGCACATAAGACTATATGACTTTTACAAATTAACCAAAGAAATTATGCATTGTGATGTACTCTAAAAAATGTTCTGCAATACTAGATCTTGAGCATTATAATAAATTCTGACAACATCGCTACCTGTTGATTATTTTTTCTGTGGCTGCCCAATGTGGCTGTCATTTCTCAAAGGTGCAAAGACAGATTACTCCCTCAAGGGTCTTAGAGGTGCATTCCTTGGGGTACCCTATGTGGCTGGCTTTCCATGACTAGGATTTCCAGATGAAGGAGACACAGCTGTGTGGGGGGCTGCCCTGACTGGGAGTGGCCTGACAATTTTATTCTGTGTTAGTCACTGCAAGACACAGGCAGTCCCCGTTTTTTTTTTTTTTTGTTTTTTTTTTGGACAGAATCTCACTCTGTCACCTGGGCTGGAGTGCAGTGGTGCGACCTCGGCTCACTGCAACCTCCACCTCCCAGGTTCAAGCAACTCACCTGCCTCAGCCTCCTGACTAGCTGAAATTACAGGCGCGCTACTACACCTGGCTAAGTTTTGTATTTTTAGTAGAGACAGGGTTTCACCATGTTGGACAGGCTGCTCTCGAATTCTTGATCTCAGGTGATTCACCCGCATTGGCCTCCCAAAATGCTGGGATTACAGGTGTGAGCCACCGTGCCCAGCCAGTCCCTTTAAAGGGACAGAACACATCTTCTCAACTGGCCAAACTGAAGATCAGACAGGAGAGGGGACAGGGATAAGGGGGTGGCATCCATCTGCACTTGGAAAAGACAGCCACGTTGGGCAGCCACAGGAAAATAACCCACAGGGAGCAGTGATGTTGTCAGAATTTATCATAATGTTCAAGATTGAGTATTTGTAGAACTTTCTGAGCATGTACCACAATGCATAATTGCCTTGGTTTATTTGTGAAAGTCATATAGTCTGAAGCATCCATATACAACTGAAAGTGCAACTCCAGGAGGGCAGGTGGATTGGTATTCCCAGAAATAAGTCCCTCCACAGGGGAGGGGGTAGATTTGAGGAAGTTATTATTTCAGTGATTCTGACTAAAGAATTTCCTTTATTCTGATTATTTTTTGAGATGGGATCTCACTCTGTCACCCAGGCTGGAGTATGGTGGTGCCATCACGGCTCACTACAGCCCCGACCTCTGTGGAGGGGCATTTGGATTATTTCTGGTATTTGGCTGTTATGAATTAAATGTCGTGGACATCTACATACTACTCTTTGCATGGACAGAGGTTTTTGTTTCTCTTAGGAGTAAAGGTCTGGCTCTTATCATTGGGCAAATGTTTAACTTTAAAAAAAAAGCTGCTGAACTGATTTCCGAAATGACCTGTCCATGGTTCAAGCCATCCATGCATTAGAGTTCCAGGGGCTCCACATCCTCACCTACATGCCTGTGGTCAATCTTCCTCACTCTAGCAGAGTGAATGGGCCCAGCGTCACCTTGCTGTGGTTTAGCTTACACTCCCCTGACGGCTGGTGGAGCTGACCATCCTTCCATACGATGTGTCTGCTCAAATCGTTGTGCAACGTTTAGTGGGTTGTTAGTGTTCTCATTATTGAGTTATAAAAGTAGTTTATATATCCTAGATACAATTTCTTCATCTAGTGTATGTGTTGTAAACATGGTCTTCTAGTCTGTGTCTTGTTTTTCATTTTCTCAGTGGTGTCTTTCAAAGAGCAAAAGTTTTTAAATTTCATAAAGCTTAGTTTATCCATTTTTTTCTTTTATAATTTGAGCTCTTTGCATTCTGTTTAAGAAACCTAAAACTACCTGATTTTCATGAATACTTTTTCTGCAGAGTCCTTGTTGAGTTTTAGGTTTTACATTTAGGTCTGTGACTCATTTTGCATTAAATTTTGCATGTGATGCGAGGTAACAGTTAAAGCTCATCTTTTCATAGGATATCCAGCTGATCAACACCATTTAATGAAAAGGTTATGCGTTTTCCAGCGGGTTTCTTGGGCACTTTAATTGCAATTCAGTTGACCATGTGTGTGGGGCCCTGTTTCTGGATTCCTTTCTGTTCCGTTCATCTATTTCTCTATCTTTCCACCGATACCAAAACAAACTACCTTGATTAATATAGCAGAATTGTTAAGACCTGAAGTAAGGTACAATACATCTTCCAGCTCATTTATTTTCTTTTAAAAGTGCCTTGATTATTCTAGATTGTTGACATTTCCATATACATTTCAGAATCAACTGTCAATTTACATTGCTATTTTATTTGGATTGTATTTTATCTGTACAGGATTGTTACTTTTTTGTTTTTTCATTTTAAGGTTTGGATCCACTTCCTTCTGGACTGTGTGGTTTCTGATGAGAAATGCTTGGTGATTCACATCACTGTTCCCCTCTACATAATTTTACATTTTTCTCTGTTTTAAAACTATTCATAGTTTTATCTTAGAAAATTGGGCTTTCAGGCTAGGTTCAGAAACTTAGGCTTTCAGAATTTTGATTCCAATGCCTCGGGCCATGTTCTCTGCTCTGATCCTGTTTAGTTTTTGGAGACTTTTGAATCTGCAAGCTCATGTTTTCTGCCGGATTTGACACGCTTTCTCGTGTCATTTCCTCCAGCACGATTCCGTGTCCCGATCACTCTTGTCTCCTGGACTCCAGCGGCCAGTCTGGTCTTTCCCGATCACCCCACAGGCCTCTGAGCCCCGTTCACTGTTGTTTCCTTGCTCCTTTTCCATGGGTGGTGCTTATTCATCTGTGCTTGAGGCTCCGGTTCTTCTCTGTGTCCTCTTCATTCTGCTGTTGAGTCTGTTAGGTGCATTATTTCAAGTTTTTATTTTTATGGGTAAATATGGGATTTTTTCCTAAGGAAAAAATATAAATAATATATAAAATACGTGTAATATATATCATATATAAAAGTATATGTAAAATACATGATACGTAAATTTATTATATACAAATATATATAATTTATATTAAAATATATACAAATGCTTGAGGGGATAAATACCCCATTTACTCTGATATGATTATTACACATTGTATGTATGCCTGTATCAAAATCTCTCAAGTAACCCCCTCATATATATAATAAATACATAAATATATCGTATATAGAGAGTAGCTCTCTCTATGTAAAATATATATATGAAAACATATATATAAACATACATATATATTTATGAGGGTACATGAGATATTTGTATACAGGCATACAATGCGTCATAATCACATCAGGATAAATGGGGTCTCCATCCCCTAAAGCATCTATCATTTCTTTGTGTTACATACATTCCAATTATGCTTATTTTAAACTGTTCAATAAATTATTGTTGATTGTAGTCAAATACTATATCTTATTCACTCTATTTTTTTTTGTATCCATTAACCATGCACACTCCCCCTCAACTACGCTTCCCAGCCTCTGGTAACCATCCTTCTACCTCCATCTCCATGAGTTCAATTGTTTTAGTCTTTAGCTCCCAAAAATGAGTGAGAACATGTGAAATTTGTCTTTCTGTGCCTGGCTCATTTCATTAACAGAATGACCTCCCGTTCCATCCATGTTATTGCCAATGACAGAATCCCATTCTTTTCTGATGGCTGAATAGTACTCCATTGTGTACATGTACCACATTGTCTTTATCCATTCATCTGCTGATGGATGCTTAAGTTGATTCTCAGTCTTGGCTACTGTAAATTGTGCTGCAGGGAACATGGAGAGCAGATCTCTCTTCCTTTCTTTTGGGGACCTACTCAGCAATGGGATTGCCAGATCGCACGGTAGCTCTAGTTTTAGTTTTTTGAGCAACTTCCATATGCTCTCCATAATGGTTGTACTAATTTACATTCTCACCAACAGTGTATGAGGGTTCCCTTTTCTCTATATCATCGCCAGCATTTGTTATTACCTGTCTTTCGGATAAAAGTTATTTCAACTGGGGTGAGATGATGTCTCTTTGTAGTTTTGATTTGCATTTCTCTGATGATCAGTAATGTTGAGCACCTTTTCATATGCCTGTTTGCCATCTGTGTGTCTCCTTTTGAGAAATGTCTATGCAGACCTTTAATTGGATTATTAGATTTTGTACCAGATTTGTTTGAGCTCCTAATATATTCCAGTTATGAATTCCTGGTCAGATGAATAGTTTGCACATATTTTCCCCCATTCTGTGGGTTGTCTCTTCACTCTCTTGATTGTCTCCTTTGCTGTGCAGAAGCTGTTTAACAAGATGGGATCCCTTTTGTCCATTTTCGCTTTGGTCGCCTGTGCTTTTGGGGTGTCACTCACGAAATCTTTGCCAGTCCAATGTCCTGGAATGGACTTTATTTTTAGAATAGTTTTAGTTTCATAGCCAATCTGAGCAGAAGACACAGAGGGCTCCCACGCACCCCCCTCCACACAGGCACAGCCTCCCCATCATCGACGGGCTGCGCTGGAGCTGCTTTGGAGTGAGTTTTTATTTCAGGTATTTATTTTTCAGTTTTAAAATCTCTATTGGTTCCCTTTTTGCAGTTTCTAGTTCTCTGCTGAGAATTTCTGTATTTTCCCTCTTTCTGAGTGCATTCCTCTTCCTCGTAGGCAGCACAGTTTGGTCAAGGTAGACACCTGCCGAGTGTGGTGGGTCAGCTGTCAGGTCAGCACTTCTAGTCTTGGTGTTATTTGATTTTTTTTTAAGTAGTTTGAGATTTGAGTTTTAAATCAAAGTTCATTCTATAATCATAGGAAATGTTCACAAAGTTTCAAAGTGAAGACAAAAATACCAGCTGTATAGCCACTGTTCTCTTACACACCTTTTAAATAATGATTCCTATTCTTATTTTGTGGCTCATTCTTCCATTTGTTGTTTTATTAACGTAAACATTTATCAACACGTGGCCTTTTTCTTAGACAAAGAATAGTACATCGTATACACGTTTCCATTTTTGTGGGAACCAAGGGTCGTTTTAATTTTTGCTAAATAAGTGAATAAATTATGGCATAATATTATTGAAAATATTTGACGAAGCAAATAATGTTCTTATTCCCTCATTAGTACTGACTTCAACGGATCAGCAGTTTGTCTTATTAAATTCCCTAACGTAGCTAAGACTGGGGTTATGTCTTAGTAAGGGGATTTCCATTTATCTACTCTGGATTGAACTTTCTGCCATCAAGATTGAAATTTTTGTTTAAAAATGAAAAAGACTGCCTTGTCAGCTATGTCGCATTGTGTGCGTTTGAAGGAGCGACCTCATTCATTTTTGGAGCTGGAGTTTCTTTAGTTCTGTGTTCAACTTTAATATGCCTCCTTCGTTTCCTTTTTCCCCAGATCCCTCTGTTCTGGGAGCCTCCAGTTTAGTGAACAATGCTCAGAAGCAGCAGGCATCCACTCCTAACCGTGAAGGGACTTCAATCAGGAGGCCACGGGCTGTCAGCTCGTCTCCTGCCCTGGCCTGAGGAAATGTGTGTCCTGGTGCAGGCTCTGGTGAGCTTGGTGTTCAGCAGCAGTGAGGCTGCAGGACCCCACAGCACCCTCGCCGGCAGAACAAGAAGGAGAGCTTCGGAGACCTTATTGGTGAACATATGGCAGTCTCTCATTTCCTTACTAAATCAGATGATATTACTGGAACTGGGTCATTATGCACACATTGTAATCTATCGTTAAGCCCAACAAAGTAATATTTAGCTAGCGCTTTAATTGTGCTACTGGGATTTATCTCTGCTTTTCAAAGAAAAAAAAAAAAGTCAAGTGGAAGGGAATGGGGAGAAGAAGCAGGTAATTTTCCATGTTAATAAAAGAGGCTGTCATTTTTGACAAACAAGGTTGCGGCTGAACAACCCGTTATTCTGAGAAGGGTGGAGCCGGGACCTCTTCTGACTGTGGCTGCAGGAATATGTTATTGGAAAGTGGTGACGTCATGTCCTGCCTGCAGCTTCTGTACACGAACGTTAGCAGAGAGGTGTGGTCAGATCAACTCAATGAGGTTGAATCTGTATCTCTTTTTCCACTTAAAGCAAATCCAGAAAGTATATATTTGGCCTACTACTGTTCACTTCTTTGGGCCTTTTCTGTAAACATGCTTTACCCGAATATTATGTCAACTGTCGTTTCTTTTGAGTGGCTTTTGTTTTTTGTACTCAGGAATAAAATGGTTAAAAATCTGTAGAATATAAGAAACATGTTCTGTATCAACAGCATCATCTCCACCTAACCCTGAAGCCCACCTGCCGTGGCGCTTCTTCCCACGGGCAGGGCAGCTGGTGGGCGGCATTCTACAAGGAGGGAGCCTCAGCCCGGAGAACGGTTTGCCTTTCTCTGGTGTCAGCTCGTATCAGGCTGTCATCACCTGCCCTCCAGAGTCATGTATGGAATGGCCACCCTGGGCAGGCCCATGTGGAAGAGCCACACTAGGGATCAGAGTGGCTCTTCTCTTTCAGACACGGCTTTGGGTTATGGGGAGGCAGTACCCCACGGCCGGAGGGGTCACAGGAGATGTGGACGCTGGGCTGCCAGACCTGGGAGACACACCTTTTCTTTCTCACAGCGTGTTAGCAGAAACCATCCAGAGACACTCTGGCTCTGCCTCCAGCAGCTGGTGATAAAAACAAAAACAAAAAACAAACAAAGCAAACAAACAAACAAAAAACCCTGTTTTGTTTTGTTTTCAGTCGGGGTTAATAAAAAAAGCAACTTATTAAATAGCATTTTGACAGACACAGTGGATAATGAATCCTGTTACATAGTTAAAGACCTTTAACAATTAAAAAGATTAAGCCCAGCCCGCATAGAGGATGCCTGAGGAGTGGGAGCTGTGGGGAGCAGGCAGGAGTGCTGAAGCCAGGCGGGGCCACACAGGCAGGCGACAGTGGTGGGCGTGGAGGGGCCTGGGCTGGACACCGTGTGGCCGGCCTTGGAGTCGCGACTCCTGGCTGAACCTGGACCACTGTCCTTCCGTGCGCTGCTGCAGTCCTGCCTGCACTGCCCCACTGAGGGCCAGGGTCTCTAGGGTCCAGCACGGGGTTCAGGCTGTCTCCTGGGACTTCGCTATGACTAAGGCAGGGCTGCAGTCCCAGAGCTGAATTCTGGGACCTTAGTGCAGAGCCTCTGCTCAGAGCCACAGGGAGCAGTGCACGCTGCCTAGTCGGCCTTTACTGCACACATTGAAATCCAGACTTGTTTCCACTCTGCAGACATCATCTCCTGATACGTGTCAGGAAAAGGAAGAACAGGGAACAGCAGTGGAAAAACAGGGAAAAATTTACATTTGCCAGGAGATTTGGGGTGGCAGCCCAGGAGGAATGAAGGCTGATGGTGTTAGTGTGTTCAGTTTAAAATGGAGGTCTGTGCTGGAGACATAGTTACTAAGAACATGAATGAGTTTTAGAAAGAGAATAAACGTCACTGCCTTAATTTAGAGCTTGGATTTTTCCGGGCTGAGGTGTCCCGGAGCTTGTCTGTATGGTCAGATTGGTGACGATGGTCACAAGAGGGCTCTGGAGCGTGGAGCTGTTTGCTGGGAAAGACCTTCTCCCTTTTAGCTGGAAAGTACACACAAGGTTTTGATGGCAAAGATTATGAAATATTTCAGGAATTCTCACAGCTCCAAGGAGAGGCTTTCTTCGTAGCTGATTTCTGTGTGAAAGGTTTGAGGAACATAAACCCAGGAAAATAAAATCAGTGGCTTCTAGGAGCCTATCCAGCTGCAGCTCTGAATACAGACGAGAACGCAGATGCGTGGATGTGGCCCTCTTTGCCTGGCTCCTACCTGGGGAGACGCAGGTGAGATAGATTTCATTAGTCAGTATTCTATATATTCATAAATGATTTATTTTCTTAGGATTAACTCAAAACCTTTGTCCAGAGCAAAGGTGAATGGATTAGTTGTTAAGTCTCAAGTGGTCCAACTACCCGGGGCAGCTCCCACATGGTCCTAAATGAGTCTCAGTAATATTTCCTCGATGCTGAAAAAGTTCATACATCATTACACTGAGGAAGAAACTTAGTTTCCAGTAAGCCACACAGTTTACCACTTACCATCTCTAGGAAACCCTCGGCTCTCCTGGACCCCGTCCAGTTCTTTATTAAGTAGTCTATATTTGAGAGTCTTAGAGATTTCATGTATTGTCGCCCGCCCCACATCAGCT
The DNA here is from genome assembly GCF_000001405.40 of Homo sapiens. Classification (NCBI taxonomy): domain Eukaryota; kingdom Metazoa; phylum Chordata; class Mammalia; order Primates; family Hominidae; genus Homo; species Homo sapiens. The sequence goes on along the minus strand of NC_000018.10, from coordinate 78,526,377 downwards.
ACTAATCTTGAGGATTAGCACGTGCTATTTCATTAACCCTGAGAACAATCCCGAAACGTGGGTATGAGCTACGTTTTGATATTTTGATAATTAGGTCAAGAAAGACGAAACATTTTTTTTCTGTTTACTCTGCTACTTCTAGAAATAAATGTGAAATAAATATCTAATCCTATTTATGTAATATTTCTGATTATTCACCTCATCTATTGTTGAAAATCTGAGCTCCAGTGTTCCTGTCCATTGTCAGAGAATGTAGTCTTCTTTCTTCATTTATTTATAATTTTTTGCATTTTTAAGTCTGTTCAGCAAGATAAATATCTTGAAAGAATTCAGTCCTGTAAATATCTGAGCATGTCCTCCAAGAAAATAGCTTCTCATTTGTTTTGGGATGCAGCCAAACTTTGGTCAATTTTTTGTTTTTTTTGGCATTAAAACCAAAGTTGAAGGCTTAAAAAAAGAAGAACTGAGAAAAACAAGGTGAAACCACCACTAGTCACCATAACTAACTTCTTATACATGAAGAGGAGTGTATTTCCCATCAGGTGACCTGCTCCTTCTAGTTCGCTCTAGATTTAATTAAGAGAAATAGCTCCTGTTTTCTTATCCAGGGAAACCCAGGGACCAACAGGTTGTCCTGTCTGCAAACTCGGCGCAGCACTGTAAGTTAAAACACTTCAGCCGATTTCCAAAACTTCGGAGTCATTACGGTGGGGGATTGCTTGTTGGGACTGGCGACTAAATTGCATTCTGTGCTCCTAGGCTTCTTCTGTGCTTGAACAGTTGTGCTGAAAAACATCCGCATTCACCAAAGTCATCTCCTCAAAGAGGAACTCTCGCAATGACGTGTTAATAGCAGTGTTTTATACAGCACAGCAAATTTAGCCGATCCCTAGAGCCACAACAAATTTTGATATATTCTGCCTCTCTTTCATGGTGCTTATCTGTTTGGTATTTAACTTGCAACTTGTTATCCATTACTCATGCTGTTTGCCAATTTCTCTTCTGTTTTTCATACCACTGTCAAATTAACTTTTTACTGGAATATGCCTGGAAAAGGTAGGTGCAGCTCAAAATAAACTGGTTTGTCATTTGAATTTCTCTTTGCCTGAGTGCTTTATAGAACTTTGGCATTTTATAGATTATAAGTCACTTTAGTGCGCAGGAGGATTTACTGCTATTATCACGAGTCAGTCTATGTCTATCAATCAATCATCTATCTATCATCTATCAATCACTTATCAATCATCTATCATCTATCTATCATCTATCATCTATCTATCATCTATCAATCACTTATCAATCATCTATCATCTATCTATCATCTATCAATAATCTATCAATCTATCTATCTATCATCTATCTGTTGATCTATCCATCTATCTATCTCATCTACCTAAGAGGATACTCTTCAAAGCAATGATTAACTTGGTTTGATGATTATCCATTATTCTTACGAGAGAGAGAAGTGGGACGAGGGTACAATAGATGTTGTTGTGATTCCATTTCATTTAAAATAACATCTTGTTTGGAGGAAACTATGATATTCAAAAAGTTTTTCAGTTGCAAAAGAAAAATATCTACTTCAACTGTATGCATTCTTTGTATTTACTGTGACCCTACAAGTTCAGAGATGGTAGTAACAGATATTTCATATTGTTTTGAGAGGCTGCTAAATGTGTGTATTTATGTGTGGTTATGTGTGTATCTGTGTGATTGTGTGCATATCTCTGTGTGTGTCTCTGTGTATATATCTGCATGTGTGTATCCCTGTGTTTGTGTGTGTGTCTGTCTCTACGTGCAAGTGTGTGTTTCTGTATGTACACATAGGTACCTGTGTGTATGTGTATCTGTGCCTATATTTTTGTGTATCTGTTTGTGCTCGTGTATCTGTGTGTGTATCTGTGTCTATCCCTGTGTGCTTGTGTGTATGTATCTGTGTGTGTGCATGTAGATGTATCTGTGTATATAATTATCTCCGTGTGTTCATGTGTGTATCTGTGTGTATTTCTGTGTGCACATGTGTATCTGTGTGTTTATCTGTGTGCATGTGTGTATCTACGAGTATGTGTATCTATCTGAGTATCTGTGTGTCTGTCTGCTTCTGTGTGCATGTATCTGTGTGTCTGTATCTGTGTATCTGTGTGTTTGTGTGCATATCCGTGTGTGTCTATCTCCCTGTGCATGTGTGTTTCTGTGTATGTTTGTATGTGCATCTATCTCTCCCGCTAACCTGTGTGTGTGGGACACAGGCTGTCAGATCAGCCCAGCACCCAGGCACAGATGCTGAACTCCAGCCAGAATGGAAGGACACGGCCCGGGAAGAAGAGCCACGAGGACGCCGCGGGTGTTCTGGGGAGACCGAGCTCAGCCACCTGTGGACGCGGCCTTGGGCTGGGTGCTTCCGCCCCCTCCTTCTGCAGATCTTGGGTGCTGGAGTTGTCTGGTTTTCTCTCATCCCCCACCCCCAGACTCTCTGAAAATTTGTGAATATAAAGGGGATTCCTGGAAACTGTTCTGCTCTTTGTCAAGATGAAGACAGCAGAGGAGAGATGGCCATGTCACCTGCGTCCCCTCGAGCCTTCCACTGCTCTAGAAAACACCCCTGGGCCACCAGGACTCCCTTTATCAATAGAATCCACCCAGCAAGCCTCAGGACATCCTCCCGACCCCACTAGCTTTGAGGCACACACAGGGAAGGTGGGCTCGGCTTTCATGTTGCAGACACAAGTGTGTCTGTGGCTGCACATTGTGGAGGGAACGTGAGTGCCCAATGCTCCCTGCCAAACAGTGGCAATGGGGAGCAGCTCTTCCCAAACTTACAGTTGGGGTTTGCCACTGTGCGTCTGCATCTATCTACCTGTGTCTGTCCACATCACCTCGGCCTACATCTGCACCTGTCTGTGTCCGCAGCCTCACCCCAACGCACACCCACATCTGCATCACCGGCCCGTGTCTGCAGCCACACCCACACAGATGCCCACGTCCACACCCACACCACGTGCCACCTGCATATCCACGTCCTGTCTGAACTTAGATCACCTCCACACACTTTCATCAGTGTCTGTACCACCCCCTTCTCTATCAGTACCCACATCCATCACACAAACGCCTGTGGGAGCCAGTGTCAGGCCACATCCTCGACGCTCTCTGGAGGAGCTGCCCTAAGTGTCCTGTGCGACAAACACTGCAATTATGAAATCTGTTAATAACCCAGGAGCCTTTCACTCAGGTGCAGAGGCAAGTGAATTGAGAGTGAAATTAAATTATGGAAACAGGTTATGACAGGTGCGATATTTTTCTTTTTACCAAGGGGGGATTTACTAAACGAATACTTTAGGAAAACAGAGGCTCAATTCATTAACATTTTCAGCCCACATTATTGGGGTGTCTCTAAGACACCCAATGAGATGTTCACTGTGGAACTGTTCTCAGGTTTCAGAAACTGAAAGCCGTTTCCCGCTTTCATCTCTGTCTGTATTGAAACGCCAGCTGAAAGCGTCATTTTAAATGTATCACTGATTTTGATTTTTTAATGGAAGTGTATTATGGTGTGGCTTAGAGTGATAATTGAGCTATTATTTCTATGAGGTGAGATGACAACAAAGACTTTCAACTCAGAAAGCTCTGCATTGGAGCCTTGGCTCTGCAGCTGTGCGGCCCGGCAGCTGGGAAGGCGTCTCCACCCACAACGCTGCTGGCATCGTCCTCCGGGAGCTGGAAGTGTGGCCATAGGTCCTTGTCTGGGTTGGACCAACCACCTAGTGTTTTCCTCTGTGCTAGATGATAAATCCAATATGGCAGAGATGATAGTGTATTTTCTGTGCCTCCTGGAGTGACTGGTGCCTAAGATTATGTAATTTATTTATTTATTAGAGACAGGACCTGGCTCTGTCCTCCAGGCTAGAATGCAGAATCACAGCTCACTGCAGCTTCAACTTCCTGGGCTTAAGCAATCCTTCTGCCTCAGCATCTGGAATAACTGGGACTACAGGCATTCACCAGTGCGCCTGGCTAGTTTTTTAATTTCTCATAGAGATGGGGTCTCACTTTGTTGTCCAGGCTGGTCACATATTCCTGGCCTCAAGCTATCCTCCCTCCTCAGCCTCCCAAAGTGCTGGCATTACAGGTATAAGCCACCATGCCCAGCCCAAGATTAAGTAATTTTTTGTGGAATAAATGAGTGGCCATTAACAAATGCTACTGAAAGGTTTTGAACTGGAGTGATGTGACGTGTCTGCATTTTAGGAACATGCTTCGGGCCCAGGGAAAAGACTGGATGGGGAGGTTGAGGATGGTCCCCAGTGGCTGCTTGGGGTGGCCGGGAGGGCGGGAGAGATTTGCAGGTGGCTGGGTTAGTTGGGTTTGGAGACAAGAGCAGGAGGGAGCAGAAGAGTGACAGATGCTGTGGATTTCACAGTGGAGTGGCCAGGAGCATTGGCCACGGCAGGGGCTCTGAGAAACTTCACAGGAGAGACATGGAGTTTGTGCTCGGGTGCGTCTGAGGTGCTCCTGGGGTGTCCGAAGGCCGGTGACAGAAGGCAACAGTGATGGGCATTCAGGAGGTGAGTTTGGGTTGAAGATTCAGCTTGTAGATTCCCAGCCTTTGGTAGTTAGAGCTGTGAACAGGATGAGCTTCTGCACGAAGCCTGCTCCGTGGGATGAAGGCAGGGAACATGTTCTCCCGGGGCGACAAGATCCAGGTTCCTGGAGGGAGGAGGAGCTCTTCTGGGCTGGGCCGCAGCCCACCCTTGCCAGGAGCTCTGTTTGTTACCGGGCATCCTCCCTCTCCCACGCATCCTGCGGAGGGACCACCCTTCTCCAAAGCCCGTCTGTACCCCGTCTCTGCTGAGGAGATGTGCAGGCGCCTTCAGTGAGAACAGCCTCCTCCTTCTCTGCCTCAGCAGCACCCAGGCAGGAGGACCTCCCCACACCACGCTGCTTCAAGCTGGTACTCGCTTCCCTCCGGGAGTGACTGTGAGTTCCCTGTCCGTGCCCCTGGGAACGTGTGACAGCATCTCAATGGCTTTGATCTCACAAACGTTTTGGTCTCAACTATCTCTCCCCCAACCTGTGTGTGTGCGACACAGGCTGTCAGATCAGCCCCAGCACTGAGGCACAGATGCGGAACTCTGGCCAGAATGGAAGGACATGGCCTTACCAGTGGATGGTGAGTGGTTGCTGGATGAATTGATGTTTTGCAGTCAAGCTTTCCTCGTATGTGACGATTTCTGCCTGGTAGTGGAAGTCCTTAGAGAGGGGAGGCTCTGCCCTTGACCTTTCTGTATCCCCGAAGGGCTGTGCACAGAGTAGGTGCTCAATAGATGTGTGCTTACCTCCGTCGACCAATTCCTCTCTCAGCCTCTGGCGTTACTGAAACCCGTGGCCTGCTGAGAAGGAACAGAGAAATGTCTGTGCCCGTCAGTCATGGCCACCGTCAAAGTTGGCTGCTGAATTCCATGGTCATCACATTGTTTATGTTGTAAAGAGGATCTTCCAGGGCGGACCCTCAGGCTGAACAAAAATGAAATAGTGTGTCGTGTCATGAGCTATTCCTCATGATTATTTCCCCCGATTTGGAAGAGAAAGAGAACCTCATGTCTTCATGGACGAGCAACCATTTGATGCCTATTGAGTGCTTGTCATTGGGTTGGGAAGTTGCAAGAGTCCCTTCAAAAACAAGATCATGGCACAGACCAGGGCAGTGCATGAACCCCAACAGGGAAATCTAAGTAAACATCCCCGAGGGCTATGTTACGGGAAAATACAAAGACAGAAGGGAAAAAAAAACCTAAGTTTGAAAAGAGTTGGTGAAAAGAAGGAAAAGGTTACCGGCAGGGATCTGAAATAGACCAAATGTCCTAAGTGGTTTCACTTTAATCGCCCTTGCTGGGGAGAGGCCTGGCCCACGTCACTGTGAGACAACTCCCAGCCTCAGTTCTGGGATTAAATGGATAACGCCACATTCCTTCTCACACTTTCACGATTATTGCCACCTTTTTATGAGAATCAAGCTGTTAGTACCGGGCTTACCTCTGCTGGGGCAGCTTCCTGCAGGTCTCTTCCCAAGACAACCGTGTTCATCCAGTAGTTTTCCTTGTCCTCTGGTTTGAATAAAGTGGGCAAATAGAGTTGTCAATGACCCTTACCCATGACCTGAGAAGCCAAGGCATTTTAGCCGAGTGTTCCAGTCAACGTGGAAAATTCTCAGCTTGCTTGGACGCAGCCCACCATCCAGGAAGAACTGACAGGTTAGGGACACCTGTGCCCGTCTCTGTGTGTGTGCACGCATATGTGTGCACACGTCTGCATGTGTCTGTGCATCTCTGCATGTGTGCACATGCATGTCTGTGTGTTAAGGTATGACTGTGTGTGCCTGCATGTACATGTCTGTGCGTGTGCCCCTGTGTGTGTGTCTGTGGACATGTCTGTGTATGATGTGTGTGTCTGTGTTTCTGTTTGTGCAGGTGTGCACACACCTGTGTTTGTGCCTATGCATGTGTGTTTCTGTGTGTGCACACATCGGTGTGTTTGTGTACATGTGCATATCTGTGTGTTGTGTGTGCCTGTGTTTTTGTGAGTGCACGTATGTACACTTCTGTGTGTGTTTGCCCGTGTGCACGCATGCACGTCTGCCCTGTGGAGCTGGGGAGGTGTGGGGAGCTGCTTTACATGTGAAGGTCGCTCCCCATCTGGCTTCAGCAGCTGTTCCCCTGTGGAGGCGGTGGAAAGGCTTTAGGCAGCCTTTGACCTGGGGTGGGACTGAGCACACAGGACGAGGGTTTCTCCTTTGCACGATCTTTGTTTGAAGTGAATGTGCAGCGACAGGGACTCTGGGCACAATCGGGTAGGAGGCTCCCAGGCTCCCATCCCTGGAGAAGGTTCCTGCCAGCCCGGAACCCCTTGTTCTTCAGCATTGCAGACATGAGTTTTCTGTTTGCTCTCTCGTTCCCTGGCAATTCCCTGCCTTCTCCATTTCACGTTTGCAATTCCCACGTATTTAATAAGTGCTTTGCATTACGTTTAAATCCATGAGCAACATAGATAAGCTTGAGCCATATAAAATGGCTGATAACTACAAAAATAAGTTTCACGTGGTTCAGTCTAATATGTACTTACGCCTCATAATGGACTAAAACACAGTTTTAAACTGAGCAAAAGTCATTACTAGAAAGGAAACGGACAGTGAGCCATCGCCGCCCTCCTCGTACCCGAGTGCTCCAGCTCCCCCGCACGCGAGGCTGGCCTCGGGCTTACGGGGCCAGCGAGGGGCCTTTGTGCCGGCTCAGAGGTGCTCTCTGACCTCATCTTCGCTGCTGGGAAGCCACCTGTGGACCCCCAGGGTCTCTCGGCTCTGTCCCTTCTACAAACCCACACCCGCAGCGCTGTTCTCTGCCCTGCTGTGGGGGCAGGTTCCCTCCGGGAGAAAGGAGCAAGGTGGGCTCCGCGGCCCCATCAGGTCCTGCGGGCAACCGCGTGTGGGGTGTGCAGCAGATGGCCATCCTGGCTCTGTGGGCACAGCCTTGCGGCACGCGTCCTGCCTGCCTGGCTTGCACTTGTTCACATTAACCAGATGTTTGGGCAATTACTTCATTATTAGGGACTTACGCACCTCTTCACGTTTGCAAACAGCTACACAGAGGACCGATTCGTCCTTCTTCTAGTCACCCTTGACATAGGCGAGATCAGGGCAGGCCCTCTTAAAAACGGTGACATCTGTGGGCCATGTCCCTCCTCCAGAGGTGCCAGGTGACCCATACGCCTGGGCTGTTTGAGCACTTGAATCCCCTCAGCCCTGCTTCTGTCTCTGTGCCTCCCCTCTCTCCCTCCCCACCTTCTCTCTCTCCCTCTCTCATTCTCTCTCTCTCTCTCTCTCTCTCTCTCTCTCTCTCTCTCTCCGTCTCTCCCTCTCCCATGCCCTCTGCCCCCGTCCCTGTCTCCCGTCTGGCTCTCCCATGGATACTCAAGCTCAGGCCCCAGATCTGCTTGATTGAAATGTGCTTATCCTTTTGGACAGTAGGAGTGTCCCCGGGCTGCTGTAGCAAAGTGCCACAAACTGGAGCTGAAAACGACAGGTGTTTGTTCTCTCCTAATTCTGGAGGCCACGTGATCAAGGTATGGGCAGCCATGCTCCCTGTGACAGATTGGGGTCCTTCACCGAGGCCACATATCCGAGATCAAGGTGTGGGCAGCTGTGCTCCCTGTGGAGGCTCGGGGTCCTTCCTGCCTCCTCCAGCTCCTGGCGCCACCGTGCTCCCTGTCGGCCCCTGCCTCCCTGCAATGTCCGCCTCCATCCTCACACTGCGGCTCCCCATAGGTCGCTGTGCTCAAACTTCCTTCTTCTTATAAGGACACCAGACACTGGAATTAGGACATCTACCAGGACCGTATTTCCAAATAAGCTCTCATTCACAGCTACTGGGGGTTAGGAATTCCATGTATCTTTTTGGGAGACAGAACTCAACCCAAAACATACAGCAAAATACAAAAGAATAGGAAATGTCAGTGGAGCCATTTGTGGAAAATGCCACTTGCTGCCCCTTCCAGCCCTGACGGCCCCGCTTCCGGGACAAGGCGGCGGGCTCTGCGCCTGAGGGCCCCGCTTCCGGGACAAGGCGCCGGGCTCTGCGCCTGAGGGCCCCGCTTCCGGGACAAGGCGCCGGGCTCTGCGCCTGAGGGCCCCGCTTCCGGGACAAGGCGCCGGGCTCTGCGCCTGAGGGCCCCGCTTCCGGGACAGGGCGCCGGGCTCTGTGCCTGAAGGCCCTGCTTCCGGGACAACGCGCCGGGCTCTGCGTCTGTCGCCCACAGCTTTAGCCCTCAGAACAGAGAGCCACAGCAGAAGGGTGGTCCCTCCTCAGGGCACAGCCCATGCCACAGCTCACCTGAGTATGTGCCTCCTGCCTGGTTCCCAGGAACCGCCAGCTCACTTCTCTACAGCCTGGTATCAAGTGGTGTTCATCCACAGGAGTTACCAGGAGAAGGATGGTTATCACGATTAACTTCATTAATAAATTCGGCCATCGGCTTCCCAGCCCTGAATGAAATGCTAGAGGGCTGACGTTCAGAAGAAGGCCTCTTAGAAAATGGACCATACCAGGAGGGTGGAGTTCGATTTATTTGCATATTTTTTATTAGGGACAAGTGACTGTGGCGTTCTGTCTGTTTAATGAGATCTAAAGTTTGGAATAATCCCTCACTGAACACGATGGAGGGCTGTTTCCACTTGGGATGAACTTCATAGACAAGCCACTTAGCAGACTGCAATATCACTCATTTTAAACTGGGGTTGGGCCAAGGGCGATGAGGTGCAGGTACAGCCACATGACCCGTCCTCTTTCCTCCAGGATAAAAGGAACGTGGTTCTTCAGTAACAGTGTCCAACATGAATATAAGGAATGAAAATCTTGTGGATTTCTGGGACTTTACAGAGTCCAACTTGGAAAACACTGGTTGTATTTTGTTGTTGAAACACTTGAATCCCATCATCAAAACATAAAGGTCTCCTGTTTTGTGGTATATCTATACACACACACACACCTGTGTGTATATACACATGTGTGTATGTATAAATACATGTGCATGTATCTATATGCATTGCTTCGTTTTTATCAGATTTCCATCTGCCATCGTGTGGTGAGGGTAAAGTCCACACATGGAGATGTAAACAGTGAAAACTCAGGATGGTCTTGGCAGAAGCTAGTGCAGTCATTCACAGCTAAGCTGCCTCTAGCCAAGGCATATCTTGAGCTCAGATCTACAAGGAAAACATAACATAATTCTGCTCTCTGATACAAATTCATTGCTCTCAGCCAGCCCTTGCCCTCGCCGCGCACCCCCCACCCCCACTTCTCTTTTGGGAATCTGGTGATCTAGTGTATTCTTGAAGCGAAGATTTATCTCACAGTAGAGGCAAAACGAGAAAACACATGTGTTTAAAGCCTTTTAAATGGAAAAACTATTTTCCTAAACACAAATGACACCGCTAAGATTACCTTGTTGCTAGTTCTCTCTATTAACCAGGTAATTTACTAAATTCTTTATACAGGACAGAGTCCCCAAAGGGAAAACAATATCTGGAAGGGGTCAATTTGACGTTATCAGCACGAAAATGTGATTTGTTTCAAGTCCCATACCAAATAGATGATCAGGATGTTTACCTGATACGTGGGGCTGCCCTCATCTCCCATGCCTGTGCTTTTATTCATAAAGGGAAACATTTTTAAAAGGGAGGTGGGCTGCGCCTAGGGAGGGGGCCACTCTCTTCTTATTGGCATTCCATCCTTTTACCTGTTTGACTTATTTGCTAAAAACGTCACAGAGTTCTGGTGTGATTACGTCCGAGGTCCCTCACTTTCGGCTTCTTTCTGGCGTGCTTTTTGGATTCTTGTCTCCCCTTCTAGAAAGGGCTTTGCTAGCAGGTTGGAAGGTTATTGTGCTGAATGTCTGCAGTCCTTTGAGGTGAAGGAAATCCTACTTCTACCTAAGGAGAATCTAGAGCAAGCTTGTCCAATCCGCCACCCATGGGCCACATGAGGCCCGAAATGGCTTTGAATGTGGCCCAGCAGAAATTCGTAAACTTTCTTAAAACATTATGAGAATTCTGGGAGTTTTTTTTTAAGCTCATCAGCTATCGTTAGTGTTAGTGTATTTTATGTGCAGTCTAAGACAATTATTCTTCTTCTGATGTGGCCCAGGGAAGCTGAAAACCCGGACACCCCTGCTCTAGAGTGAAGAAAGCCGAAATGAGTGGCCAGGAGAGGCTGGGCGAGCTGAGGGTGAGGTGTTGCTCAGGGCTGTGAGCGCACAGGCACCATCCCAGCCGCATCTTGGCCTGGCTCGTCTGTGTCTTTCCCGTTGGAAATAGGGCTGTGGCAGGTTTCCGAGGGCCTCCCCAAGCACGAGACTGTCACCCAGGGCAGATGCTCTGAGCCAGAAGGGAATGTGGCACTTTAAACCACCATGTGCTCTCTCCGGCACGCGGGAGTTCACGCGCCTAAGCTTGTTGCTTGCTTATTCAAACTTGATGATGTCTCAGGGAAACCGGAGCTCTCTAAGTCAACTTGATGAATCTTTCTTGTCCCTGTGGTCATCGTTGGCATGAAGAGACACTTGTGACGATGTTTCCCAGCATTCTTGGCGCTTTCTGAGAGTCACAGTCCCCGCCTGCCTTTCTGGGCTTTTCTCCCTCCTCTCTTGCGGTGGCCACACAATGCCTCCTGGCCAGGACAGACCTGGGCTTCCCCTCAGGGTGGCATCCAGCCTCTCTCCTGCCTGCACCACCTCCTCCACATCTTTCCTGCAAAGGCTGTGGTTGCCTGGTGGTGTCCACTTCCAGGGAGCGTCTGCATGCCTGGCTCCTCACGGCCGTCGCTTTGAATCCTCTCAAAGACATCATCGACCAGGTCAACTAGTCTTCAGGCCCTAGTAGTGGCAGTGGTAGGCTGAGTATGTCTTTCCTTGGGCCCCTGGGTAGTGTCTGCTGACCCACTGTTAGTAGATCTAGATAGGCTGACTCTTGCGGTAGTGTCTGCTGACCCACTGTTAGTAGGTCTAGATAGGCTGATTCTTGGGGTAGTGTCTGCTGACCCACTGTTAGTAGATCTAGATAGGCTGATTCTTGGGGTAGTGTCTGCTGACCCACTGTTAGTAGAACTAGATAGGCTGATTCTTGGGGTAGTGTCTGCTGACCCACTGTTAGTAGGTCTAGATAGGCTGATTCTTGGGGTAGTGTCTGCTGACCCACTGTTAGTAGGTCTAGATAGGCTGATTCTTGGGGTAGTGTCTGCTGACCCACTGTTAGTAGAACTAGATAGGCTGATTCTTGGGGTAGTGTCTGCTGACCCACTGTTAGTAGGTCTAGATAGGCTGATTCTTGGGGTAGTGTCTGCTGACCCACTGTTAGTAGATCTAGATAGGCTGATTCTTGGGGTAGTGTCTGCTGACCCACTGTTAGTAGGTCTAGATAGGCTGACTCTTGCGGTAGTGTCTGCTGACCCACTGTTAGTAGGTCTAGATAGGCTGACTCTTGGGGCAGTGTCTGCTGACCCACTGTTAGTAGGTCTAGATAGGCTGATTCTTGGGGCAGTGTCTGCTGACCCACTGTTAGTAGGTCTAGATAGGCTGATTCTTGGGGTAGTGTCTGCTGACCCACTGTTAGTAGGTCTAGATAGGCTGACTCTTGCGGTAGTGTCTGCTGACCCACTGTTAGTAGGTCTAGATAGGCTGACTCTTGGGGCAGTGTCTGCTGACCCACTGTTAGTAGGTCTAAATAGGCTGACTCTTGGGGCAGTGTCTGCTGACCCACTGTTAGTAGGTCTAAATAGGCTGACTCTTGGGGCAGTGTCTGCTGACCCACTGTTAGTAGGTCTAGATAGGCTGACTCTTGGGGCAGTGTCTGCTGACCCACTGTTAGTAGGTCTAAATAGGTTGATTCTTGGGGCAGTGTCTGCTGACCCACTGTTAGTAGGTCTAGATAGGCTGACTCTTGGGGTAGTGTCTGCTGACCCACTGTTAGTAGGTCTAGATAGGCTGACTCTTGCGGTAGTGTCTGCTGACCCACTGTTAGTAGGTCTAGATAGGCTGACTCTTGGGGCAGTGTCTGCTGACCCACTGTTAGTAGGTCTAGATAGGCTGATTCTTGGGGCAGTGTCTGCTGACCCACTGTTAGTAGGTCTAGATAGGCTGATTCTTGGGGCAGTGTCTGCTGACCCACTGTTAGTAGGTCTAGATAGGCTGATTCTTGGGGTAGTGTCTGCTGACCCACTGTTAGTAGGTCTAGATAGGCTGATGCTTGGGGTAGTGTCTGCTGACCCACTGTTAGTAGAACTAGATAGGCTGATTCTTGGGGTAGTGTCTGCTGACCCACTGTTAGTAGATCTAGATAGGCTGATACTTGGGGTAGTGTCTGCTGACCCACTGTTAGTAGATCTAGATAGGCTGACTCTTGGGGTAGTGTCTGCTGACCCACTGTTAGTAGGTCTAGATAGGCTGACTCTTGCGGTAGTGTCTGCTGACCCACTGTTAGTAGGTCTAGATAGGCTGACTCTTGCGGTAGTGTCTGCTGACCCACTGTTAGTAGGTCTAGATAGGCTGACTCTTGGGGCAGTGTCTGCTGACCCACTGTTAGTAGGTCTAGATAGGCTGATTCTTGGGGCAGTGTCTGCTGACCCACTGTTAGTAGGTCTAGATAGGCTGATTCTTGGGGTAGTGTCTGCTGACCCACTGTTAGTAGAACTAGATAGGCTGATGCTTGGGGTAGTGTCTGCTGACCCACTGTTAGTAGATCTAGATAGGCTGATTCTTGGGGTAGTGTCTGCTGACCCACTGTTAGTAGGTCTAGATAGGCTGATTCTTGGGGTAGTGTGTGCTGACCCACTGTTAGTAGGTCTAGATAGGCTGACTCTTGGGGTAGTGTGTGCTGATCCACTGTTAGTAGGTCTAGATAGGCTGACTCTTGGGGCAGTGTCTGCTGACCCACTGTTAGTAGGTCTAGATAGGCTGATTCTTGGGGCAGTGTCTGCTGACCCACTGTTAGTAGGTCTAGATAGGCTGATTCTTGGGGTAGTGTCTGCTGACCCGCTGTTAGTAGATCTAGATAGGCTGATTCTTGGACCTCCAGGTGTCTTGCTCCAATGACAGTAGTGGCAGCAGAGGGCCAGAAGGGTGGTCAGGTTCTCGGGCCCCTAGGCTGCAGGTATGGCATGGAGGATGGCAACAGCAGTGGCATGCTGGTGTTAGTGGTGGCTGCAGTGGGCTGGAAGTGCCAGTTTCCAGGCATTCAGGTTGTGCATGCAGGTAGGGGCCGGCTGTGGTGATAGCAGCGGAGTGGCTGGGCCCACCCAACCTCAGGCCTCTGGGAAGTGGTCAGGTGCCAGCGGTGGTGAATGTGGCTGGGCAATCCCCACGCCCCCAGACTGCATGCTCTGGCATGAAGTGCGCATGAACTTGCACTGGGTGTGTTTGTCCTCAGGCCCCCAGTGGTGCGTGCAGGTGCTGGCCGTAGGCAGAGGTGAGATGATCCCCAGGCTCCTGGCAGAATGCTCAGATTGGGGATGTCAGCACCTGCACTGTGGCCCTGCCTCTGGGGAAGGAGGGGTTGATTTCAGTGGCCGCTGAAGACAGGGGGTGGTCGGAGGGATGCACACTTGGCTTGCGCCTCTTCGTCAGTGGTGGCGGTTTACACGTCACTCACATCCCGGCCCTGGCAGCAGCAGCTCACACCCCACTTGCACTTCAGCCTCGGCAGTGGCAGCCCACGGTGACAGCAGCTGCAGGTGGGGCACCCTGCCTTGTCACCTGAAATGCATGGCGGCCCCACTGCCAGTGGGGTGATGCTGCTTGTGGCCACACCTCAGCCCTGGTGGTGGCAGCTGCACATGGGAGATGTCAGTGGGATTCTAGGGAGGTGGAGACACAGGTGCCACAGGACAGGGCACAGTCTGTTGGGGGCTGGGCTCTCAAAATGCTGCTTTGCTGTAGCTGTTTAGGACTCAGGGTGTGCGTGGGACCTGGCGTGAGCTTCCTCTCTGGAGCAGCACTGCGACTGTCTCCAGGAAGCTCCCTGTGTCAGGTTCCCCTCTAGCGATGGTCGAGGGGCTCTCCCATGGCCAACGATGCAGGAGCTCACAGTGGGGATGTGAACCCTGGGGGTTTCTCCCTCACCCCTTCCCCACATTGGGACATCTCTCTGGGCTCCCAGCCCATCCTGGCCGGGAAGGCTGCCTTGCCCTCCTCTCCTTCCCTGCTGGAGAGGCTTCCTGTCCCTTCTCTGTTCAGCTCATGTGTTCTCGTTCGTATGATCTACTTGAAGTGTGATTGTCTAATGACGACTTTTGTTCTTTGTGGAGAAGGCAAGTTGAAGATGCCTCTAGTCAGCCATCATGGGAGCCCCTCAGAGTGTTTTAATTTTTTAAAGTTTTTAACTTTTAATGCAGAAAAATTTCCACTTGAAGCATTCAGCCAAGTTCTAAAGATATCTTCACGCCTGTCCTGTTGTATCATGTTAACTTTTCCCTCATTGTATTCATCCGGTAGTTGATTATTTATGGAACTGTACTGATGTTAATGTTGTACTTTTTACCTTACTGAATTATTTCACAATTTATAACATTGTTAGGTGATGTTGTGTGTGTGTGTGTGTGTGTGTGTGTGTGTGTGTGTGTGTGTGTGTGTTTCCTAAGTAAGCAACCCTTTCATCTGCAAATGATGAGTGATTCTCCTGTGGTCTCGGTTCCCTACCACCTTCCCTGCCTGGGATCTGCAACTTCCCAGTCCCTGGCTTAGAGACACGTTTCAACCACTACCAAATGCTTGCAAACTTGTCCTTAACGCACCTCAGTTCCAGCTTTCCCCTCCTTTCCCATCATAATCCCCACACACGGCTGCTGCTTCTCAGCATCTAATATCTGGTTACCGTAACTCATTTATATGTTGCTGTGGAGCAGATGACAGGGTTCAGGACATCGACTAGACCCCAGGGACAGAAAAGCACAGGAAACAGACCTGGATCTTAGTGACCTCTCCATCTGGGTTTCAGGCGACTCCCCGCATGCCTGTGAGGGACTCCTGCTCCCTGGAGTTTCACAGTTCTGGGCTTCTCCCACTTCTGTGCAAGCCAGAAATGCCTGGACACCACACCTCGTTTAGTCAAAACAGGGTCCCTATACAATACTCAGCGATGCCTGAACATCTTATGCCCTGTCTAGTCATGACAGGGTCCCTAAACAATACTCAACACTGTGTCTATTTTATAGAAGAAATGGAGATTTGTGACTTGTCTTTGTTCCATAGGCAGTAAGTGTCAGACCCGGACTTCAAACCCAGTCTGTCTCCCAAGGTCGCCCTCCCTCTAAGAAGTTTCTAACCTTTGGCTCCGCATCCCCGTCCTCACTCCACTTCCTTAGAATCCTTCTCATGCTACTACCGCATGGATATTTCAACTTGGATTTCCTTTCTGAGCTTCCCTCCTCAGCTGCTATTCCTTCCTCCCTTTGCCTTTAAGTGTTTGCTTTTTAAAGACGTGTGGACACGTCGCACCATTGTTCCAAAGCTACAGACGACTTTCTGTTACCACCAGCACACATTCGCCCACGCAATGACATTCCCAACTTTCCATTCTCTGGCCAGTTTCCCCTTCCAGCCTTATTTTCCACTCACTTTTCCCAGACACCCTTTAAACACCCTCTTCCCTGCCTGAACTTCCCTGACAGGGACCATGTCATTCCAGAACATGCCTCCACATTTTCCTGCCTCTGTTTAGACTCTTCTCTCTGACTTTATCTCCTTCCCTGCTTGACAGACTTCAGTCTTCTCAAACCCAATTGAATCGTCTCTTCACGTATGAAATAATCCTTCACGGCTAGACATAACGAACATTATCTGTCACCCACAGCATGAACATCACCTTATATTTATCTTAATGATTTGTCTATAGAGCTATGCCCTGACTAGAAGTTGAGCTTCAGCTGGGCACGGTGGCTCATGTCTGTAATCCCAGCACTTTGGGAGGCCGAGGCACTTTGGATGATTTGAGGTCAGGAGTTTGTGACCAGCCTAGCCAACATGGCGAAACCCCATGTCTACTGAAAATACAAAAATTAGCTGGGCGTGGTGACTAGCGCCTATAATCCCAGCTACTCAGCAGGCTGAAGCAGGAGATTAGCTTCAACCCAGGAGGTGAAGGTTGCAGTGAGCCAAGATGGTGCCACTGCACTCCAGCCTGGGTGACAGAGTGAGACTCTGTCCAAAAAAAAAAAAAAAAAAAAAAAAAAAACGGAGCTTCATTTTTTTCAAGCAAAGATTGTGCATTACAGTAGTTGGCATTTTGGTAAGTACTCAGTAAGTGCTTTATTATTAAATGAAAATGTTATAATATTTTGCTGCCTGTCTTTGTAGGACATAATTGACAGCTGTGAATAAAACACATGCTATGTTCTCCTTTTTGCTTATTGACATGGAATCTAATTGTCATGTTGTAATGTTGAGATTTCTTCATTTACTCTTCCAGAGTAATGACTCCTCTGTCTTGCTGGTGGGCGTTTTATATTGTACAGCAACAATTCATTTTATGTTACGTAACAGCAATTAATTTTCTCAATTCACAGATAAGGATACAGAGTTACAACTCACTACAGTTAATGACAGTTTCCAGCAACCCAGTATGGCCTCTGGGGCAAACCTCCGAGGGACACCACCACAATAATCATATCCATTACTATATTCAATTCAACAAATGCATATATAAATATAAATTAATATGTACCAGAGATCGTTGTAGGCACCAAAGCTATAACGATGATGTTAATAACGCAGCAGTCCTATAGGGTCGGCTGTGTGCTCAGTGGAAATATTCTGAATCCTTGAATTCTTCAAACTGCTCTTTGAGACAGGTGGTGTTTTACATGGTCTTATAGGACTGTCACCTGGGCCATGGGGCGGTAACGGACTGCAGCCACATGACATAGTGAGTGGAGAAGCTGACCTTGGAATTCTGATGTGCAGCGCCCACCTTAACCGTGTGATGTGGTTGTTCTCACGTGTGGATGTGCTAACCTGTGGTCGGCGCCCACATGTGGACGGTGCTCTTGTGTGGATGGTGCTCTTGTGTGGACAGTGCTCATGTGCAGGTGGTGCTCATGTGTGGATGGTGCTCATGTGTGGACGGTGCTCTCGTGTGGGCGGTGCTCATGTGTGGGTGGTGCTCATGTGTGAACGGTGCTCATGTGTGGGTGGTGCTCATGTGTGGGTGGTGCTCATGTGTGGACGGTGCTCTCGTGTGGGCGGTGCTCATGTGTGAACAGTGCTCATGTGTGAACAGTGCTCATGTGTGGGTGGTGCTCATGTGTGGACGGTGCTCATGTGTGGACGGTGCTCATGTGCAGGTGGTGCTCATGTGTGGATGGTGCTCATGTGTGGACGGTGCTCTCAAGTGGGCAGTGCTCATGTGTGGATGGTGCTCATGTGTGGACGGTGCTCTCGTGTGGACAGTGCTCATGTGCAGGTGGTGCTCATGTGTGGACGGTGCTCTCATGTGGACGGTGCTCATGTGTGGATGTGCTCACGTGTGGATGGTGCTCATGTGTGGGTGGTGCTCATGTGTGGGTGGTGCTCATGTGTGGGTGGTGGTCATGTGTGAATGGTGCTCACGTGTGAATGGTGCTCATGTGTGGGCGGTGCTCATGTGTGGACGGTGCTCTCGTGTGGGCGGTGCTCGCATGCGGATGCTGCTGCTCTGAGACACACCAGTCCTCTGCCTTCAGGACAGCTTAAATGGTTCACAGATGTCTAGACACTTCTATGTCTCTAGGAGATTATGTTCCACAATCTCCTTTGTGGAAATTCTCTGAATTCAGGACCCATATCTGCTTTTCATCATTCTAGCTCAGCGGTCTAGCATCACCCTGGTGTATTTTAGATGCAGTAACTATTTTGCCAAATTGATTTGAATCACACTAAAAACCTGAGCAGGAATTTACAGGGTTTGTCTAAAACGTTGAGTACCATCTCCATTCCTCACAGCTCACTGCTGTGGAAGGTGGCTCTGCTTCTCTTTTGTGGCACAGGATTTCCTTCTGGGGCAAGAGATGAACATTTACTCTCGAGGAAAAGCGCATCCTTCTCTCCAGTGTGCTTGGAATTCCAGTCTAGGAGTTCACTGAGAAGCAACAAACTCACGTGTAAGCCTGACTGAGGAGAGATGAATCACTGACCTGTGGAACTGTCCACCCAGGAGCAAACTGCAGGGGAAATTCCCAGTGTGGGGAGATAGTCTTGAACCAAAGAAAATATGCTTCGGGGATGAATTTTATCATTAAGCCTGAGGAGTTGACGTCTGAGAAAGCCAGGGGCCGTGGTACATTTCCTTCAGTGTTGCTGTGTAAATACCTGGCAATCAGACAGCTTCCCTCCTCTCAGGCCTGCAGGGCGCAGACCACTGGCCCCCAGGTCTTACGGCAGGTCCTGGGCCGGAGACTGGTCTGCAGCCAACGCCACCAGCGCCCAGGCTCTCCTTGGCCGGCCGGGTACACTGTTGCCATCCAAAGCACACAATATTGGTGGTGTCAAGAGAGTGGACTTCAAGACAAAACTACTTGTTTTGTGAAAATAGTCACACACTGACACGGACTCCTTTAGGACTGATCCTCTAGCTTGTCATGCGACTCTTCCACCGTATAATGGAGGCTGAAGGAAACAGCACGAGGTAGATATTCTCTGGTGAGGATGCACATAGTTATCCCGAGTGGTGTAAAGTTAGAGGAGATGTGTGTCTCAGTCTCACTGTGGTGACCATGACCCTTTCTTTCTGCTATGAAGTTGCTGGTTATTTTTAAATGTGAGTGACACGGGATTGTAAAGTTTGTACGTGGCTACAGCATGGCACAGGGTTGGCTTTGCGATGCCTTAGGATGTCTGAGAATCACGGGCTTCTTTAGTGAGAATTTTTTTTCAGAACATGCAATTATGCTCCCTGTGTGTGAAAATAATCATAGGAAGCGATGCTTGGGGGGTTTTCAATGACAGATGATCAGAAAAGCGGAGGTGGCCGCCTTGGGCTTTACAGAGGAAGGGGAAAGCCACGTTGCTTCCTAGGGGCCCACAGAGCCACCGCCCGTCTGCGGACGGCGAAATGTGTGAGAAAGCAAACTCGGAAAATTCTCATATGCATATGAAAAATCACCGCATGAAAGGGGGCCGGGGATTAGGACAAGATAAATTTATGCCCGGCTTTGCACATTCCGTTGACAAATTTGCTGTTTTTGCGTTGTGGCCTCCGACCTCCTGGTTACCGAGGGGATAACATTAAATGGAGAAAATGGCTTATTCTGTGCGATAAATTCAAACAGAGATGACGCACTTCGCCCACCAAGTATACCTAAGAAATTGTGGGGAAATGCCAAGCATTTCAAGAGAAAGCTGCTGTGAATTCTGGCGCTGGCGGCTCGAGCGATTT
Organism: Homo sapiens; assembly: GCF_000001405.40. NCBI lineage: Eukaryota > Metazoa > Chordata > Mammalia > Primates > Hominidae > Homo > Homo sapiens. The sequence goes on along the minus strand of NC_000018.10, from coordinate 78,506,432 downwards.
CTGCAGAGGAGAAAGGTCTCTTTGTTCAAGCTCAGCTGACTCTCAGCGTGTGGAGTGTCCGCAGCTAGGGGGTCGCATGGAAGCTGAAGCAAAGAAAGGAAACCGGAGATGTGACAAAACGCTGGCGCTAGAGGGCTGAGGCGCGAGGAGGCCGCTTTGACAGGGCCGCGGCACACGGAGCTCGGGCCCGGGCCCTGGCTCGCCTCCCTCCCTGCCACCCGCACACTCTTCTCTGCCAATGGGGTGCCCTTCCCCGGAAAAGCCACTGCACAGCGGGTCATGGGGGCAGCAGCGAGGGGCAGTGGGTGCCCCCTATTCAGAGCACCGTCACCACTACCCGGCCAGGGCTGCCAAGAAACACGCATGGACTGTTGGCGGTGAGGCCTCCGTGCGTCTTAATAACAGCGAGATGGAGCAGTGTTCTCCATTCAGCACTTGGGGAAACAGAGAGGAGGAAAGTCTCTCCAGCAGATGCTGGGAATTTGTTTTGATTTGGATCACATTTCATTTGGGAAAATAAAGAAACTAAAAGGAAAAAGAACACACACACAAATCCTCAGCACTAAAAACAAAATGAAACCACCCTGGCCTGCTGATGGCACATTTATGTGGAGTGGCAAAGGCTCTGGCGGTGGCCCTGATTCAGGTCGGGGGTGGCAGGGAGGGAGGGCTGCTCCGGGTGGGGAGAATGAGGGGGTGGGGGGAACAGGACAGAGACCACCCCCGCCACTGCAGCAAATTAGCCATTCACAGCCGTGTTCACACTGTAGAGGGCTTTCCCCAGGTGACCCTTGGGGGCCAGGAGGGAGGAAGGGCAGAAAGGCCACCTCCTCTGCGCCCACTGCATGGCTGCCGGTTTCCACATCAAAGCCTCCTGCCAGGAGCTAGTGGCAGCTCTGTCCTCAGTGCCCTGTGACAAGCTTGGTACGCACCTCTCCCTGGCCTTCCCTCATCTCAGGACAAGGTGAGTTTCCGCAGTGCCTGTGTGGACGCAGGGCCTCTTCAGCTGCCGGACGCCGTGCTGGAGTGAACTTCACTGGCTTCCAGCCTCCCTGCCTCCCCGCCCTGCTGGGTTTCAATCTCTTCTGCCCGAGCACACGTTATCCACCTGTCAGAGCGGCTGCTGATAATCCCTGTGACATGGGCACTATTGGCCTTTTTAAATGAGAGGTAAAGATTATCCCTGCGTGATGACAGGAAAGCAGCGCAGGCCCGTCCTGCTCTGTGGCCAACACCGTGCTCTGTGCGGCTGGCATCCTCAGGTCCATCCTCCTGGTCGACACCGTGCTCTGTTGGCCTGGCATCCTCAGGTCCATCCTCCTGGTCGACACCGTGCTCTGTCGGCCTGGCATCCTCAGGTCCATCCTCCTGGTCGACACCGTGCTCTGTCGGGCTGGCATCCTCAGGTCCATCCTCCTCCTGGTCGACACCGTGCTCTGTCGGGCTGGCATCCTCAGGTCCATCCTCCTGCTGGTCGACACCGTGCTCTGTCGGGCTGGCATCCTCAGGTCCATCCTCCTGCTGGTCGACACCGTGCTCTGTCGGGCTGGCATCCTCAGGTCCATCCTCCTGGTCGACACCGTGCTCTGTCGGGCTGGCATCCTCAGGTCCATCCTCCTCCTGGTCGACACCGTGCTCTGTCGGGCTGGCATCCTCAGGTCCATCCTCCTCCTGGTCGACACCGTGCTCTGTCGGGCTGGCATCCTCAGGTCCATCCTCCTCCTGGTCGATACCGTGCTCTGTCGGGCTGGCATCCTCAGGTCCATCCTCCTGCTGGTCGACACCGTGCTCTGTCAGGCTGGCATCCTCAGGTCCATCCTCCTCCTGGTCGACACCGTGCTCTGTCGGCCTGGCATCCTCAGGTCCATCCTCCTGCTGGTCGACACCGTGCTCTGTCGGGCTGGCATCCTCAGGTCCATCCTCCTGCTGGTCGACACCGTGCTCTGTCGGGCTGGCATCCTCAGGTCCATCCTCCTCCTGGCCGACATCGTGCTCTGTCGGGCTGGCATCCTCAGGTCCATCCTCCTCCTGGCCGACACCGTGCTCTGTCGGGCTGGCATCCTCAGGGTTGAGTTAGGCAGCAGAGGGCGCAGGGGCAGCTCTGACTCCAGCAGCTGTAGACCTCAAAAGGAGTCTAATCTCAGACCCTGAGTCTCCCCGTGGACAGTGAAGACGCTGCGTGCCGCACAGGTGAAGGGGCCCACTGGGGAGCTTAGTTCAGGGAGTCCTCACGCAGTCCCCAAGCTCTGCTCTCCTCTGGGAGCTGCGCCGTTCTGTCTCACGAAGGTGAATGATCCTCGTTCCTGCCGTCAGTCCACCAGGAGCACGGCGTCTCACCAGGCAGCCCCAATGCCGTGTGCACGAGTCACATTGATGTTTGCTGCAGGACACTCTGGGAAACATAGAGGGGATGGGCCATTCCTACTGGAAGGGTGTCCACTGAAACTTCTTGGGAAGCCTTGCAGGACAAGCAGCACTCATCTGTGTGTGGGCTGTGAAGGGAGGAAGGTGTCAGAGCCAAGGGGAAGGTGCAAACCGGGCCAGGGCCAGGGCCAGAGGGTTCGGTGCACGTGGGCAGCACACACAGTGCAGCCCTGAGGAGCCTGGGGCTTGGAGAGGGTCAGACCCTGGGAGCCCCTGGCTCCCACTCCCCTGGGGACGTTCCTGTCTCATCTCAGAGACACCATGGGCAGCAGCGCTGGGGCATGGCCCATCAGGTCTCCTGCCTGTCCCCAGTGTACCCTCGGCTATGTTTTACTGCAGACGAGGCAAACACTCAGAGGCAGCTGCAGCAGCTCTGTGTCAAAGGGAAGCCGGATCTGCCGTGGGGTTCTTTCCAGGACCTCACCATTGCGTGCTTCTCGTGGCCAAGCAGGCCCCCTGCACAGTGCCCTGAGCCAGCCTGTGTTCGCTGGGAGCCAGCAGGAGGCGGGGAGACCCTCTGCGTCACCATTTCTTTTTCTGGAGGAAGCGGGTAAAGAACAGCTCTGAGGGCAGTGGGGCTGCACCACGGAGGTGGGAACAGGACCCCAGCACCCCATCCGAGCCCTGTATGTGGGAGGGAGAAGGAACCAGGAGGTGAGGGCTCAGCCGGAGCAGCTGCTGCATGCGGGGAAGGAGTCTACCTAAGTACTGTGAAGTGCTCATTCGGCTCCCACAGAGGCAGCGGCAGATTGCCCGAAACTATCGCAGTCGGTGCCAGCCAGAACGTTCCCATTAGGCAGAGCACATGGAGCCTCGTTTACCCTCATCTGGGGCTTTAATGGAAGTTTTAAGTCAATGGGAAATTCAAGCTTTGGATGAGCAGTGAATGTGGCCTGGAGGTGGTGCAGGGCGCAGCGGTGTCAGCAGAGTCACAAGAGGTGGGCGAGACGGCCATGCCCTGTCCCGGTACAGCAGGCCAGCGCTAAGGATCGAGACGGCCATGCCCTGTCCCGGTACAGCAGGCCAGCGCTAAGGATCGAGACGGCCATGCCCTGTCCCGGTACAGCAGGCCAGCGCTAAGGATCGAGACGGCCATGCCCTGTCCCGGTACAGCAGGCCAGCGCTAAGGATCGAGACGGCCATGCCCTGTCCCGGTACAGCAGGCCAGCGCTAAGGATCGAGACGGCCATGCCCTGTCCCGGTACAGCGGGCCAGCGCTAAGGATCGAGACGGCCATGCCCTGTCCCGGTACAGCGGGCCAGCGCTAAGGATCGAGACGGCCATGCCCTGTCCCGGTACAGCGGGCCAGCGCTAAGGATCGAGACGGCCATGCCCTGTCCCGGTACAGCGGGCCAGCGCTAAGGATCGAGACGGCCATGCCCTGTCCCGGTACAGCGGGCCAGCGCTAAGGATCGAGACGGCCATGCCCTGTCCCGGTACAGCGGGCCAGCGCTAAGGATCGAGACGGCCATGCCCTGTCCCGGTACAGCGGGCCAGCGCTAAGGATCGAGACGGCCATGCCCTGTCCCGGTACAGCGGGCCAGCGCTAAGGATCGAGACGGCCATGCCCTGTCCCGGTACAGCGGGCCAGCGCTAAGGATCGAGACGGCCATGCCCTGTCCCGGTACAGCAGGCCAGCGCTAAGGATCGAGGTTAATGAGACGGGCACGCGAGGGGCTCACCTGCTTCTCATGCTAACGTGCCCCGCAGTGGCTGGAACGCGTGAGCTGTTTTTAATGTTGAGGACGAGGGATGAGAAGATGAAGCGTCCTGAGGCAAACACTCAGAGGCAGCTGCAGCAGCTCTGCGTCAAAGGGATGCCAGTCTGCCGTGGGGCTCTTTCCAGGACCTCACCATTGCATGCTGCTTGTGGCCTGAGGCGTCCTGAGGCGTGATGTGTAAAGTGGCCTTTCTGTTTATCTCAGTCTGTGTGGAGGCTGGTTTCAGGGTGTGCAGTCTCTCCTTGGAACCGTGCTCAGGACAGAAGGCCAGGCTGCAGAGCCTCCTCCTGCCTCCTGCCAGTGCCTTGGGCTGGGCCCAGAGGAGATGCCCAGCCAGGGGTTGGAGTTCAGCTGCCATTAGTCCATGGGTCACCCTCGCCTCTCACAGGGCTGCTGGTGGTGGATCACGTGGAGCAAAGTGAGATTTTTTACAAAGGGGCTCTGCGGCAGGTGCCGTTCTACTTCAAATCTTCAGTCTTTCTCGCTCCACGGAAAGGTGAAAGTCCGTTGCACCTCTCTCTGGTCAAAACGCGTGCCCACGTTGACACCTTTACTATTGAGAGCCCGTGGTGTGCACGCCACAGTCACATCCATGGTGTCACACCTGCTTCCTGGCGGACACAAGCTGAAACCTGGCAGCAGAGGTAACATTTGGAGACTGCATGTTTTGCCTTTGTGGTTGCTTTTCTGCATTAGAGGAGCACAGGCTGGACCCCAGGACTTCGCCCCTGCTGCTCCCTAGGAAGGGGGCCCCACCCTGGTGAGGCACTTGGGGGTGGGTGAGTGTCTGATAAAGGGGAGGCCATGGCAGCAGACCTTCCCGGAAACTTTCACCCTGGCAGGTGAAGAAGCAGGGGCTGTGGGGATGTGGCCGGGATGAGGCATGGCTGAACAAAGGCACCGAGAGACCTGAGGGCTGGGCCACTCTCAGCCTCACGGGCTGATGGTCCAGGGTTGGCTGGCATAGAGGTTAGAAGGAGGCCTGTCTGCTTTTGCCATGAGTAGTGGACAAGAAAACGCGCTTTCTTCACAATGGGCCGTTCTCTTCACCCAAGATCTGGGGTTATGAAGAATTAAACTTGCACATTCCTACATCCAGTCGGAATCGGCTCATACCTCACCGCCGTGCATTGTGGTGACCCAGCTGATGTGGAGACAGATGTGGCTGGAGGTAGTGTTGCAGAGGCTGGTAATAAAAACTGTAATCATCTGGAATATCTGCCAAAGGGCAAAACTGCAGTTCGCCCAAGAGGCAGTGTGTCAATGCCCTTTTTATGTCACCCCCCAGCACCCACCGAGGCCCTGGCATTTACGGCCCTGACAGCTTGTCTATAAGAAGCCCCGCTTGTGAGGGATTTATAACTCAACCATAAAAACCCACTCTGAGTTTAAGGCTGGCATGCGGGAACTCAGCTCAGAAGTGAATTAATTAATGAATTTGTCCTTTCTTTCATCAATTTGACTGACACGTTCAACCATACCCCTTGAGATGTGATCTCAACAGATCTTATAAAACAGAAACTTTAGGCTTGGCCAATGCCTGGAATGAGAGGACGCTGGTGGAAATCAGCTGCCCTGTAGGAACCGGGGAATGGGAGTCGGTTCCGTTAGGGCCTGGCAGGCGCCACAGGCTGTGGCTGACCGAACAGAGATATTAAGGGCTGGGAGACCTGAGTTTGAGTCCAGACCCTGGCCAGGGGCTCCTCTCTGAGCCTCTGCGGTTTTGTGCAAGGTTGGGATCCTTCTTCCCTGCCCAGTTGTCCCTGGGGTGCAGGAAAAGGGAGCAGCCTCCTTCCTTTCCGCTTGTTACTGCTCCTCCCTAGGGGATGGCCTTTCTCAGCAGGTGAGGTAGGGAGGGGTCTCTGTGCCTGTGGCTGGTAGAGGCCCCACACGACTGGCCTGTGCTCACCCCGAGCTGACCCTCCAGACCCCGTCCCTCCAAGCAGGGCCTGAGTAAATAACTGGTTTGTCCTGGAGGCCAGGGTACACTCTGCCTGGAGTGGACGAGCTTCTGCATGCACCGTGGGGTGGAGGTGGCAGCCGGGCAGTAGCAAGGCTGCTCTTGGGTGGTGTGAGAGTTTTCGTCAGCCTAAAGCACTGTGTGACCAGTGCTCATAGCCATGAAACCGTTAGTGTAGTGGAAAATCCACCAGAGTATTTGTGAGTTCAACATCGTGACTCTACAGCACTCCCACGGCATTCCGAAGGTCACCCAGAAGGAAGAAGCGCTGAGGGGCCCTCGCTCAGAGAACGAGAAAGGTCAGCACCTGCCCTGGGAAACTGACCTCAAAATTTCACGAGGTGACCTTTGCTGTGTGGTGTACCCCAGAGGCGTTTTACCAGGGTGATCCTGACACAGGTTCCTTCTGTCTCGGATGGGATCTGGGCCGTCCTGCAGTGACAGCGCCATGCTCAGGTGGGGCCCTGTCTTCACAGAGGGTGACTTTGAACGCTGGGCTGGGAGTCATCGGCTGCCCCTCCACAGAGACAGAGACTCCACGGGTGCCGAGGCTGCAGTCCTGGGGGCATCTGCCCGAGCTGTAGATCCACGAAGGGACCGAACAACTCGCGGACACCTGAGACCCAGGTATGAATACAAGGAAACAGAGGTAAGACCTTCAGCATGAGGGGAGACAAGGAGTGGTGCAGACGGAGGACGGAGGGAAGAATGAAAGATGGGAGGCAGTGATGGGCAGCAGGGCCGGGTGCACCGTGCCTGTTCCCACTGTGCCACAAGCATAATCTCAGTGGGAGAGAGCCCAGGGCTCCTTGCTGGCAATCCTTTGAAAATATTGAATTATAGAACGAGATAGATAATAAGCAAATGGACTCTTAAAATATGAATTCGCACACACATTATGTCTCTGGGCCCCGGCCTCTTTGAGTGTCAGCTAATTCAGCCAAGGTCTAAAATTAGATCGAAAACTACATATTATCTCTTGTTCCAAGAGGGAAATGTGGCACTGACTAGGGGGTTTGCCAGCCTCCAGGAAAGCCACGTTTTGGAGACCAGAAGGTGAGGTGTGCATGGTGTCCTCTGTGGGGGACTCTGCAGGGGTATGGGAGAAGCCTGGTCAGCAGCTTCTCTGCCTGCTCTGAGGGACAAGGAGGGACTTCTCTGTCTGCTCTGAGGGACAGGCATCTGTCCTGGCCCTCTGTGCACCCTGGTGCTGCATAGGTCTGGAGGCACTTGCTGTAAGGGAAAGAGTGGGTCTGGGGCAGATGGGAGAGCCACGTGTTGACTTTGCACTGGCCTGGGCCATGAGATCCTGCACCCTGTCTGCGGCTCTCTGACTTTGCACTGCCCTGGGCCATGAGATCCTGCACCCTGTCTGAGGCTCTCTGACTTTGCACTGCCCTGGGCCATGAGATCCTGCACCCTGTCTGAGGCTCTCTGACTTTGCACTGGCCTGGGCCATGAGATCCTGCACCCTGTCTGTGGCTCTCTTGACCTGACATTGGATGGGCTTTGTGTTTCACTATTTGGTGGTTGGCACCGTCTCGGCACTGCTGGGGTGTGGGGTGATGCTCCCCATGTAGAGACTTGTCTGGCCAGGTGCTACGGCCATGTCCTGACGATGCAGGAGAGAGACCACCGGTCAACACCCTCGGTCTTGGACTTCCAGCCTCGGAACTGTGAGAAAATAAATGTGTGCTGTGCAGGTCGCCTGGTCTGAGGTCAGTTGTTTCGAAGCCCTGGCAAATTCACGGGGATGTAGCCAGACAAAACTGCGGCAAAAAGGCTTTTTCAGTCCTTGGAATGTTCTCATCCTTGTGGAGCGGCAGCGAGCTCCGTACTTGCTTCGCGTTTTGAGATTCCAGGTTTTGTCACTCGTTCATTCACAGACTCGCTCTGTGAGGCCACACGCAGTACCACACTGGCACCTGTCCTGTCCACAAGAGCATGGGCTGCAGAGCTGGGCATGGCTATCCCACGTCCCAAGAGGAGCTGGGTGCAGCAACCTCTGTTCCGAGAGGGGCTGGGCTCTGCGCCCTTTTTGTCCCCCTCCGTCCTCACCATTTCACTGCGTGGCTGGAACACAGGGACGCCCATGCACTCCAATGGTGCCGTCATCCCCTCCACGCATGGCATGTCCCTTATGCTGAGTGCCCAGAGTTGTTCCCTCCCCAGTAGCCAGGCTCCAAAACCATGCCCCTGGTCCTCAGGAGCCACTGTTTCTCCCTCGCCTCCCCTGAGCCCTGCGTGTAGCCCAGCATATGTGGGCTGTCTGCCCCACCAGGCTTAGAGACATTCTCAGCACATGAACGAGGCCACTTCCTCCATGGGCATCTGTGGACCCTGTTGGGCTCGGCTGCCCTGCTTGACCTGCTACTACCCTAGCAGCCCACCCTGCATCTGCTGTGCACCTGGGCAGGTGTGTGCTGGCCGCTTCCAGCCCTCCTGAGCTCTATGTGGACCTCCTTCCTCAGCACTGAGCAGGCAGGGTGAGGGCCAGGATGTCGCCTCCCGAGGCCCTAGCCGGCCATCCGTCAGGATCCCAACAACCTCAGCCCTGCTTCTCCACCTGCGAGTCACTGGGGATGGCACTGCCCACGCCTTCCCATGAAAGCACCGAGGCTGAATTTGCTGTCCTGGGGTGACGTCCTAGGGTGACGCCGTCCAGGGTCCTGGCACTGGGCCCTGGAAAGGATGCGGTCGGCTCCTCTCCAAAGCACATTCATTCAGGAAGCTGCAGAAATGATCCACACACCTTGTTTTCAAATTCTATTAGAATCTGCTATTAAACTCTTTTCTGAATTATTTCATAGAAAATGAAAGGCAGCAGTCCCCACAGATTTCTCTCTCTTATGGCTAATTATGAGGGAAATATATGATAAAACAGAGCAGCATTTTTTTTTTAATGAAGAGTATTTTGGAAGAAAGAAAATGTTCATATAAATTTCCTTTAAGGATTAAAAAAGTAGCCATATACGGCTATCATTCTAATACATTTAGTAAAATATTTGCACTCTTCCTTTCCATGACGATCAGTTGAAGTATGTCAGGGAAATTAAATAAAATACATGTTTAGGGACCCCCCCCCCTCCATAATCCATTAGTCTAAGAAATTGTCTTAAAAGCAGCATGTCATTATTTTAGAGTTAAACAGTTAAACGTTTTTATACAGGAACATCAAAACTATATATGCTTCAAACACCAAACCTTTTTTTAATGGCTTTCAGATAAAACAATTTATTTATGCAATTAACAACAACATGCAATTTCTAATAATTAGCAGATAATAGTTATCTGCAAAGTACTTTATAAAATTGCCTTTGAACTGCATTCGTTCTGTGGGGAATCACTGAAAATTGGACTATAAAATTACCAGAAAATGTACTGCATTAACAAGAATTTTCTGTATTCGGTTTCTCTTCAAATTTATGGGCTTGAATATTTGTAAACATTTGGTTTCATAGACAGAAACCCTATCACATCACCTCTCTAAAAGGGGAAAAGCACATTTTTGTGCATTTGGTTGTTTTAGAATTTTAATTTTCTTGATTTTAACTTTGCTTTCTCTTCTCCTCCTCCCCTCCCAAACAGGGACATTATTTTGCTATTATTTCTTCTTTGAGAATTAAAAAAATTACTAATATGCCATTTTTATTGGTATACATCAGTTCTTTCAAATTCCCTTTTATAAACAATATCATAAATTCAGTAATTGTAAAGTCTTCCTATTAAACTGCACTGTCTTTGAAGAAAGAACAATAAAAAACATGAGAGAAATGTGTTGGACGAGTATCAAGAGGACACGGGACACGCAAAGGGTATTTTCTATCCTCTCCTCCTATTTTAAGAGAAATCTCCATGGCGCCCACCGACCAGCAGTGCAAATGCGTCCTGCGCGCATGAGAACGTCATTACTTAAAAGCATATTTCCATCCTGTTTCTGATGGAACATTGTCTGTTAATGGACTGTGATAACACAGTTCAAATGACAGATCCAGGCTCAGGTTTGCCAAGATGGGAAGATGAAGCCAGGGACGCCGCTCACGTGGCCTGTGGCCTGGCCCGGCTGAGCCCCTGAAGGGCCAGATACAGCCTGGAAGTCGGCTCCGCCCCAGCCGCTGTGGGAGGACTCCCCGGTCCTGTTGCATCCACAATCTGGATGCAAGTCCCACGCTGGGCCTCGGAGAAGAGGTGGCTGCTCTTGTTTGCCAAGGCAATTTGCTGACTTCTAGCAGGAAAATGGCTTTTCCCCATATGAAATGGAAATGTGGGCATTGCTAGGAGAGAAAAGATAAAAGCAAAGTGGTTCTCAAGCTGGTTCCTCTCTGGGTGACCTGGCACGCTTGCTCTCACTGTGAAAACAGCTTGGAGAGAAAGGGTGAGGGGATTTCATTGTATTGATTTAAAAGGAAAATGCAGCTTTCATGTTTTACACAGAGCCCGTGTGAACGAGAAACCTGTGTCCTTCTCTGAGCTCTGGAAGTGTCTCCTGGAAGAGGGGAGCCGGTGCCCCAGCCGGGCGCCCACCTGGGCTCTGCAGTCCCAGTCCTGCTCTGAGCTCTGGAAGTGTCTCCTGGAAGAGGGGAGCCGCTGCCCCAGCCGGGCGCCCGCCTGGGCTCTGCAGTCCCAGGGAAATGGCTGCCTCCTCACGCTTGCGGCTCAGCCTCCAGTGCTTGGGGCCAAGGTTCAGATGAAGTTAGAAAATGATCAAAAGCCATTTGCTAATTTTATGCCATACACGTAGTATACGCAGAGAAAAGACACATGTTTAGTGTCCGAAGGTGCCCCATGAAGCAGGTACGGCGTATGTGAGCCCTCTGAGGCAAGGCTCCCCACAAGAAATGCTGACTGCTCCATAGGAGACCCGGCTGTCCCATGCCTGTGGTCTGTGGTTCTGGAAACTTCTACCATGGCTGGCTCCTGGGTGGCCTCCACATGGCCTGTCCCCGATGCCCTCTGACCAGGATCCACCAATGCAACTACAGGCAGGAGGCTGTAGGGAGGACCCTGTGAGGCCTGGTGTGGCCCTCAGCTCCTGGCTAGCCTGGGCCAGGACTAAATTCCCCGTAAACTGCCCTACAGTAGTGGGTTCGGTGGCATCTCCCAACATCCACGCCCACACAGAATCTCAGAGTGTGGCCTTATCTGTAAACTGGGCCTTCGCAGAAGGACTTGATTAAATGCGGTGATGCCAGAGTTGGGTAGGCCCCGATCCACACACTGCTGTCTTAGAGGAAGGTGGCCACATGAAGCCACAAGACACCCCACAGAGAAACTGCGTGGCCATGGGGACAAGATGGGGCAGTGAGGCCACCCAAGTCACAGAACCCAGCAACTGTGGAGCCTCCAGAAGCTGGAAGAGGTGGAGGGGTTCTCCCACAGAGCCCCTGGAGGGACGTGGCCCTGCTCACACCAGATTTGGGGCCTCTGGCCGTCACCACACGACGGCAGCGCTTTGCTGTGGCAACCTCCAGGAAGCCGTCTCCAGCTGCCTGAGCCCAGTCTCTGCCTTCTCCAGGTTCTCTGCTCCATCCCCAGGCTTCCCCAGTGTCCCTGGTCTTGGCTGCCATCTGCCTTCAGGGACACCAGGTGTTTTCCCAATCAAGCTTGTGGTCCTTGGAGTGAGAGGGCCGGGTTAGCTGCACCTTTGTATTTCTAGAGTCTCCAAAGCAGACACGGGTGGACGAGGTGGTAATGCTGACACATGTGACAGTGATGCTGACACTAGTGATGGGATGACTCATGTGAAGGTGACTCTGACTCTACTCACTCTACCCCAGCAGGAGCTTCCTGAACTTGGGCAGACGTCGGTGGTGGGACAGGCAAAGCGAGGTTGGGAAGGAAAGGCAAGGAAGGGTAATAAAGCAAAACCAAGTCCCAACCTTGGTCTCAGCAGCCACTCAGTGCTGGCCTGGAGCCCAGAATCTCCCACATCCCCGGCTCGCTGAGTCATGTGATGGTGGGATGACTCCGTGACTGTGGAATGACGCATGACCGTAGGGCGACTCACTGAGGGGGATGGCGACACACTGAGGGGGATGGCGACACACTGAGGGGGATGGCAACTCACTGAGGGGGATGGTGACACACTGAGGGGGACAGTGACACACTGAGGGGGACGGTGACACACTGAGAGCGATGGTGACTCACTGAGGGGGATGGTGACACAATGAGGGGGATGGTGACACACTGAGGGGGATGTGACACACCGAGGGGGGTGGTGACACACTGAAGGGGATGGTGGCTCACTGAGGGGGATAGTGGCTCACTGAGGGGGATAGTGACTCACTGAGGGGGATGGTGACACACTGAGGGGGATGGTGACACAATGGGGGATGGTTACTCACTGAGGGGGATGGTGGCACAATGAAGGGGATGGTCACACACTGAGGGGGATGTGACACACCGAGGGGGATGGTGACACACTGAGGGGGATGTGACTCACTGAGGGGGATGGTGACACAATGAAGGGGATGGTGACACACTGAGGGGGATGTGACACACCGAGGGGGATGGTGACACACTGAGGGGGATGTGACTCACTGAGGGGGGTGGTGACACAATGAAGGGGATGGTGACACACTGAGGGGGATGGTGACTCACTGAGGGGGAAGGTGACACACTGAGGGGGATGGTGACTCACTGAGGGCGATGGTGACACACTGAGGGGGATGGTGACTCACTGAGGGGGATGGTGACACACTGAGGGGGATGGTGACTCACTGAGGGGGAAGGTGACACACTGAGGGGGATGGTGACTCACTGAGGGCGACGGTGACACACTGAGGGGGATGGTGACTCACTGAGGGGGATGGTGACACACTGAGGGGGACGGTGACACAATGAAGGGGATGGTGACTCACTGAGGGGGATGGTGGCACAATGAAGGGGATGGTCACACACTGAGGGGGATGTGACACACCGAGGGGGATGGTGGCACACTGAGGGGGATGTGACTCACTGAGGGGGATGGTGACACAATGAAGGGGATGGTCACACACTGAGGGGGATGTGACACACCGAGGGGGATGGTGACACACTGAGGGGGATGTGACTGACTGAGGGGGATGGTGACACACGTGTGGGGGAGGAAGATGCACATGTGGGTGATGGCGACACATGTGATGCTACTGGTGACACGTGTGAGGATGATGTTGACATGAGGGTGACCCTGATGTACATGACAGTGACTCTGGCACATGTGAGGTGCTTACAGAGTGGCGTCTCCGGAACCTTGGGCTTAGGGCTGCCACCCCGTGCCCTCCTCAGCCACAGTCCCCCTTGCTGTGCAGGATGTGGGTTCTGGGCCTTCCCCAGTGCAGTGGCCCCCTTGGGGTGAGGCCCGAGCAGGGCAACGCCTGCAGCTGCCCCAGGCGTGGGGGCGTCAGATGGACAAGGGGGTGGCGGCGCAGGTGGCGTGGAGCTCCCGCTTCCAAGGGAGCCTCCCCATGCCCCTCTCTATGCACACGTTTCCTTCTTCCTCCAGAAAAATGTGTTCTTGAATTAATAAGAAAATCAGACTGAATGCCCCGGAAGAGAACAGCTAATCTGTACTTTAAATATTATTATTATCTAGGATCTTTGCCATGGGTGACACACTTAGACTAGGAATTTTCAATTTTGTCTGGAATGCCAGTTGTCCTTGGCGGTTCAGCCATGGTCCAGGTGCTGGGCATTCTGGGTGTGCCAGGCGTGCTGGGTGTTCGGGAATTCTGGGTATTCTGGGTGGGCTTTCCAGGTGTTCTGGGGATTCTGGACATTCTGGGTGTGCCAGGCATGCTGGGTGTACCGGGAGTTCTGGGTGTTCTGGGAATTCTGGGCATTCTGGGTATTCCAGGTGTTCCAGGCATTCTGGGAGTTCTGGGCATTCTGGGTGTGCCAGGCATGCTGGGTGTTCTGGGAATTTTGGGCATTCTGGGTATTCCACGCATTCCAGGCGTTCTGGGTGTTCCAGGCGTTCTGGGTGTTCCAGGCATTCTGGGTATTCCACGCATTCCAGGCGTTCTGGGTATTCCAGGCATGCTGGGTGGACCGGGAATTCTGGGTGTTCTGGGAATTCTGGGCATTCTGGGTATTCCACACGTTCCAGGCATGCTGGATGTTCTGGGAATTCTGGATGTTCCAGAAATTCTGGGCTTTCTGGGTATTCCGGGTGTTCCGGGAATTTCGGGCATTCTGGGTATTCTGGGCATTCCAGGCATTCTGGGCGTTCCGGGCATTCTGTGTGGCCAAACCGCCTGAGGATACTGCGTGTTGAACTGGGCCTCAGCAGAAGTTCTCCTGCCAGTTTGCTTTCGGAGATGCCTCTAAATCTGTGGTTGCTTTATCAATGAATGGCTAATTCCCAAATTGATTTACAGCCAATTAATCTTCAATGAATTGACCCAATGTCCAGTCTTTCACTAGAATTTTTTAAATTAAATTTTTAATTTTGAGATAATTGCAGATTCACCTGCAGTTGTAAGAAAAAATACAGGGGCACCCTTGCACCCTTTACCCAATTTTCCCCATGGCAGCCTCCTCAAAACCGTGGAACATCTTCACCCTGGGGACAGTGACAGGGACACATCCAGACACAGAGCTCCCTCCAAACAAGTCCCTCCTGCAGCCCTTCACAGCCAGCCCACCTGCCCAAACTCAAGCTCCAGCACCCGTCATTCTGCAACGTATTTCTCTAGCTTATCGTTTCAAGAATGTCCTGTGAGTGAAATCATGCATGGTCTAACCTTGGGGCTATACACTGTAAAACCATTTTCTTTCAGCATAACTCCCTGGAGAGTCACACAAGTCATTACATGTGTGTTCCTTTTCATTGCTGAGTAGTATCCCACCCACGCCCAGTCGTTTATCCATTCTCCTGCTGAAGAATGGCTGGGCTGCTTCTAGGTTTTGACTGTGCTGTTTCTACATGCATGCAGATTTTTGTGTGAGCATACATTTCCATTTCTCTGGGTCAAATGCCCAATGTACCATTACTGGGCAGTATGGTAGCTTCATATTTAGTTGTGTAAGAAATTGCAAAACTTTTCCAGAGTCACTGAACATTTTCCATTCCCACCAACAGTGTATGAAGGATATAGATTCTCTGAATTTGCAACAGAGGTTGTTGAGATATTTTTGTTTTTGACATTGTGATGTCTGTGTAGTGATGTTTCATTTGGTTTTAGTTTGCATTTCCCTAATGGATTATAATGCAGAAAATCTTTCCATGTGCTTGACCTCATCTGTATATGTTCTTTAATGAAATGTCTGTTCATGTCTCTTGCCCATTTTCTAAATGGATTGTTTTCTTTTTTATGTTGAGTTTTGATAGTTTTTTTTAACTTCTAGGGTACCTGTGCACAACGTGCAGGTTTGATACATAGGTATACATGTGCCATGTTGGTTTGCTGCATCTGTCAACTCATCATTCACATTAGGTATTTCTCCTAAAGCTATCCCTCACCTAGCACCTGCCCGTCGACAGGCCCTGGTGTGTGATGTTCCCCATCCTGTGTCCAAGTGATCTCATTGTTCAATTCCCACCTATGAGTGAGAACATGCAGTGTTTGGTTTTCTGTCCTTGTGATAGTTTGCTGAGAATGATGGACTCCAGCTTCATCCATATCCCTGCAAAGGACATGAACTCATCCTTTTTATGGCTGCATAGCAGTCTATGGTGTATATGTGCCACATTTTCTTATATAATGTGATAATATTTGTTGAGGATTTTGCGTAAGTTCATGAGTGATAAGTGTTTGTAGTTTTCTTTTTTGTGCTGCTTTATCTAGTGTTGGTAGCAGGGCAATAGTAGATGCATAAAATGTGCTGGGAAGTACCCCCTTCACTTGGAATTTCTAGAAGCCATGTGTAAACCTGGCAGTTCTTCTTTCAAGTGTTTGGTAGTATTCTCCTGTAAAACCATGTATGCCTGGAGATTTCTTTGTGGGGAGTTTTTGTTTCTTTGTTTGTTTTTGTTTTTGTTTTTTGAGATGGAGTCTCATTCTGTTGCCAGGCTGGAGTGCAGTGGCGTGATCTCGGCTCACTGCAACCTCTGACTCCCTGGTTCAAGTGATTCCCCTGCCTCAGCCTCCCAAGTAGGTGGGAATACAGGCATGTGTCACCATGCTCAGCTAATTTTTGTATTTTTACTAGAGACTGGGTTTCACGATGTTGGCCAGGATGGTCTTGATCTCCTGACCTCGTGATGCACCCACCTCGGCTTCCTGAAGTGCTGGGATTACAGGCATGAGCCACCGAGCCCAGCAGGAGGTTTTAAATTATAAATTCAACTTCTATAATGATTATCAGATTATTCAGATAATTTATTTTGCCTTGATTGAGTTTGACACCTTGTGGTTTTTAAAGCATTAGTCATTTTCTTTGAAGTTGTTGAATTCATGAATCTAAACCTGTTGATAATTTTCTCTCATTATCCTTTTACTGTGTCTGGGATTTGTAATGATATCCTTTGTTTCATTCCTGACACTAGGGATTCAAGTCTTCTCCTTTGTGTTGTGCTTGCCTTGTTGGAGGCTTATGAATTTTACTGACTTTTTTTCAAATCATCAGTTTTTGGTTGATCACTTCTCTATTGTTTTCTTCTTCTCAGTTTTATTGGTTTCTGCTCTTATCTGTATAATTTCCTTACTTCTGCTTACTTAAAATTTATTTTTTCCAACGTTCTTGGGGCAGAAATTAATAATTTGAGAACTGCCCTACTTTTTCCTCCACTTCAGTGTAAGCATTTTAATGTTGTAAATTTTCCTCTCAGCGTGGCTTTAGCTGCGTTCTGTATATTTTGATATATTTTTTCATTTTCTTTCAGTTTTATATATTTGTATTTGCTTTGAGACTTTGTCTTATATCTGTGGCTTATCAAGAATTTCATTCTTAATTTCCAGATATTTGAGATTTTCCTGATGTGTTTCTATTTGTGATTTATAATTTGGTTGTATTGCGGTCAGGGATGCTTGTATAATATCAATTCCTTCTGACTGGTTGAGGTTTGATTGTGGCACAGAAGATGGTCAGTCTTGGTGACTCTTCCAGGGGTGCTTGGAAAACACGTGTATGCGACGCTTCTGCTGCTGCTGTTGGTCGTGTCACAGCTGCCATCAGATCCTTGTCGGGGAATTGCATTGCTCAGCTTCTGGGTCGCTGCTGACTTCATATCTGGTAGCTCTCCTTAGGGAGGGCAGGGAGTGTTAGAGTCCGCAAGGATAACTGTGGATTTGTCTCTTTATCATTTTAGGTTTAAATTTTTGCTTCATGTATGATGAAGCTGTATTTTTTGTTGTGGATACATTTAAGATTGTTATGTCTTTATTAGCCAGTAAAAACGATTCTGGATCTTTTTATAATTAGGTAATGTCATTCTTCATATTAAAGATTTTCTCTGCTCTGAAGTTTATTTTATCTTAACATAGCCACTCGTTTTTATAATTAGGTAATGCCATTCTTTGTATCAAATATTTTCTCTGTTCTAAAGTTTGTTTTATATTAATGTAGCCACTCCTCCTTTTTGGTTGTTTTTAACGTTTGCACAATATTCCTATTCTCAACCTTTTACTTGTAACCGACGTGTGTTGCAGAATTTGAAGTGGGTTTTTTGAAAGCAGCATATACCAAAAGATGAAGTGAGCTGCAGGGTAAAGATGGTAGACCAGGCCTTCTAGGAAGTGACATTGACAAAAAGTCCTTAGTGACACAGAACACAGCAATTTAAGGTGTTCACCCTTGTGAGGGTTGGGGTGACTCAAGTGAGCAGAGTCGATTTTGTGAAAAATCCTGAAACTATATTGAGGAGCTTGAGGTTTAACTGAGAGCAATAGAAACAATCATTGAGGATATTGCAGAGGAGACAATGTGATGAGTGATGCACTTTAGAAATATGTCTCTCATTTCTGTATCTGAGAAAAATCAATGCAGTGATGTCAACTAGGAAGGCATTGAGGTGTTCTGTGAAGCAGCTGAGGGCAGTTTAGACGAGATATTATAGGACCTGGGATGGCTGAGGTGCCTGGGAGTTGCAGTGTTGAGGAGTAGCAGGGAAGGCCTGGGTGACTGGGGCCGAGGGGAGTGGAGAGGCCGCCCCAGGAGGAGGAGCAGTATTGATTTGCAGGGGCAGGAGGAAGGAAGCTGGGGTTAGGGTGGGCTACTTAGTGGGCTCTGGACTTCCCCAGGGCACGCAGGGAGTTGGTTGAAGATCTCCAGAGCAGGAGAATGATGGGGGTTTCCAGATTGGCAGGCAATAATTGCTCAGGAGAGGGAACAAGGTCACTCAGATGGGAGAGTACAGGGTCAGAAGAGGGGAGATCTCAAGGTTGAAGGGGAAGGAAGAACAAGAGGAGAGTGCTGGGGAGAGGGGGGCCAGGAGGAGAGGCCAAAGGTAAGAGTCGCAGCCCTCAGTAAGGTCACGGGCTTCAGCCAGAGGAGGTTGTTACTGACCCTTGAGAAGACAGGCTTAGGAAAAGGGTGGAGCAGAAACTGGCATTGGGCGTGTTGAGCTTCATCCAGGTGTGGGCGTGGAATCGGAGGGACTCTGCACTGTTTAAAGTGTTGACCCTGAAGACTGTGGGTGTGCATAATCTAGGTGGGTCTCTGGCAAGCCTGAATAGGAAGAGCTTTCTGCTCAGGGAGCTTTGGTGTAATCGAGTATTGTAAGGGGTCAGAATTCAGCTGGAGAGAAGAGCTTTCCACTCAGGGAGCTTTGGTGTAATCAAGTATTGTAGGAGTCAGAATTCAGCTGGGGAGAGGTTCCTGGGCCAGACCGTGCTCCTGCTTGTCTGTCCACTGAGGAATTGTAATGTTTGCAGAGAGCTTTGTCATCCCTTGCTTTGTTTGTCATTTTCTCCCAGGGCTGATTAGAGACATGAGGTAGGGAGACAGGCTGGAGTGCCTGGGGCCATGTAGGAAGAAAATGTGCAAGAGATCCTGAGAATTATGTATTTTGGGCTTCTGAACTAAATGGACAAATTGCATAATTTCACTTCCAGTTGTCCACTGTCACATAGGCACAAGACATTTCAAGATCCTAGTGAGTTAACTGTACTGAGAAAGCATGTTGGAAAAGCCATCATTTTACCCAAAGACAATGAAAAATATCAAGAAACAAGAAAATACATATATTTCTATTTCATCAATTATTTTAGCCATCTGGGGCCAAGGATACAACCTTCTCCACATCACCTCATTGGTAGCTGGAGGAAGAAGCATTGGTTTTGAAGCATGTGACACCTGTTCCCACCCCAGTAAACCGAGACTTCTGTGATCTGATGTATTTTTCTCCCCACCATCCTGGGCCTCCCTCATTAATGTTCTCCCATATGACAAGGAAGACGGGTGTTAGGCATTGGCAGTGAATCCTTGTCATCCATAAAAACTGAAGAAGTTGGGGTTTTCCTATCATCACTCAATAAAGTATCCTGTTGGTAACACTAGTTTTTCATAATAATGCAGTTGTTGCTGAAAAGTGATTTGGTCACTGTACATTAGAGTATTTTCAATAACAGAACTTAAAAAAAATCACCAAAATAGAGAAATACAGTACATGCTGATGAAGAAGAGGATGGGGAAATCTAACGACCTAGATTTTCTTTAAAAATCACAGTGGAATGTCAGCTCTATGGCTCTGGGAGTCTTGCTGATGCATCTTTTCATTGCCTTGCCCCTTGCTCCTGTTGGTCATCCATCAGGAGGAGGCTGCAGGTGCAGAGTGTGGACTTGGCCACCCATCAGGAGGAGGCTGCAGGTGCAGAGTGTGGACTTGGCCACCCATCAGGAGGAGGCTGCAGGCGAAGTGTGGACTTGGCCGCCGGCCACCCATCAGTAGGAGGCTGCAGGCAGAGCATGGACTTGGCCACCCATCAGGAGGAGGCTGCAGGTGGAGTGCGTGGACTTGGCCACCCATCAGGAGGAGGCTGCAGGTAGAGCGTGGACTTGGCCACCCATCAGGAGGAGGCTGCAGGTGGAGTGTGTGGACTTGGCCACCCATCAGGAGGAGGCTGCAGGTAGAGTGTGGACTTGGCCACCCATCAGGAGGAATCTGCAGGCACAGAGTGTAGACTTGGCCACCCATCAGGAGGAGGCTGCAGATAGAGTGTGGACTTGGCCACCCATCAGGAGGAGGCTGCAGGCGCAGAGTGTGGACTTGGCCACCCATCAGGAGGAGGCTGCAGGTGGAGTGCGTGGACTTGGCCACCCATCAGGAGGAGGCTGCAGGTAGAGCGTGGACTTGGCCACCCATCAGGAGGAGGCTGCAGGTGGAGTGTGTGGACTTGGCCACCCATCAGGAGGAGGCTGCAGGTAGAGTGTGGACTTGGCCACCCATCAGGAGGAATCTGCAGGCACAGAGTGTAGACTTGGCCACCCATCAGGAGGAGGCTGCAGATAGAGTGTGGACTTGGCCACCCATCAGGAGGAGGCTGCAGGCGCAGAGTGTGGACTTGGCCACCCATCAGGAGGAGGCTGCAGGCAGAGTGTGGATTTGGCCACCCATCAGGAGGAGGCTGCAGGTGGAGTGTGTGGACTTGGCCACCCATCAGGAGGAGGCTGCAGGTAGAGTGTGGACTTGGCCACCCATCAGGAGGAATCTGCAGGCACAGAGTGTAGACTTGGCCACCCATCAGGAGGAGGCTGCAGATAGAGTGTGGACTTGGCCACCCATCAGGAGGAGGCTGCAGGCGCAGAGTGTGGACTTGGCCACCCATCAGGAGGAGGCTGCAGGCAGAGTGTGGACTTGGCCACCCATCAGGAGGAGGCTGCAGGCAGAGCATGGACTTGGCCACCCATCAGGAGGAGGCTGCAGGTGGAGTGCGTGGACTTGGCCACTCATCAGGAGGAGGCTGCAGGCAGAGTGTGGACTTGGCCACCCATCAGGAGGAGGCTGCAGGCAGAGTGTGGACTTGGCCACCCATCAGGAGGAGGCTGCAGGCAGAGCATGGACTTGGCCACCCATCAGGAGGAGGCTGCAGGTGGAGTGCGTGGACTTGGCCACCCATCAGGAGGAGGCTGCAGGTAGAGTGTAGACTTGGCCACCCATCAGGAGGAGTCTGCAGGCGCAGAGTGTAGACTTGGCCACCCATCAGGAGGACTCTGCAGGTGCAGAGTGTAGACTTGGACACCCATCAGTAGGAGGCTGCAGGCAGAGTGTGGACTTGGCCACCCATCAGGAGGAGGCTGCAGGTGGAGTGCGCGGACTTGGCCACCCAACAGGAGGAGGCTGCAGGCAGAGTGTGGACTTGGCCACCCATCAGGAGGAGGCTGCAGGCAGAGCATGGACTTGGCCACCCATCAGGAGGAGGCTGCAGGTGGAGTGCGTGGACTTGGCCACCCATCAGGAGGAGGTTGCAGGTAGAGTGTGGACTTGGCCACCCATCAGGAGGAGTCTGCAGGCGCAGAGTATAGACTTGGACACCCATCAGGAGGAGGCTGCAGGCACAGAGTGTGGACTCCTCCACCGCTGCCTTCCTGCCACACTGAGACTCTGCAAATGAGGGTTGGAATGTAGGACTCCTTAGTGGGACAGCCCCTTTCTTACATAGAGCTGCTTGACTCTGGACACATTATTTAGCCCATTACAACTTCTTTTTCTTCATTTTTAAAATATCAGCCTGCTTTCTTCACAGAATTAGATTATTTTTAAGTCATCTGCATCTATCTACATGCACCATCTGTAAAGTATAAAATTTCATACCGGTGTGACTGTTAATGTTATCTTTGAACATCATACAACAATACAAACAATATAGGATTAAGGACCAACATGAAACTGCAGATTATGGAAGCAAACTGTCAGAGGCCTGAGGGGTACAGACTGCTTTTGAGATCTTGAGCAAATAACCAAGCTGCTCTGAACCTTAGTTTCCTTGTTTGTGATATGAAGGGTTTGGATTATGTGTTCCTTCCTCTTCAGTGATTCTCTGAGTGGGAAAAGCTATAAGTGGTACAGGAGTTCAAAGAAAAAGAAATCAATAACGTGAGACTAATATGAGGCAAAAAGGAATAAAAATTGCAGTGGAGAGAATAGAGAAAAGAATGCAAAGAAGTACATCAGGACACAACAGAAAGGAAACCAAATTAGGCTGAAATAAAGCAAATCTTCCATTTAAAATGGTGACTGATTTGCCCTTTTGCGACTTTCCATTTGAATACTGATGAGTGTGTGCTCACCAAAGACAGCGGCAGCTTCGTAAGGCCAGGGAAGTACTCAAGACTTGTCAGTAGTATATTAAGTAAAAATATACTATTGCCTATTTTTATTTCAGAAATATAATGGTTGTTCAAGAAGGAGAAATCAATTAATGTGATTTTTACATTAGAAGTTTAGACTAAAAAATCCTGGTATTATCTTGATAGAAGTTAACAAAACTCAACATTCATTATTATTAATGATTCATAGTAAACTTAGAATAGAAAGATATGTAGTACTGAAAGGATACCAGGAATAGAAGGAATAATTTTTTAGCCAGAGTCATCCTTAATGGTAAATATTGACACAAGGTTTTAGACCTTGAGGGAGGCAATCCAGAAGCTTCTGTAGGGCAGGATTTTGCAGCTTTAGCGCTGTTGCAGTTTGGGGCTGGATGATTTCTTGTAGTTGGGACTGTCTTATGCTCTGCAGGATGTGGAGCAGCCCCCCTGGTCCCACCCACCAGATGCCAGTAGCACCCCCTGTCCCAGTTGTGACAACCAAAAATGCCTGTAGACATCGCCATATGTCCGTGGGGACAAAATCATCCTGGTTGAAATCCTTGCTGTAGGACAGCAGGCATAAAACCTTCACAGAGTCCATAGCAGCCCTGTCATGTGGACTCTGAAACGTGGTCCGAGTGCCCGAGGAACTGACTGTGATATTACTGAAATTCGATTCATTTATATTTGAATAGCCACATGTGGTTAATGTGATCCTGTTGAACCTATTGAACCACTCAAGTTTATGATGCCAAAATATTCCACTTCTAGCAAATCACACTAAAGCACCCATCAGAGGTACGTTCAAAATGCTTGTTCCTGGCAATGTAATTTTTGTTAATGAAAACGTTAAAATAATTCAAAGTATCTTAGTAGGAGCTTTCATCACAATGTTTGTTACAGGTAAGTCAGGACTTGAGGGTCTGGGAAGCAAAGTCAGTTTGAGTCCTGACACCGGCAGTGATTTTCTTTGGATTCTCATGTACAATAACACCACCAGGCAGGGTCTGCCCTTTTGGGAAGCTATGGATTTGCCTTCATTTAGTTTATTTTTCACCAATTTTAATGTCCTCCCACTATTGCACCCCTTTGCTCAGACTGACAAAGTTTCTCATTACGGAAACATAATTATATGTTTTTAAGGTGCTTCTGTTCATTTAGAGAATTCCATATTATTCTAAGTGAGTCAAAAACCAACTGAGAATCGGGTGAAGAGAGTAAAGGCAAAAAGGTTAAGAGGAAGGATGACTTCACATTCTTCTAGGAAGCAATCTTTACCTTCCATGAGCCAACGTTGTTTGATAACTGCCCACCATAGGCAAACGTTGTTTGATAACTGCCTGAATGTAAAGCCCAGTATTCACTCAACTGATATTCTGGGAGAGTAAGGATTGTATTTGGGAACTTTTGAAGTGGTCACGATTCTGAGATTCTTCTTTGGAATGTATTTCCCAGGCTGTCGCAATCCACACTGCCACTCTTCTATCTCCTGAAAGACATGATTCTGAGTGTTTGATGGATCACAGTGGTCAGGAACCGAGGCCAGGATCAGCGTTCTCTCTGCCTGCCACTGTCCTGTAGCTCCCACAGCTGGGCGGCACACGTGTTCTGTCTGAGAGGACAGAAAGGCACCCCTGAGCAGCTGAGTCCCAGTGTGGCGTGCTCTCTGATGGCAGGTCCCTCTGATGGCCTGCCTGCCACCTGCAGAGTCCCCACTTCTCTGGGGACACTATGTGGCTCTGGCCATGGCACCATTCTGATGACAGAATCAGCATCAGCACCTGAGTTAAAACCTCAAATGCAACACACCAACATGGCACATGTATACATATATAACTAACCTGCACGTTGTACACATGTACCCTAAAACTTAAAGTATAATAATATAAAAAAACAAAAAAAAAAAACCTCAAATACAGAAATCTTTTCTTAAAATGGCTTGCTTGTAATTTTACCTTTAACATAATGTAATGTTCGTGATGGTCTTCCAAAATAAGAGTCAAATCTTGGAAAGGTCACGTGAGTAACTGGAAGCTATGGAGAATGGGGAGCCCCGAGGTGGCAGGACTCAAGTGACCCTCCAGCCGCAGCCTCCCAGATGGAGAGTATTTTTAAATGACAGTTTTTTTGTACATAGTTGCGAAAAATAAATTATTATCGAAGTTAAAATTAATCTACTTAGTTTCAAATATCTTTAGGAGATGTAAGAAGACAGAGAAGCAACCTTCTCAATGATTTAATCAGATCATTTAACCATCTTAAAAATATTCTGGGCCAGGCGCAGTGGCTCATGCCTGTAATCCCAGCAATTTGGGAGGCTGAGGTGGGCGGATCACCTGAGGTCAGAGTTTGAGACCAGCCTGGCCAACATGGTGAAACCCCGTCTCTACTAAAAACACAAAAAGTTAGCTGTGCTTGGTGGCGAGCACCTGTAATCTCAGCTCTTTGGGAGGCTGAGACAGGAGAATTGCTTGAACCCGGGAGGTGGAGGTTGCAGTGAGTTGAGATTGTGCCATTGCACTCCAGCCTCGGCGACAATGGTGTAATTCCATCTCAAAAAAAAAAAAAAATTCTATTTCAACATGGAAGGTTTGAGGATTGTATGAAAATACAGTGGTAGAGGGTTTAGTGGGGAGGCCGGTTGCAGTTTTGTTTTTAGTTTTGCCATTTTTAAAATTTTTTAGTTTTTTTCATTTTCACAACCCTAATTCTTGTATCAGGAACGTGAACTATACAGATAAGTGACTCAGTTTTTCTCTTTACTTAAAGATGGAGTATTCTCATATCATGTAGTTATAGTCAAACGTTTTGAGGGAGTGTGCATCTGTATTTAGTATTTGGTGCATATACTAATCTAATGAGATGTATTGTTTCCAAGATTTAGTGAGTACAAATCAAAATTCATGTATTATTTCATATTCATACAAACAAGGATACACCCAGGCAGGATTTTAGAGAAAGACAAAGAGGATGTAGCTGAGGGCCGCAGAGAGCAAACGGTGTCTGTGCAGCTCTTGATGGTTAGTAAACTAGTTATTTACTAAAAATTAGTAAAATTGTTTTATGGTACATATATAATCAATGAAATTACTGTCGTTTCCATACAAAGAAACTGAAAATCAGAAAGTTTAAATGATTGGCCTTTGCCAAAAAGAGATCAAAAGATTCAAATACAAGGAGAAGGAGTGCCGGACGGGGAGACGCACGAGTCCCTGAGCTTGGTGTAGCAGGTGTTCTCACAGGTGCTCCTCCGTGTTGTCTCCGCGGCAGCCTGGCAGGGCAGATGTGGCCACTCTGAGCTGCAGTCGAGTCTCGGGGACCCACGTCCGGGGCCGACAGCGTCCAGGGACCCTCGTGCTGGGCTTTGAGGTGGGAAGTTCATCCCAGGACTCCCAACTCTTAGCCCTGCGTTTCTCACGTCCTCATCCTGATCATACCTTGCCGATGTTAATTCTGCGATTATTCTTAGTATCCCCTTTGCCTGTGGTCTTGAAATGAACAGTTTTCCAAAATAAGGGCACGTGGTGAGAAATCCTAAGTCCGTTGAATGTGCTGATGGGCAGAACCACGGATTAAGACTCTGTCACACTGGATGATCTGGAGCCGGAGAGAATGCAGGCAGAAACGCCCCATCGTCACAGAGGATGCAGGGAATTCGAATGTGAGAGTCGTAATTGTGTTTTCCTCGCCGTTCTACTCCTTGATCAGTGGAGGTAATCACTCAACACAGTTAAGACAGCTAAATCGCATTACCAACCTGCTCAAATTTGCCTGGCATATTAACTGCCTCTTCGAATGGTGCTCCATGCAAAGTGCTGGCTTCTCTCTCGGCAAGGTTATTGACATGTGTTCTTAAGATTGCAGGATGTTTTATTGACTTCATAATTATTCTGTGTGTGTGGTTAGTTTACTTTATATCTATGTGTAAGTTTATTTTATGCTCTTTAAAAGATAATAAAACTAAATTATATATGATTCTCCAAGAGAAGAGAGGGTCTTAGAGAAGAGTGGAGAGTTCTGACTTCCATTGTCTTGAGTCATTCATTTACAGAATATTGAGTTCTCACTGTCTGCTCGACGCTACAGGGAATTCGAGAAATGTGGCAGACAGGTCCTGCCTTCAGAAAGTTAAGGTAGGGTAAGGGAGATGAGAAACAACAACAATACCTATTTAATAAAATGAGAGCATTGCTACAAGTGGTGCAGAATAGAACTGGAATTCAGGGGAGAAACCATTTTTTTTAATGTCACGATTCAGAGAATTTTTACAAAGGCAGTATTTAACTAGATTTGGAAAGATATACACAATTTTAAGAAGCAGAAAAGAGAGAATAATATTTCTGAGGAAAGAAAAGGAGAAAGGAACTTTTCATGGGGGATGAGTGCTGTGTGCATGAATAGATGAAGACACAAGCCCGAGGGCACAGTGGGCAGAGGGCACGGTGGGCGGAGGGCACAGTGGGCGGAGGTCTGGGAAGCCCCCGCAGTCAGGTGTGGAGATTGCCCTGCAGCAGGCGACCCCGCAGTCAGGTGTGGAGATTGCCCTGCAGCAGGCGACCCCGCAGTCAGGTGTGGAGATTGCCCAGCAGCAGGTGACCCCGCAGTCAGGTGTGGAGATTGCCCTGCAGCAGGCGACCCTGAAACACCAAATTATTTCTCTGACTCCGGACTCTGGTTAACCCGGGTGGAGTGCTCGTGCTGCTGTGCGTTGATCGCACAATTTCCCTTCCTGATGGGAGCCTCAGTTTCCCGATCTGTCGAATGGGGTTGAAAACAGCCCCACCTCCTGGTGTTGTGGGAGAATTCAGCAGGAGGACGCATGGGAGGGGCTGAGCACACTGCTTGGCACTTGGTAACTGGTCATTAGGCCTGAATTGTGTTTTGTGACGGCCGGAAACATCCCGGACATGCAGCGTTGCTGAGATCACTGGGGGCGGGTGTGGACATGGAGGAGGTGAGGTCCGCACAGAGCGTGTAGGTGAGAGGGGCAGCAGGGCGCGGAAGCCATGCTGGAAAGAGAAAGGAGGACCCTATAGGCCTGGCTAGGCGAGGACACAGGAGTTCATCAGATAGTGCAGACGGCCCACGTGAGCTAAGAAAACTCAGACCTGACGCTCAGAAGTGATTTTAACAAAGCAGTTTTTAAAAAGTTATGAGAAGGAAAGCAAGCTGAGAAGGCTTAGTAGGAGTTCAAGTAACAGCGACGAGAGAGAATAGTGGAGAATTTTGGTAGTAAATCACACACACACACATACACACACACACACACACACACACACACACACACACACAGGAATAATATGGTAGCAATTGCAGGGTCCAAGAATGTGTGACTGAAGAGCTCTGGATGGACCTGTGCACACCACAGGCAGTGAGGAGGAGTCCAGGGAAGAGAGCGGAGCTCAAACTGGAGGGCGGGCAGAGCTGGGGGCACCAGTGCAGGCTTGTTTTGGGAAGGAGGACAGGAGAGTTGCAGATGGAGAACAATTTTAAAGAGCCAATGATTTCACTCCCTGTAGCAGTGCCCAGCAGGGACTCAGGAGACTCGAGCTCTCACCTGGGAGGTGGCAGAGTCTTTGTGCATTGGACGCCACCCTCCATCTCTGACACTTAGGGGTCCTGGTGAAAACGCACGAAAACGATCTCAAGGCCTTTGAACATCAACACGTTGTTTCTGTGTGGCTGGCCTTTCATTTTCCTATAATTCTAGTTGGAGAAAGAATCATTTAAAAAATACAAACACGCTTGAATTTTGCTAAATGCTGCAGTTTAATAATAAATATTACCTTAAAAGAAAATTTTAATTGATTTGATTGGAGAGACTTTGTGTATTAGAACTTATGATTCAGATTTCCAAATTAAGCTGCTACCTAAAATTCTAAATGCTATTATAGAAGGTATGCAGGGGCAGCGTCTACGCTGACCACCTGCTGGTCTCTCCTCTAGGGAGACTTCTGGAGAGGAAGGATCCCCGTCTGGAGATGCTTCCCAGCCATGTGAGCTAGCAGGAGGCCTGCGGAAGGGAGAGCAAGCACCCCTTGGAACCTCTCTGCACGGTCCCTCCACACTCACAGACCTGAGCCTTGCCCACTCTCATTTTGCCTGGAAAGCAGCGTTCGTGTTTCCAGAGCCTTCCCTGAGAGGGAGAGGGACGCAGCTGGGGGCAAGGAACGGGGAGGTGGTGATGGGAACAGGCTGGGATAAAGGCAGGAAGAAGTCAAAGGGCAGCAGGAGCCTGAGGGTCCACAGTCAGTGCTGCTCAGGGGATGGGGGACGGCCAGGGACTCGGGGGTGACAGGACACAGGGGCTGCTAGGTCCACCCTCCTGTGAGCTGAACTGGACTCATTCAAGGAGAAACAATTCTTTCATGTGAGGGCAGCACTACTCCACCAACAGCCAGCATCGTTTTTGTTTTGTTTTTCTCTTTTAAAACATTTCTATTACAAAATACTCTTTTTAGGGAGATTTAAGGATCCAGGAAAGTAGAAAAGCATACCAGGCCTGCCGCCAAAACATACTCACTGTGAACATCTCACTGTGTATCCCTCTAATCGTTCCTGAGCACAGAGTTTTGATGTGTTTATGTAATGATAATCCCGCACTACTAGTACATTTATTTCCCTCTTTGTACTTAATGCATGCACATTTTTTCATGTTACTGGTGTTTTTCAAAATCACAAATTTCGCAGCTTAGCGATAAGTGCATGAAGAGAATGTTGCTCAGCTGAGGGAAGGGTGGTGCAGTCGAAACAATGGGTGTCCCATTTGGGCTTGGACATTGCCATAAACTGTCCGACACACCTGACAGGTGTGAGATTGAAACTGACTCTTACACAGAAATCAAAGTCAATTAGCAATGAATTGATCTGAGAAAATGGTAAGCCCCCAAAACCAAAGCAACTTCACTGAGGTTCAAACTTGGATTGTGTAGCTGGAGGTGGACCAGTGGAACAGCGGTTGCAAATCAAATGGAGGAAGAGTCAAGCCAGCTCTGGAGGCTCAGGTGCATCCTCGTTAACTAAAAGTGCTCTAAACACTTAGTAAATGAAATTGATGGGTCTCAACAATGGAATCGATGTCAGTTGGGACAACAAATCAAGGCCTGTTGCAACACTGAGATTCTGTGCCAACACCCCGGGTGGACCTCTGGGTGTTTACTCCAGAGAATAGCCTCAAAATCAAAATGTTGTACTTCCTATAGTGATGCGTCCACATTTTCCTAGAGATGAGATGATCATATACACTGGAGAGACTAGCTTTTACATGCAAGTTGCAGAAATGTCCACAGAAAACAAACAGAACTGTGCATTTCATAATTGAAATGGGGGGCTTGTGAAGTTACAGATACGTTTTCAGGACTCAGGTAGATTCTAACGTAATTCTAACATGCAACCTAAATTTTAAATGTTAAGACATGGATGTATTATGCCAATAGAACCATAAGCATCTTATGATGGCGTGATTAAACAGTAAAAGTCAAATTTTAATACACATTATTCAACTCACAGCACCTTATGTATTAGTCTGTTCTCATACTGCTGATAAAGATCTGCCCAACACTTGGTGATTTATAAAGGAAGCAGGTTTAATTGACTCACAGTTCAGCAGGGCTGGGGAAGCCTCAGGAAACTTACAATCATGGCAGAAGGGGAAGCAAACACATCCTTCCTCCCATGGCGACAGCAAGAAGTGCAGAGTGAAAGGGGGACAAGCCCCTTATAAACCATCAGATCTCGTGAGAACTCACTATCAGGAGAACAGCATGGAGGTAACCGCCCCCATGATTAAATTACTGCCCACTGGGTTCCCCCCGTGACACATGGGGATTATGGGAATCGTCAGTTTCAAATGAGACTTGGGTGGGGACACAGCCAAATCATATCATCTTACATTCTCAGTAATGATTTTAGAAAACAATATCCTTTTGGCCTGCTCAAACATAGTTTCCCAAAGGAATGAGGTTGGTTTTTAAAAGGTTACTTATGGAACCCATATATGAGGGAGCTCCCAGTGAACATGCTAGCAGAGATGCTTCTGTGGGTTGAGGGTGAACGGTGCTTTCAGTTACCACCTGGAGTCAGCCAAGCACAGGGTGAGGGCATCGTTCCCACACCGTCTAGAAGTCCTCACTTCCAAAAAGAGCCACAGGGGTGGGGGCCTCAGGTTCCCTCTCACTGCACACTAGTGGGCTACACATTTGGTGGTCCCCATAGATTCCCTGAGGTTTGATACTTCCCCAGAGCTACTACGGAACTCAGGAAAGTGCTCTATGGATGATTACAGTTTGAAGGCAAATTGACACAAATCAGGACTGGCTGAAGGGAGGGAGGCACAAGGTGGCATCTGGCACTGGGAGGGATGCAGTCATGAAGGTATTGTCAGCCTCAGGTCCTCCTACCCTCCCAGTGTTGACCATGGCTGGTACATAGTGTGGCACCTGGGAACGCTGTCATCCTCAGCACTCGCTAGTCACCAGCATTGACCGTGGCCATGTGCATAGTGTGGCCACCTGGGAACGCTGTCATCCTCAGGACTCACTAGTCACCAGCATTGACCATGGCCATGTGCATAGTGTGACCACCTGGGAATGCTGTCATCCTCAGGACTCGCTAGTCACCAGCATTGACCGTGGCCACGTGCATAGTGTGGCACCTGGGAACGTTGTCATCCTCAGGACTCGCTAGTCACCAGCATTGACCTTGGCCGTGTGCATAGTGTGGCCACCTGGGAACGCTGTCATCCTCAGGACCCGCTAGTCACCAGCATTGACCGTGGCCATGTGCATAGTGTGACCACCTGGGAATGCTGTCATCCTCAGGACCCGCTAGTCACCAGCATTGACCGTGGCCATGTGCATAGTGTGACCACCTGGGAATGCTGTCATCCTCAGGACTCGCTAGTCACCAGCATTGACTGTGGCCGTGTGCATAGCGTGACCACTTAGGAATGCTGTCATCCTCAGGTCTCGCTAGTCACCAGCATTGACCTTGGCCATGTGCATAGTGTGGCCACCTGGGAATGTTGTCATCCTCAGGACCCTCTAGTCACTAGCATTGACCGTGGCCATGTGCATAGTGTGGCCACCTGGGAATGTTGTCACTCTCAGGACTCGCTAGTCACCAGCATTGACAGTAGCCATGTGCATAGTGTGGCACCTAGGAATGCTGTCATCCTCAGGACTCGCTAGTCACCAGCATTGACCGTGGCCACGTGCATAGTGTGGCACCTGGGAACGTTGTCATCCTCAGGACTCGCTAGTCACCAGCATTGACCGTGGCCGTGTGCATAGTGTGGCCACCTGGGAATGCTGTCATCCTCAGGACTCGCTAGTCACCAGCATTGACCTTGGCCATGTGCATAGTGTGGTACCTGGGAATGTTGTCACCCTCAGGACTCACTAGTCACCAGCATTGACCGTGGCCATGTGCATAGTGTGGCACCTGGGAATGTTGTCGTACTCAGGACCTGCTACCCTCCCGTCATTGACCACAGCCGTGTGCATAGTGTGGCCACCTGGGAATGATGTCACCCTCGGGACTCGCTGCACTCCCGATATTGACCACGGCCATGTGTACAGTGTGGCACCCGGGAACACTGTCATCCTCAGGACCTGCTGCCTTCTCGGCATTGACAGTGGCCAGGTGCATAGCGTGACCACCTGGGAATGTTGTCACCCTCAGGACCCACTAGTCACCAGCATTGACAGTGGCCATGTGCATAGTGTGCCACCTGGGAACACTGTCATCCTCAGGACTCGCTAGTCACCAGCATTGACCTTGGCTGTGTGCATAGTGTGGCCCTGGGAGTGTTGTCATACTCAGGGCCTGCTACCCTCTCGACATTGACCATGGCCATGTGCATAGTGTGGCCACCCGGAAAGCTCACTGAGCCTTGAAGCCCAAATCTCAAGGCTGGAGTGACCAGCCCCACTTCGAATCACCTTCTTAGCATGAACTCTCAGGTGGGGTCCAGGGCCTCACCATGCCCAACAGAGACACTCATCACTCTGGAAATCCCAAGGGTTTAGAGATTGTCTCCCAGGAGCTAAGGCAAAGCCAAGCCTCTCTTTGGTTCTTCATAATTACTAAGCTTAATTTTTGCACCTGTCTTAGATAAGACCAGGCAATACGTTTAAAAAGGAGCTTTCACTCTGACCAGCCAGTTGTCAAGGCAAGGTACCTGCTATAATTGGACTGCATACAAATGCTCCATTCAGGCACGAGCCACACATATGTATAAAAGAAGGCTAAAAGGGAAAGGAATGGGTGTCTTGCATTGGCTGAGGCCTGACTGTCCCTCAAGCACAGTGCTTTTGTAAACCAGCCCAGCAACTCAGACATCTCAGGGCACAATCCAGACTCCAGCTGGAAGACCGAGCTGTTCTGCCTCCCGAGGTGGGCCAGGCCACACAAATGAGCAGGAAGTTCCTGCCCAGCCAGTGACCACGGTCCATCTGTATCTTGGATTAAATCTCTGTATTCCTACATTGCCTCGAGAGTTTGCTGTGGCCTTGCTCCAGCTGCCTGACAAACCAAAACACAGCCCACCTTAGGCATTACCAACATAACTTGTACCTTTGATTAAAGAAAGAGCTCCTCATAAGAACTATGGAAAAACGTACTTGATATTTGCTGAAAACGTTCTCAACTGAATTTTTATACTAATTACAATTTTTAAATAAAACTATTAGACCAGACTTTTAATGAGCCCTTGCATCATATTCACAGAACTTTAACATCCACTTCATTAGTATGGGTCCTTAAACATTGTATTAGTCCATTTTCACACTGCTGATAGAGACATACCTGAGACTCGGCAATTTACAAAAGAAAGAGGTTTAATGGACTCAGAGATCCACATGGCTAGGGAGGCCCCACAATCATGGTGGAAGGCAAGGAGGACCAACTCACGTCTTACACGGATGGCAGCAGGCAAAGAAGGAGAACTTATGCAGGGGAACTCCTCTTTGTAAAACCATCAGATCTCATGAGTCTTATTCACTATCATGAGAACAGCACGAGAAAGACTTGTCCCCATGATTCACTTATCTCCCACCAGGTCCCTCCCACAACGCACGGGAATTCAAGATGGGATTTGGGTGGGGACACAGCCAAACCATATCAAACATCAAGGGATGGCTCTTAGAGTTGCACTTGTTCCTCCTGTTTAAGGCTGCAGGTGTAGTCCCAGAACTTAAGAACCAAGCACGTTTCACAGAAATATGTTTATATGGCAAGACAGTTTAGGTATATTAAAAACTTTTGTAAGCATCGAAATAAATTAGTTTATACCTCTGGGGTCTTTATTTCATTATATTATTTAGACTTTGGAATAATGTTAGTGAAGTTGATACATAGAAGTAAATGTAAAACAATTCTTTCATCTTTAGATCAATGCATTTATGCAGTACACAGTAATGTGGATTCTTGGCTTCTCTATAATAATGTGACCTAATCAAATATGTAACAAATGTAGCATGAATAAATAATATTATGTTAAGGATTTGAGGCTGTATGAGACTAGAAGCAGACTTCGTGTAATCTTTATCCTAATGTTGCATTAATGTATCCAGGGAGAACATCAAGAACAAAACGAAGCCCTCCAGATGGATTCTATCCCATATCAGAAATGGTGGAGAATATCTTGCTGGGCCAGATTGAGAAGTCCCATTGACTGCCAGAGTATCTTGAGATAGCAGGGCTGGGAAAGATGGGGTCAGGTGACCATGGGGGCAGGTGATGATGGGGGAAGGTGACGATCAGGGCAGGTGATGATAGAGGCAGGTGACGATGGGGCGGGTAACAATGGGGTTAGGTGACAAGGGGGGCAGGTGATTATGGGGCAGGTTATGAGGGGGCAGATGACGATGGGGGCAGGTGACGACGGGGGAAGGTGATGATGGGGCAGGTAACAATGGGGTCAGGTGACAAGGGGAGCAGGTGATTATGGGGCAGGTTATGGGGGGGCAGGTGATGATGGGGCAGGTGATGATGGGGGCAGGTGACATTGGGGGCTGGGACAGATGGAGCAGGTGATGCACTCATTTAAGGTGCAACATTTAAGGGGACTCCAAAAAATGAGTCATAAAAATACTTAAGATTTCAATGCAGTTTTAAAAAACCAAAATTTATGCAAAAATTTATAATAATAAAAATCCAGATTGTGAACAAAGACGATCTGTAACGATGTCCTGCAGAAACCATGTGGGCAAAATGAAAAATCAGTCATGCTGATCACATCTTTTGACATTTGCTTTGTGGATTTGTTCTGGTGTGTATTCATTTTACTTATTAAACCATTACCTTCAATTTTTATTTATGTTGGTGACTGAGATTTTTGGTGCCTCTTAAATGTTGTGCCTGAGGCCAGCTCCCCTCCCCCATGCCCTGGCCCTGCTGGAGAGAGAACGACAGCAATTCTGTTTCCTAACGCAGAGTTAATGCATCTGCTCCAGCAGCAGACGGGGAGGGTGTGCTTAAGTTTATATCCTAAAGTTATTTGCTCAGGAATGTTTACTGAGCACATACTGTGAACCAAGTCATGTTCTAACCCCCTCAAGGAGTTTGGAATCTAGTGTGAGATGAAGATGTCAGGATCTCATAGCACAATAGAGCCAGGGCAGTGACTGGGGATGGAAGTGCACACCTCACCTTCACAGAGGAGGTGGCAGCTCCCCTGAGCTTTAAAGGAGGTAAGAGTGCGCAGGAGATGATGGGGTTTTGCGGAAGAGGAAAAAAGAGAGAGTTGCAAAGAAGGGGATTGCTTTAGTCCATGCCAGGGGATACCTGAAGTAGATCATTTACAAACAGCATAAATGTACAGCTCTCAGCTCTGGAGCCTGGAAGTCCAGGATCAAGACGCCAGCAGACGCCGTGCCTGGCGAGGGCTGCTTTCTGCTTCATAGCTGGAGCCTTGCTGCGGTGACCTCACATGGTGGAAGAGGCAAAGGGCTGGCAAGCTCCCCAGGCCTCTTTTCTAAGGGTGCTAATCCCATTCGTGAGGGTGGAGGCTTCATGAACTAACCAGCTGCGAAGGCCACACCTCTTAATACTCGCACATTGGGAGTTAGGTTTCAACATATGGATTTCGGGGGGAATATGGACATTTAGATCACAGCAAGGATGTCGATCTTGCAAAAGGCTGGGGTTGAGAATGAACTTGTCACTGGTCTGCAGTGAGGATGGGGAAGACCACTGGCAGCTGTGGGCAGAGAGAGGCTGTGACTACCTCTGTGGGACTGGCAGCTCACCCTGCCTCTTGTCTCTGAGAACCAGACACTGAAGTTCATTAAAGTTCATATAGCACAAAAGATTAATATAGCAAAGACAATTTTGAAATAATTAAGTAAAGGAGATGGGCAAGATTAGCCAAAATGCATATTAGAAAAGAAATACTTGAGTATTTTTGTTAAGTGAGGAAGTGGAACAACAGAATACAGATCAATTAATGAACCAGAAAAAAATAGCCCAGAAAAGAAAGCTACAGGAATCCATTGGTGCAATTTTATCTAAGTTTATAAGGTGAATATTTATTTGGTATGGGGTCATTGTTCCTCTCTCTCTCTGAGCATATGTAGGAATAGCAGAAACTTACTACAAGCATTCTTACCTGAGTGCTCTTTAAAGAGACATATAATTTACCTTTAGAACAAGCATACGACCAATATTTTGTTGCTGCAGATGTGTGGCATCTTCAAGGCATCTGTATGAGTCCATTCTCACGTTGCTATAAAGGACTACCTGAGACTGGGTAAGTTATAAAGAAAAGAGGTTTAATTGGCTCACTGTTCTGCAGGCTGTACAGGAAGCATGGCTGGGGAAGCCTCAGGAAACTTACAGTCATGGTGGAAGGGGAAGCAGGCATGTCTTACATGGCCAGAGCAGGAAGAATAGAGAAGGGGGAGGTAGCACACACTTTTAAACAACCAGATCTCATGAGAACTCACTCACAATCACAGGAACGGCAAGGGGGAACTCTGCCTCCATAATCCAATCACCTCCCACCAGGCCCCTGGTCCAACATGGGGGTTACAATTTGATGTGAGATTTGGGCTGGGACAGAAATCCAAACCATAATTGGCACCCTTCGTGGGTTCACATTGCCTCTCCCTACTGTAGCCACAGCCCATGATGGCCATGAGAAGACCCCCCAAGACATGTGATATAAAGCATGACAACCACGTTAAAAATCTATGGAAATGTGCACGCCAGCACATTGAAAGCAGTTGTATTCGGGTTGTGAAACTAAAAATATTTTTAATTTTCTACTTTTCTACAAATTTATATTTTTCTCTAATACTTGTATATTACTAACATGAAAAAAATGTTTCTCCTATTTATAGAATACTCACTCTAATACAGTTTTTGATAAAATGATAGGAAATAAAAACAATTTTTCTTTATTCTCTTCTTACTTTTATTCTTTCTTGTTCTCTTTTACATCTAATATCTATCCCAGCCTATTTCTGTTTCTGTTATTCCTTCCTTTCAGCATAACTGTTTCATGCTCCAAAATGCATCTGTGAATTCTATAAGTCAAATGTCTCTTCTATATTTGTCCTTCAAGTTTTTTCTGTTTGGAAGCATGATAAATAATCCTGGAACATGGGATGTTTGAAAAACATAGACTGAAGAAACCTGTGTGGACAAAGGAAACATGCCAGCTTATCTAGGCTGCACCCCAGTTGCCCAATCAAATGCTAACCCAGAGGTAGCTGCAAAGGTATTTCATAGAGGTTATTAACACAATCAGATGGCTTAAAGCACAAAATATTACCCTGGATAATGTGAGTGGGTCCCACCCAATCAGTTGAGGCCTTTAGAGCAAAGAACGTGGTTTCCTGGAGTAAAAGAAATTATCAAATCTGCAACTTCAGCTCCTGCCTCAGTTTCCACCCTGATGGACTGTCCTGTGGGTCTTGCACTTGTCATCCCTCACAATCACAAATATATATTCTATTGCATATGTGTGATTATATGCAATATAGACAATAAAATCTCAAATATATTTCTTATATATATGCTTTATATACACTAAATACAGTATACACAAGGAATATATACTCTAAGGAATATATGTAGGATTTTATTTCATATAGCTATATATTATATAGTATGCCTAATATTATATATAGTGTATACATTATTCTATACATATTGTTTATCATAATATGCATATTACTCCTTATATTGTATATATTTCTTATATTGCTTATATATTTCTTATGTGTACTACATAAATTATATTATTTCTTACACCTAAAATCCCATTTATTTCTGTTTCTCTGAAGGATCCTGATTCATACAGATGGACTCCTAACTCCCAGACCACATAAAAACTAACTCAAGATGTTTGCCTGTGAGGGTAGGAAAAAAATAGAGATTTTCCCTAGATGCAGGTAAAGAAATTACCTCTGCAGGCATCAGTATTAAAATAGTACCTTTGAACTATTCCTAGCCCATTTGTGGACACAGTCTTTCCATGAGTGGAATACAATTTTGTCCCTTGTTTTTGTTCTAATATGAAAGTTAGAATAACAAGAGTAACTGCTCCAGGACAAGAGAGATCAAAATGGCCAACTAGAAGAGCCCCCCATTGTCACCGAGGATATCTGAAATACTAGCTACAGGAGAGCCTCACTGTTTTCACAGGCCCTGAGCCTAGTATGAGCAACAGCCTAGAGTCCACGTGTCTGTATTACTCCAGAGAAGGGGCACAGGCTGAATCCACACAACTCCCCAGGACCCAAGCTGCTATGGCATGGCTGCATTTTCAGAACTGATCCACTGCTGTATCGCATTCTGCCCTGGGGACTAATAGTGCTTGCATCTCCACATTTCTGGGGCCCTGTCAATATCCCACCACACCCATCCAGAAGGCTGCAACACTACAATTCCAACTAGACTCAACAGTACTGCTGTGACCCTAGCACTCAAGCCCAGGCAGCATCATACCCTCCAGGCAACAGACAGTCACAGCAGGAAGGTCACCCCAGGACTGGGGAAGGTGATGTATGTGTTCCCCCAGAGATCTAGAGCCAACCACCTGGTACCCATCACCACCTACAACCTTACTTCCTCCAGTGGCAAAGGTACTGCAAGTCACACATGCCCACTGGGGACACAAGGTGACCCTTCCCTATCCAGAGGCAGAGCTGATGTATACCCTGCACATTCCCTGAAGACCAAGGAGTGGCCTGCCCATCACTGCTGACAAATTTACTTCCTCCAAAGGTGGAGCCATTGTGCACTGGATGCACCCCTTGGGGTCTGACACTGGTGATCCTACTCTATTTAGAAGTGAAACTGCTGAGTTCTATGCACACCCACAAACACTGAGGACTGCCCCCGACTGGTGCCTATTACCAGCAACCCAGCCCCCTCCAGGTACAGAGCCACTGTACACTGCATGTGCCCTGTGGGGACCAAAAAGTAGCCTCTCAGTGCCCACTTCCATGGGCAATACCACCCTCAAAACTGGCGGTGCCACCATGCCAGGTACATGTCCCTTTAAGGGCTTAGGACTCAGCCTGAATGGCGGCCTCCACCCTCAGCAAATTTGCACCACTTCCTACACACATACCCACAGTTTAGGCCACTGAAGCAGTTGCAGACACAGCTGATGTTGATTACCAATAAATAAATCTCCTGAGACTACACTTCTGTGCCCACCCAGAACCAAACCAAAGCTCCCTAGCCAGCTGACACTACAGGACACATTTACAGGAAAAAGTCCCAGCAGAAATTTAAACTCACCAGCAGAAACGTTACAGGTCAGGAGAAAATGGGATGATATAGTCAAAGTACTAAAAGAAAAAAATCCCTGGCAGTCAAGAATACTATATCCAGAAAAGCTGTTTTCCAAAAATGAAGGAGAAATTCAGTCTTTCCCACACAAGCAAAACCTGAGAATTTGTTACCACTAGATCAGCCTTAGAAGAAATACTTAAGAGAGTCCCTCTTCTAGAAGCAAAAGCAGATAACTTACATCATGTTAACACATGAAAGTAAAAAGTCACTGGTAGAGCAGATGTGTACATGTATATATATATATATATATATAGATATAGATATATACATACACACGCACATATATATACACACACATATATATATATGAGGAAGATAAAAAATTCAAACCTTATCCTTATAAGAAACCCCACAAAATCACAAAGATAAATAATAAGAGGAAGAAAGGAACAAAAGATATACAAAACAACTGGGAAACAATGAACAGAATAGCAGGAGTATGTTCTCTTCTATAAATAATAACCTTGAATGTAAGTAGATTAAATTTTCCAATTAAAAATACAGACTGATGAATACATTAAAAATAAGATTCAACTATATTCTGCCTACCAACTATATGCTGCCTACCACTTAACCTGTAAAAATACACATAAACTGAAAGTGATGGGATGAAAAAACATATTTCAGAAAAATGTAAATCAAATATAAGCAGGAGTGGCTTATTTATATCAGATAAAATAGTCTTTATGTCAAAAACTATAAAAAGAGAAAAATAATGCAATTTTATACGATAAAGGGATCAATTCAGCAGGAAAGCCTAACAATTCTAAAAACATATACATCAACACCAAAGCACTCAGGTATATAAAGCAGATATTAATAGATCTAAATGAGGGGACAGATTCCAAATATAATAAGAATAGCTGGGGACTTCAATACCCCAGTATCAGCATTAGAAAAGTTATAAAGACAGAAAGTCAACCAAGAAATATTGGATTTAAACTGCACTGCTGAACAAATGAGCCTAACAGATATTTACAGAACACTTCATCCAACAGTAACAGAATGAACTTTCTTCTCACCAGCACATGGAACATTCTGTAGGAAAGACCAAATATTAGGCCACTGAACAAGTATCAACAAATTTTTTATAAAGGAAATCTTATCAAGTATTTGTTCTGACAACAGTGGAATAAAACTAGACATGAATAAAAAGAGGAAGACTGGAAACGGTAAAAATACATGGAAATCAAACAACATGCCCATGATCAGACAGCGAGTCAAAAAAGAAACTTAAACATGTAAAAAATTTTGTAAAACAAATGAAAATAGAAGCACAACATACCAAAACATGTGACACAGCAAGAGCAGTACTAAGTGGGGGCACTTATAGAAATAAACATTTATATACAAAAAAAAAGATTTAAAATAAACAACCTAAAGATGCACACTAAGAAACCAGAAAAGCAAGAAGAAACTAAACAAAAATTAGTGGAGGGAAAGATCTAATGAGGACCCAAAGCAGAAATAAACAACATAGAGACTAAGAAAAAAGATCAACAATAAGTTGGCATTTGAAAGGACAGACAAAATTTATAAATTTCTTGCTAGAAAATGAGAGAGAAAGCTCAAATTTATAAAATCAGAAACAAAAAAGTAGACATTACAACTGATATTACAGATATGCAAAGGCTCAATAAAGACTCATAAACAACTATATGCCAATAAATTAAGAAATCTAGAATAAATGTTAATTTCCTGGACATATACAACCTACCAAGATTAAACAAGGAATAAATAGAAAATCTGTACAGATCAATAACAGATAATAAGATTGAAGCAGTAATAAAAAAAAAATCTCCCAACAAAGAAAATCCAGGACTGGGTGGCTTCATTGCTGAATTCTACTAAACATTTAAAGAACTAACACCAATTATTTTAAAATTATTCCAAAAACTTGAAGAGAAGAGAATTCTTCCAAATTCAGTCTATGAGGCCAGCATTAACCTGATATCAAAACCACACAAGGACACGTACACACACAAAAGAAAACTACAGACCAATATTCCTGATGAACATTGATGGAAAATCCACAACAAAATGCAGACTGAATCCAACAGCACATCCAAAAATTATATAACATGATCAAATGGAATTTATCCTAGGAATGCAAGGACGGTTCAACACATGCAAATTAATAAACATGTTATATCACATCAACAGAGTGAAAGATAAAAACTCTATGATCATCTTAACAGATGAAGAATTGTCATGTAATACAATTCAATGTTCCTTCATGATAAAAAAAATTATATATAGAAGAAATGTACCTCAACACAATAAAGATCATCTATGACAAACCCACAGCTATCATCGTTGGGGAAAAGTTGAAAGCTTTTTCTCTAAGAACTGAAATAAGGTAAGGATGACTACTTTTACCATTCTTACTTAACATAGTCCTGGAAGTTCAAGCCAGAGTAATTAAGGAAATAGAAAGAAATAAAGGACATAGAAATTGGAAAGGAGGAAGTCAAATTGTCTCTGTTTGCAGATGAACTAGTCTTATATATATTAAAGCCTAAACACTCCATCAAAAGCTGTTAGAACTTACAGACAAATTCAGGAAAGAAGTAGGATACAAAATCAATATACAAAAATCAGTACTGTTTCTATAAATGCACGATGAACTAGCTTAAACTAGCTTAAAAAGAAATCAAGAAAGCAATTCCATTTACAATACAAACACAAATTTACAGTGCCTAGGAATAAATTAACCAAGGAGGTGAAAGATCTCTACAGTGAAAATTATAAAACTCTGATCAATTTGATTGAAGCAGACAAACACACACTGAAAATGGAAAGACATCTTGTGTTCATGAATTGGAAGAATAAATAATGTTAAAATTACCATATTACCGAAAGCAGTATATAGATTAAATGGAATCCCCATCAAAACACTGATGATATTCTCCACACAAATAGAAAAAATATCCTAAAATTCATACAGAACCACAAAATACCTCAAATAGCCAATCAATTCTGAGCAGACAGAACAAAGCTG
Source organism: Homo sapiens (assembly GCF_000001405.40). Taxonomy (NCBI): domain Eukaryota; kingdom Metazoa; phylum Chordata; class Mammalia; order Primates; family Hominidae; genus Homo; species Homo sapiens. The sequence continues at coordinate 78,464,347 of NC_000018.10, read as the reverse complement.
GAGGTATCACACTACCTGATTTCACAATATACCACAAAGCTGTAAGAACCCAAACAGCATGGTACTGGCATAAAAACAGACAGACCAATGTAACAAAATAGAGAACACAGAAATAAATCTGTATTATTTACAACCAACTGATTTTCAACAAAGGCAGCAAGAACATACATTGTGGAAAGGACAGTCTCTTTAATAAACTGAATATTTATATGCAGGAGAACAAAACTGGACCCATATGTCTCACCATACACAAAAATCAACTCAAAAGTGAAATAAAGATCTAAATGTAAGACCTGAAACTGTGGAGCTACTAGAAGAGAACACAGAGAAAAATGCCTCAGGACATTGGTCTAAGTAAAGAACTTATGGATAAAACTTCAAAAGCACAGGCAACAAAAAGAAAGGTGGACAAATGCGATTACATCAAACTAAAAACCTTCTTTACATGGAAGAAAGCAATTAACAGAGGAAAGAAAATTTCAAAATGGGATGAAATATTTGCAAAGTATTATCTGCTTACAAGGGATTACTACTCAGAATATACAACGAACTCAAACAATTCATGGCAAAAAATAAAACTGAAAAAAGAAGAAGAAGAAAAGAAAATCTCATCAAAAAATCGGCAAAGAACCTGAACAGGCACTTCTCACAAGAATGCACACAACAAGTAAATGAAAAAAATCACCTGGCCAATAGGTAAATGAAAAAATTTCCACTATCACTGATAATCATGGAAATGCAACTCAGAGTCACAATGAGGTATTATCTTATCCTAGTTAGAATGGCTAGTATCAAAAATACAAATAATAACAGATGTTGGTGAGGAGGTGAAATGGGTAGGAATGTAAATTAGTACAACCTCTATGGTAAACAGTAAAGAGTTTCCTCAAAAAACTATAAAATAGAGCTACCATATAATCCAGCAATCCCACTACTAGGTATATACCAAAGAAAGGAAAATGTGTTTAAAGAAAGGAAAACATGTGTACTGAAGTGATGGCTGCACCCCCATGTTTATTGCAGCACCATTCACAATAGCTGAGGTATAGAATAAACCTAATTGTCGACCAACAGATAAATTGATTAAAAAATGTTATATATAGATTGGTTTCAAGTCTTTGCTATTTTAAATAGTGCTGCAATAAACATACGTGTGTATGTGTCTTTATAGTAGAATGATTTATAATCCTTTGGGTATATCCCAAGTAATGGGATTGCTGGGTCAAATTGTATTTCTGGTTCTAGAGCCTTGAGGAATCGCCACATGGTCTTCCACAATGGTTGAACTAATTTACACTCTCACCAACAGTGTAAAAGTGTCCCTATTTCTCCACAGCCTTGCCAGAATCTGTTGTTTCCTGACTGTTTAATAATCACCATTCTTACTGGCATGAGATGGTATCTCATTGTGGTTTTGATTTGCATTTCTCTAATGACCTGTGATGTTGAGCATTTTTTCATGTTTCTTGGCCACACATAAGTGTCTTCTTTTGAGAAGTGACTGTTCATATCCTTTGCCCACTTTTTGATAGGGTTGTTTGTTTTTTCTTGTAAATTTATTTAAGTTCCTTGTAGATTTTGAATATTAGGCCTTTGTCCACCAATGATAGACTGGATAAAGAAAATGTGGCACATATACACCATGGAATACTATGCAGCCATAAAAAACAATGACTTTATGTCCTTTGCAGGGACATAGATGAAGCTGGAAGCCATCATTCTCAGCAAACTAACATAGGAACAGAAAACCAAACACCACATAGTCTCACTTATAAGTGGGAGTTGAACAATGAGAACACATAGACACAGGGAGGGGAACATCACATACTGGGGACTGTCAGGGGTTGGGGCCAGAGGGGAAGGAGAGCATTAGGACGAATACCTAATGCATGTGGGGCTTAAAACCTAGATGATGGGTTGATAGGTGCAGCAAACCACCGTGGCACATGTATACCTATGTAACAAACTTTCACGTTCTGCACATGTATCCCAGAACTTAAAGTAAAAAAGAAAAATGTGATATATATACACAATAAAATACTATTCAGCCACAAAAAAGACTGAAATCCTGTCATTTGCAGCAACACAGAGGAGCCTGGAAGACATTCTGTTAAGAGAAACAAGCCAGGCACAGCAAGATAAACATTGCATGTTCTCACTCATATGTGGAAGCTAAATAAGTGGAGCTCATAGAAGTAGAGAGCAGAATAGTGATTACCAGAGGCTAAGAAGGGTCAGGGGTATGGGAGTGCTAGAGGAGGTAGGTTTGTAACAGATACTAAATTAAAGGCAGATAGGAGGAATATGTTCCAGTGTTCTATCGCACTGTGGAGTGATTATAGATAACAATTTATTCTGTATCTTCAAATAGCTAGAAGAGAGGTTTTGAATGTTCCCAAGTCAAAGAAATGATAATTGTTTGAGATGATGGATATGCTAATTTTGATTTGATCATTGCACATTATACACAGGTATTGAAATATCACACTGTGACCCATAAATATGCACAATTATGTATCCATTAAAGAAAATAATAACAAGAGGAAATATCTGTGTGGTAGGCAGGATGATGCCCCCCACCCCAACGATGTCCACATCCTGGTCCTGGAACCTGTGAACACGTCAGGGAACGTGGCAAAAGAGAATGAAGTTGGCCAATGGAATCAATGCTGTACATGAGCTGACCGTAAACTAGGGAGTGTCCTGGATTACTAGGTGGGCTCTACTCACATGAGCTCTTCAGAAGAGGAAGAGGGAGGCAGCGGGAGGGCTGGAGGGATGCTGCCTGATGACCGAACGCTCTATTGCCACCATTGCCGATGCAGGGGGTGCCATAAGGATGCAACTGGCCAGGTCTTGCAGACGGCTCATAGAATCCAGGCAGGAGGATGCTGGGGTGAGGGCTCAGCGGGAGGGAAGAGCACACTACTGCACCTGAGAAGGTCCTTGTTACGCAGGGGCCAGATGCTTGGTGGATTCGTGTCCTGCAGTTTTGTGGCAAGAAGAGTGTGAACACCATGAAACACTCAGCGAGAAAAATTCCAAGCAAAGTGTGGAGATGATAGCCTGTTTCTCCTTGCTACTGCTTATAGTAAAATGCAAGAAGAGAAAGATAAATTGAGCGAAAAATTATTAAATGAAAATGAACTAAATCTTGATAATTTGGAAAATGCTCAGCCTATCCAGATTGCAAAACACACTAGAGTTAAGGTCTTTATCTGGAAAGAGACCTCCAGAGAAGAAGCTGAGGTGTGGCAGCACAATCTTTCACTAAAACCTCAGAAAGATCAAAGATTGGAGGGTCGGTCACTCAGGCGCTCTTTGAAGAGATTAAGGGTGTGGCCTAGGTTTCTCCTTCAATCAAACCATAGGGCAAGAGAAAGCTGAAGGCATTGTCCCTCAGCCATCTCGGCAAAAGCCAAACAGAGATGGGGCTGTGTGGGAAAGACCTATGGACGAGCCCCTTGTGTAATAGCAGGAGTCCCAGGGACTGATGTGGGAGAGCCACAGAGTTCTAGAATTTTGGATCAGCAGAAACGCTGCCAGCTGGATCCAGAAGGAACAGACAGGACAACATGAAAGAAGGCAGGAAACAGATGAATAAAATCACTCAGCAGCAAATAAACACTATCTTTCATAAGAAAGGAAAAGGGCTCAGGGCAGAGCCCTGGTGACAGGAATGTGTCCCAGACCTCAGAACCTAATGCAATTTCTCATTTTGAAATTGCTTGGGACCAGTTACTCCTTTTTTTCTCCCATATTCTCCCCTGTAAATCAGGATACCTAACTAATACCCTCTGCTCATGACATCATTGTATTTTGAGAGCAAGTAATTTGTTTCCTGGTTTCCCAGGTCCACAGATAGAAAGGATGGATTATACTCAGAGCCTCACTCATACCTGACATAGTCGATGGGTAATGGCAACTAACACGACACTTTAGGGGAAGGCAGTACAACCTAGGATCCCAAACTGCCATGTTGAATAGACGTTCAACAGATTTTCTTCCCTGCTTACTTATTCAAAGCAGGATACGTAAGTGCACAGCTGTGTGATTTACTTATAAGTAGTAGTTGCTAATATGACTTTTAATAAACAGTATTTTATTAAATCAGTATTTAATTAAAACAGTATTTTATTAAATTTAGCAAATCCTCCCACTCATCTTTACGATGTTTTATTTTCATTTTAGAATAAAAATAGAATCATGAGAATTCTTCCTACAAAGGATCGTGTCATAATCTAACATTTTACTAAGGTTGTTTGTATCAATTAGCACAAAGTCTTTTACATGCAAATTTTAGACTGGTATAGCTTCATAGAAGTTTTGGGAGTGAAAATGAATCCAGCAATATTATCCCATGTCACAGAAGAGGAATACTCAGAGGAGAGACAAGCTTGCTTGAGCAAACATTGCAAGTTTCTGCCTGGCTTGGCGGTAGAATGCAAGTTTGCTGACTTGGACTTCTTGCCTCATGTATCTGCCGTTGCCAAATTTTTCTCTTATGACCTCGAGTGACATTATAGCCTGTTCCACCCCTGAGGGAACTGGTACCAACATGTTGGAAATCTTTCATTATACAGAGCATCTACATTAGGTACTAAAACAATAAAACTCTGGATTATTATTATATTATACTGTGCCCACAAATGGCATAATTACAAACCAATCCCTAATTCCAGGGAGTTCAAAGAGGTCAAATGTTTAATTGAAATGGAATATTTGAGCTAAATTGCTAGTGCAGTACTTCAATATTATTGAAGTACTAATAAATACATTAAAAGACTGTTAGCAGAAGTACTTCCTGCTGAAGAATGATCATCCGAAGAACGACATTAGTTCATTTTGTAATATGCAGAGAGTGTTGTTTCAAGCTAATTAAATGCCATGCATTTTTGATAGCACTTAACAATATGTGGTTAATTATTATTATGCAGGGTTTGTTCTATAGCATTAATTATGATGAACTCATTTGGCTTTTACAAGGATAGGGAGTGTGCTGGTTTGGGAGGTGCAGTGCTTATGATGTTTGGTTGTAATTTAGATTCAAATTATTAAACTTTGGAGCTTTACAGAAAAAAACTAAAGAGTTTTCAAATAGATTCTAACATTGAGTCAAAAAATATAGTTTCGGAAATAATCTTACTAGGTTTGACATTTTTATAAGATTTACCCCACATTGAAGAGTGTCATTGTGATGTAAACCGCTGTGAGAAGTGCACACGTGAACAAAATATATAGTTTAGGAAATAATCTTACTAGGTTTGACATTTTTATAAGATTTACCCCACATTGAAGAGTGTCGTTGTGATGTAAACCGCTGTGAGAAGTGCACACGTGAACAAAATATATAGTTTAGGAAATAATCTTGCTAGGTTTGACATTTTTATAAGATTTACCCCACATTGAAGAGTGTCGTTGTGATGTAAACCGCTGTGAGAAGTGCACATGTGAACAAAGCCACACCACCTGGACTCAAGGACTCTGTTGCCTATGCAAGCTGAAGAATTTCCGATACCCTAATCCACATTCCCATGAACTCTTTACCGTGAACTGTGTCTCTCTGAGTCCTCTCTCTCCAGGCAGACACAAAGCTTCCCTTGCTTGCTGGGGAGGTTCTTACATCCTGGGTCAAGGATCCTCCTCTCCCCAAAGAGGTTTGAGAACATGGATGCATCAGAATTCAGCCCCAGACACCCTGATTCACAAAGTCTGCAGTGGGATTTGGAAATTGTACTTTTAAAAGTGGGCAAGTGCCTGGGGCCTGGGATTGGGTACGGGAAGTGACTGCAGATGCCTGCCAGCTGTCTTTCTAGGGTGATAAGGATGTCCTCAAATTCAATTGCGATAGTGGTTGCACAGCTCTGTGGACTTACTAAAAATCATTGAATTGTACAACTAAAATGAGCACATCTGATGGTCTATAAATTACATCTCGACACAGTGAGTGGGTGACTCTAGTGGCAGGGGCGGGCAGCTTCACACCCTGCACAGGGAGGGGTATGGGTGGGGGGCTCCACTGCAGCCTTGGGGCCCATTGTCTGCGCCCCCCTCCCCTGCTTGCCTCCTTCCCAGGTTCAGAGAAGAACCTTGGTGCACACATCTCTTCAGATCTCTCCAGAATGCGGAGTCATCTCCCAACTCAGTCTTGCTAGACAGTGGCCAAGGAGCACTGAGCTCTCAGGGCCCTCGGATTGGACCTGATCCTCGTCTGCAGATCTTGCTTTAAGATGTCTTTTGTTAATACAGTATGTACATGTAATTAAAGGGTGGTGATTTCTAGCAATTTGTAGTGTCATAAACTTTTCATCAAAATGCAGCATAGTTGTTGGACAGTAACTATCTGTAAGCAGTGTTTGAAGCCAGCTAGAGGCTGCTGTGGCTTCAGTCAGAAGAGACACAGGAAGAGAAGCTGTGTGTGAGGTTGGCGTAACCCCAATAACAAAAGGAAACCCAGTCTCTGATGGCGAAGCCACCACACAGCGTCAGTTTCCTCAATAGCCTGTGGCAGCGACAGTGCCCCTCATTATTTAATCCTGGGGGCGTCGTGCACTGGCACGGCCACTTCCACTCCCTGTCTTAAAAAACTGATCCTGATTACCCCAGTATGAGATGCTGGGGGCTCCATGGAAGCCTCATGGAGAAAGCTGCTTTTACATAGAAGGCAAGGATACCCAAGTTTCCAAGGGTCGTTTTTGAACGTCCTACTAACAAAATGATTTAATAGGGCATGTTGCAGAAACTCTTCTCTACGGTCACCATGAGGGTATGTAAGTAGAAGGAAGGTTTGTTTTAACAACAACAGCAAAACCCACTATTATTACCAAAATAATATCTTCCATGAACTTCTGTTGAGGTGTTCTGAGGGCTGAGTTCTCTGGGGTGACCAATGTGTTTCATCAAAAGCAAGCACACGGCATGGAGGAAGGAGCAGGCCCCGCCCCAGGTCCCGTCCCTGGTAGAGACATTGGTGTCAGGAGGCCTGGGCCCCGAGGAGGCCTCAGAGCAGTGGCGATGACTCCATCTGTGTTGAGCTTATTTTCTTCTTTCAAAGCCTGTGTCTCTGGCTCTTCCTGCATTCCTATGAGAATTTCAGGGCGAGTGTTATTTGTGAGCTAAGTGCAAAGGCCGGGGGTGGCTCACACGGTGACAGGTGGCAAAATTAGGCCAAACGCCTAGATTCGGAGGCAAGAGCAGGGCCCGGCAGCAGGGGGGATGCGGCTGGCAGGGCCCCTCCCCCAACAGAATAAGGTGGCCAAAAAACAGGTTCCACACGTGGGGATGCTATGACTTCTGGGCATCTCACTCTGTGTCTTTCTTATTTGCTTTCGTTCTGCTCACAGGAATCTTCTTATTTCTTATTTCTCCACTTTACATATTTCTGCATTATTTTAGGAAATACTAAATGAAGGAGAGAGGAGGGGAGGACTGAGTTTACGGGTGATATGCAATAAGCTAAAAATCACTGGGCATTTTGTGCACTCCGCCTGGGTCCACCTCCACATCCCCTGTCTGCATGACAACGGTGTGACTTTGCAATGTCACTCCACCTCTCTGTATGTTTCCACAGTGGGGAAGGGAGTGTATTGTTGTGTGGCTGAGGTTTTGTGAGGATTGAAGATGTGAAGGGGATGACTCCTTAGTGTGCAAAGCGGGGCCTGGGCCTGGAGGAAGAGCTTGCAGGGCATGCTGTGTGTGTGCATGTGTGTGCAAGGAGTGAGCTGGGCACTGGGCCGGTTCAGCCCTTTCCTCCCATTCCTCTCCGTGTGCACCACAAGCAGTATCAGTGGGTCCCGGCTGCCTTGCTTAACATAACCATGAGTGGGGAGTTCTTTCTTGCTGCATAAATTGTTTTTGCTCCCTGTGAACTTCCCACTTTTAGGCAACAGCACTTCAGTTAAATGCTAAAACAATTTCTGTGAACACAGACTGTGCCTGATGGCTCAGGGACATCATGAAAAGTTCTTTTCCTATACCCCGTATGGTTAGAAGAAATTAACACTGTTAGACAGCAATACAGGTATACAGCAGTGTGCAGCATAAATGAACATCAGCTGGGAAAACACAATTGTTCAGTAGTCTGACACAGTTGGAAATTTCCATTCATTGATAAGTTCTTAAAATAAATGGAAGAATCAGGTTTTTACTGTGTCTGATAATGTGTTGTTTTTGAAATTCAGGTTTACTTCTAAACTATTAATAGTTAACTCAGACCTACCCCCTCTACTGTTAATTACCCGCAGAGAAAGGCAAATAAACTCATGTAGACCAGTATATTACTCTTCCTAAACATATTGGTAGAATAAAAATGCCTATGGAAACCATTGCAGGAAATGCTGAATGCTCGTTTTGTCTCTATCTGCTCTGTTAGATGTTGACTGACAAAGAGTGCAAGGCAAATCCTGTTAAAACATTAAATTAAAATGATAATGAATAGAGATGGTATAATTTTACACCAGAGCTGGAATGGCAATTAAGAATGTATTTTTAAAAATATTTTAAGAAAAAACAATCACACCAGTCACAGAAGAATTATTTTCATAGAGAGGTGGTGGTTGAAATATTAACTAAGATAAGGCGGCAAATGCCAGCTGAGATTTGAGGTTTCCCTTTGGGATCTAAGTGTGAGGACTACAGCAGCTCCCAAGGCTGGGTCTGATGACTTTCTGAGCATGTCGCTTCTACTGTTCCACCCTCTCCCAGGAAGTCTCAGCCAAAGCTGCTTTCTTGTCGCAGCCTGGACATAGGCAAATGTGCATTTAGAAAACGATGGATGCATTTATCAGATTCAAGCAAAGCTTGCTGATACAAATAAACGATTTCATACACTTTGCCCTTTAAACAAAAAGCACAGGCTGTCACAGTAATGTCTGTACTTTGTGTTGCTATTATTTTCAGATAGTAATTCACAACCCTCACAACCCTTCCTGGGGCCCTGAGGACTTGCACTCAGGAAAGACTCCAGGGGATGTGGATGCTTTGCTTCTAAGCCGCTTGATTTCGGTCTTCATAGGAGCTGAAGGCCTTAATTAGTGTAGCCATGGCTGCTCGGCAGACATGTGAAAGACGCCTGCATCTGCCTGCTGTCTAGTGTTAGCCACCAGAAGAAGAAGAGAATGCACGGGGTCCAAGTTGAAGTTTGGGGCTTGGGCTGACAGACGGCGTGGATGATTCTGATGTCATGGAAGGAGCCACT